>NC_000010.11:133341576-133690466 GCF_000001405.40 Homo sapiens
TGGCTAATTTTTGTATTTTTAGTAAAGATGGGGTTTCACCATGTTGGCCAGGATGGTCTCAACCCGCCTCGGCCTCCTAAAGTGCTGGGATGACAGGCGTGAGCCACCGTGCCCAGCAACCAACTCTTGATCCTTGATTTTGTCTTTTTTATACTAGCCATCTGTCTTAGCTGAGGCTGCCATAACAAATTGCCAGAGACTGGGCAGCTTCAACAATGGAAATTCATGTTCTCACAGCGATGGAGGCTGA
Organism: Homo sapiens; assembly: GCF_000001405.40. Taxonomy (NCBI): domain Eukaryota; kingdom Metazoa; phylum Chordata; class Mammalia; order Primates; family Hominidae; genus Homo; species Homo sapiens. The sequence continues at coordinate 133,341,827 of NC_000010.11, forward strand.
CGTCTGAGACGGAGCTGTCGGCAGGGTTGGAGCTGTTGGCAGGGTTGGCTCCTCCTGAGGCTGCTCCCTGGGTTTGTGGGTGGCCACACCTCCCCGTGTCCTTACATGGTCTTCCCTTTGGCGTATCTGTGTGTTCTCATCTCTTCTTATAAGGACACCAGTCCTGTTGAATTAGGGTCCACCCTAATAACCTTGCTTTACCTTACTTACATCTTTAAAAACCCATCTCCAAATATCGTCATATTCTGAGGGGTTAGGACATCAATGTATGAATTTAGAGGGGACACAGCCCATAACACCGTCCTATAGGAGTGTAGCTGTGGCTTGAGTCCACGTCGCCCTAGTGACAAGTGGTGCTGAACATCTTCTCAGGGTGGAGTCACCATTTGTAAATCATCTATGGTGAAATGTCTGTGCAAATGTTTTGAATATTTTTCAGTTGGGTTGTTTGTCTTTTTATTGTTGAGTTGTAAGAGTTCTTTTTATATTCTGGGTATAAGTCCTTTTCTTTCTTTTTTTTAGTTTTATTATTATTTTTTTGAGATGGAGTCTCACTCTGTCAACCAGGCTGGAGTGCAGTGGTGCAGTCTCATCTCACTGCAACCTCCGCCTCCCGGGTTCAAGCGATTCTCCTGCCTCAGCCTCCCTAGTAGCTGGGACTATAGGCGCCTGCCACCACACCCAGCCAATTTTTGTATTCTTAGTAGAAACGGGGTTTCGCTATTTTGGCCAGGGTGGTCTCGAACTCCTGACCGCGAGTGATCCTCCCGCCTCGGCTTCCCAAAGCGCTGGAATTACAGGCGTGAGCCACTGCACCTGGCCCTTTATTTTTAATTTTTAAAAAGTTTTAATTATTATGGGTACATAATAGGTATATATATCCATGGGGTACACGGATGCCATATGTAATGATCAAACCAGGATAATTGGGGTATCCATAACCCCAAGATTGTATCATTTCTTTGTGCTAACATTCTAATTCCACTCTTTTTTGTTAATTTAAAATATACAACAGGCTAGTCACAGTGGCTCATGCCTGTGGTCCCAGCACTTTGGGAGGCCTGAGTGGGAGGATTGCTTGAGCCCAGGAGTTCGAGACGAGCCTGGGGACCTCGTCTCATTTTACTAAAGACTAGATGTTTTAGATAATATATTGCAAACATTTTGAGTTCTGATATTTTCTCCCAAGGGTTGTTGTTGCTGTTTTGTTGAAATCTGTGGACTTTGTTTCCCCTGTAGCACGTGGCCTGGTGTCTCCGCCCAGTTTTTTAAGCCTATCTTCCTTGAGTCACACTGGGTTGTGTGGTTGGAGGCTGTGCTCAGGCCGCGGGACCCACTCTGCTGGTGCCTCAAGGGTGGGCTGGGGGCCACGCTCTGTGTGGATGCAGTTTTTAAGGTGCCCGACCTTTACTTCCCACCGGCTGTCTCCCGTCTCCTGAGTGTGAATGCACAGACTTGTGTTGGGCCAGAGGAATGGGGAGGTCAGCTGGGACTGTGTGGGAACCTGGGGAGGCTCCCTGTGCCTTTCTCATTCCAGACCTGATCACCCCATTCAAGTTCGGGCTGGCCTGCCAATCACTGCTCATAATCCCCTTGGGGACCCCAGTTCCCTGAGCCACTGGCCTTCTGCTGCCTCCCCCGTGGAGCCACTCGGCCACTGAGGGGTGGGTGGGAGTGTAGCTGCCCAACAGGCTCATTCTGCTTGCTGCCCAGAGAGAGCCGATTTATCAGGGCAGAGAGAAACTGCAACACGGAAAGTTTAATTCACGCGGAGCCGGCTGAACGGGAGGCTGGAGCTTTATCACTACTCAAATTTTAAAGGATAATTTGGTGGGTAGGGGTTGGGAAGCAGGGAGTGCTGATCGGTTGGGTTGCAGATGAAATCACAGGGAGTCGAATCTGTCCTCTTGTGCTGAGTCACTTCCTGAGTGGGGGCCACAAGACCAGGTGAGCCAGTTCATGGATCTGGGTGGCACCAGCTGTTCCACCAAGTTCAGAGTCCGAAAAATGTCTCGAGCACCAATCTTAGGATTTACAATAGTGATGTTTTCCCTAAGAATAATTGGGGAGGCTTAGAATCTTGTGGCCTCCAGCTGCCTGACTCCTTTTTTTTTTTTTTTTTTTTTTTTTGAGACGGAGTCTCGCTCTGTCACCCAGGCTGGAGTGCAATGGCGTGATCTCTGCTCACTGCAAGCTCCGCCTCCCAGGTTCAGGCCATTCTCCTGCCTCAGCCTCCCGAATAGCTGGGACTACAGGCGCCTGCAACCACGTCCGGCTAATTTTTTGTATTTTTAGTAGAGACGGGGTTTCACCATGTTAGCCAGGATGGTCTTGATCTCCTGACCTCGTGATCCGCCTGCCTCGGCCTCCCAAAGTGCTGGGATTACAGGCGTGAGCCACCGCGCCCGGTCCTGCCTGACACCTAAAACATAATTTCTTTTTTATTTTTCATGAAAGCCACTGACTTTCTTGATCTAAAAAACTTTACAAGGACAGTGACTGTTCTGCCAAAAAAGGAGCCAAATAGTATCAAATGGACTGAAAGTGAGGGTGGAGGTGAGGGACGGGGCCAGGAATCCATTCAGGAAAGCTGGTAACTGTCACCAGGGAAAGTGAAAAAGGAAGGGGGAGACATGCAAGAGTGAGAGTCCAAAAAAGTTGAAATGGTTAGGGGAGAAAACTCCCAAAAGACCCAGAGTGCGTCAGACGTGAGTATGACAATAGCAATCTTCTCCTTTGTAGAGGACAGGGGAGGAGTCCCGACTCGGCTACAAACTCTGGGTGAGGGCTGGGGATTGAGAGCTTCCTGGAGAGCATCACAAGAAGGCATCGCATGCTCTCGAAGGCATCCGAAGTCCCGGGACTGCTTGGTGTTGGCACCACGAGTCCTTTGGCCATTCCCGGAACAGGTCTTCATCTTTCCTCAGCACCAGAAACTGGCCAAGGACAACATAGGCCTTGTCAAAGCCCCTTTCCTCCAGCTTCTTGCCCAGGACTTCACCAATCCTGGCCAGGCTCCCCACTAGCTTTTCCCCCATGGGCTCTGCCCTGAAGTCTCGGTGCTTTTGGGAGGTTGGCATCTTGATCAGGCTTAATCGGCAACTTCAGTTCCCGTAACGGTTCCTCCCGCCACCCGGCCGCTCCGGCCGATACCTCAAGCCACTAGAAGTTTCCTAAACCATAATTTCTAATCTTGTGACTAATTTGTTAGTTTTACAAAGGCAGTCTGGTCCCCAGGCAAGAAGGGGGTTTGTTCAGGAAGGGGCTGTTTTCATCTTTGTTTCAACATTAAACTATAAACTAAGATCCTCCCAAAGTTGGTGTGACCTACACCCAGGAATGAACAAGGACAGGTTGGAGGTTAGAAGCAAGGTGGAGTCGGTTAGGTCAGATTCACTATCAGGTTTTCGCAAAGGTGGTTTCAGGAGCAGCCCCAGGCAAGAAGGCCAGAGGAACATCTGTTCTCACCCAAGCCCAGCGGCTTCTTCGGGTGACCCCTCCTCAATAGCTCAGACGCTGTGGGTCACGTTGGAAATTCCTGAGTTGGCCTTTCTTGAGGGCCCTCACTCCACCCCCTTGGAAGCACGGCCTCCAATTGTGTCTGAACATGCAGCTTCGGGAGAACCATACCCTGCAGGCCGGCGGTCTCAGAGCCCCCAACAGTAGCTGCCCGCTGGGGGTTGTCGAGGAAAAGAGTGAAACCCTGTAAAATACTTGGAGAGTGATTCTGAGCCAAATATGAGTGACGGAAGGCCCATGATGCCGTCCCAGGAGATCCTGAGAACATGTGTGGCCCGAGAGGGTTGGGGTGCAGCTGGTTTGATACATGTTCGGGACACGAGACATCACTCAGTACGTGGGAGATGTACATGGGTTTGGTCCAGAAAGGCGGCGGGTGTCCAGGTCATTGGTGGATTCAGTAATTTTCCAATTGACAATTGGTCAAAAGAGTTAAGTTATTATCTAAAGACCTAGAATCAATAGAAGGGAAAGTCAGGGTTAAGATAAGGTGTTGTGGAGACCAAGTATATGCAGATAGAATCAATAAAAGGGACTATTTCTTGTCAGAGTCTGTTCTATTAGTCTTAAGGTCTCTGTTTTAATGTTAATGCTGGTCAGTTTTGCCTGAATTCCAAAAGGAGGCGGGTACAATGAGGCCTGTCTGACCCCCACTTCCCATTATGGCCTGAACTAGTTTTCAGGTTAACCGTGGAATGCCCTGGGCTTAGGGAGGGTCCATCAGTCGGGTGGGGTCAGGCGGAGATTGGAATTGTGTTTTTGTTTTACAGGGTGTGCCAGGGACGGCTAAAGAAGGTGGTCAGGGCCGGGCGCAGTGGCTCATGCCTGTAATCCCAGCACTTTGGGAGCCCGAGGCAGGCGGATCACTTAGGTCAGGAGTTCGAGACCAGCCTGGGCAACATGGCGAAACCTCGTTTCTATTAAATATACAAAAATTAGCTGGGCGTGTTGGTGCACACCTGTAGTCCCATCTACTCAGGAGGCTGAGGCGGGAGAATCACTGGAACCCAGGAGGCGGAGGTTGCAGTGAGCTGAGATCGCGCCACTGCACTCCAGCCTGGGTGACAGAGTGAGACTGTCTCAAAAAAAATAAAATAAAAAAGGCAATGAGGGCACTGGGCCCCGTGGAGCGGGCCCTGGCCACACAGCGTGCAAGACTCCTCAGGCTGGTGTGCCCAGTAAGGAAGGACAGGAGGGAGCGCCTGGAAGGGGTGGGGAAGGTGGTGGCGTTGGGGGTGAGGGTTCCACGGTGGTGGAGCTGAGCTGGTCCCGCCCTGCCGCAGGTGGTGGGCAGGGGCAGGTGTGACAGGCAGGTGGGCTGGGGCTGGATGGGGGATTTGTCACGCCCACCTGAGGAAGGAAGTGCTTCAGCTGAGCTGGGGACAGCTGCCCACGACACCCTTCCAAGTTGCCTTGGTTGTGAGCACGGTTCAGCCTTCATGACAAGCAGGTTTTTTTTTTTTGGTGTTGTTTTGTTTTGTTTTGTTTTTTGACTGAGTTTCGCTCTTTGTTGCCCAGGCTGGACTGCAGTGGCGCAATCTCGGCTCACTGCAACCTCCGCCTCCCAGGTTCAAGCAATTCTCCTGCCTCAGCCTCCTGAGTAGCTGGAATGACAGGAGCCCACCACCACGCCCACTTAATTTTTTTTATTTTTAGTAGAGACGGAGTTTCACTATGTTGGCCAGGCTGGTCTCAATCCCCTGACTTCAGGCAATCCACCTGCCTCAGCCTCCCAAAGTGCTGGGATTACAGGTGTGAGCCACCGCGCCCGGTCAACAAGCATGTTTTTAAAGGCAAATTTCTTCCTCAGTCGTGTGGCAGGCCCTGAGCAGGCAGCTGGGTGTCCCCGCTCAGATCCAGGCCCGAGTGGGCTGGGCGGCTGCAGAGCCAGTCACCTGAGCTACCCAGGGTGGGATCCCTGGCCCCGACCTCTGTCCTGACACGCCCCAAGCGGCAGCAACAAAGCCCCAATTGGCCTGGGCCTGGGCAGGAGGAGCTGGGCCGGGTGCCAGATACTGGGATCAGCCACTGCAGCTCCCTGAGCACTCTCTACAGAGACGCGGACCCCAGACATGAGGAGGTAATGCCACCATCCCTGAGCCCCAATCCCCACCCCACCCAAACCTGGAGGCCTGGCCCTTAGCCAGAGGGGGCCCAGCTGTGCTGCGCTCCAGGGGGCCTGGTTCAGGGGAGTGTGCGGGTGGGAGGGAGAAGGAGGGGCCCTCTGAGGGTCTGGGGTCTGCCACCAGGCTCTACCTCCTCTGTGGCCCCGAGTGCACTTGCCTCTTGGTTCCCCTGGCCTGGTGGAGAATCACCCAGGGACCCCCACCCGGAACAAGGAAAGGGGAGGTGCCAGGCTGAAACCAGCAGGCCTGTGACTGCCCAAAAGGAAGGGGGCTGGGGGAGGGGAGGGGCTGGGGCGCAGGAGCCAGGGGCTGCCCTGAGGTGGTGTCACCCTGGGAGCTGTGATCTGGAGCTCAGGGAAGCACCCGGGCTCCCGCTGGACCCTGGAATCAGAGGCTGCCTTCCTTCTGTGGGGGTGTCTGTCTTCCCCCTCCTTGTGTGGGGGACCCCTCTCCCCGCTCCTGTGGAGGTGCCCTCCTCCTCTTCCCCCTCCTCTAAGCCAGGGCCCTCCCTGCCCCTCCTCTCCTGGTGTTTCTCCCTTGTAGAGAGGTGGCTTCTGGGTAGCTTGGGGACCCTTTGGTGCCCAGAGCCGTTTGCCTGGAGAGGGGACCCACGGGGATCCCACAGCCAGGCTGCTTGGCAGTCACCACCGACCACCTTTCTAGGGGCTACCGTGACCCGAATCCCAGGCCCCCAGGCTGTGTGTCATGGGAGGTGGGCACCAGGGGTGGCCCAGGCAGCACGGCAGTGGGATTGGGGTCCAGTGCCCAGACAAGAGCCCCTGCCCAGCATCAGAACCAGCTGGGGGTCCTGAGGAGAAGCAGGGCCCCCGAACCAGACCAGACCAGGTCCCGGCCCCGGGCTGTCCGGGGCATCCCCCCTGCCCTTTGACCTCTCACCATGGCTGAGTCACCCAGAGAACGGGCAAAGGTCCCTGTGGAGCTGCAATCCAGGCCTGCAGGGTGTCCCAGACACTGATTCTTCTGCCTCAGCAGGAGTAGCTGCGATTACAGGTGTGTGCCACCACCCCCAGCTAAGTTTTGTTTTTTTTTTTTTGAGACAGAGTGTCTCGCTCTGTCGCCCAGGCTGGAGGGACTGCAGTGGCGCCATCTTGGCTCATTGAAACCTCCACCTCCCAGGTTCAAGTGATTCTCCTGCCTCAGCCTCCCAAGTAGCTGGGATTACAGGCACCTGCCACCACGCCTGGCTAATTTTTTTTTTTTTTTTTTTGTATTTTTAGTAGAGACAAGTTTTCACCATATTGGCCAGGCTGGTTTCGAATGCCTAACCTCAAGTGATCTGTTGCCTCAGCCTCCCAAAGTGCTGGGATTACAGGCGTGAGTCACCGTGCCCAGGCAGTTTCATATTTTTAGTAGAGACGGAGTTTTGCCATGTTGGCCAGGCTGGTCTCAAACTCCTGACCTCAGGTGATCTGCCCACCTCAGCCTCCCAAAGTGCTGGGATTATGGGTGTGAACCACTGCGCCTGCCCCAGACACCCTTGACTGCAGCCCTGCTGAGCCCTGTACAGACCCAGAGCCCCGCCCCACCCCAAGACCACCCCACCCTGACAGACGCAAGCCTCCCCCGCAGGGCCCTGAAGAGACAAGTCTGCACCACATCACACACGCACGCACACACAGACACACTCCCAAACCCTCACACTCTACACACCACACACGCATGCACACAGCACACACCCACCCCCAAACCCTTACGCTCCACCCCACACACAACATACATACACATCCAACACATACATGCACACACAGCACACACACACACCCAAGCCCACACACTCCACACCACACACAACATACACACACATCCACCACACACAAACACACATAACATACACACACAGCACACGCACCCCCGAACTCACACACTCCGCACCACACACAACATACACATGCACCACACACTGAAGCACACAGTGCACACACACCCGAACACGACACCACCCACAGCATACATGCACACCCACCATGCACATGGTCCACACCCACAAAACACACATGCACAGACAACATATGCACACCCCCCACCACATACACAAACACACACATCCCGTGTCCGAACTGACCTGACACCCTGCCTGCCTGCCTAATAGTGCTGCCATTCACCCCTGAGCCCCCCAGCCGTGGCCCCGCAGCTCTGGGACACAGCAGGTGCCCTGCCTGCAGCAGCGTGCAGCCTCAGGGCTCTGTGGGCGTGGGGCTGTGGGCCCTCGCTGCTCCATACCCACCCATACCCACACCCATGTGCAAGTGTGTTCATGTGTGTCCCCACGTGGAGGGCGGCACAGAGGCATGGCAGAACCTCTGGAGTTTCCAAGCCAACCACCAGTGCCTGCCACAGTGGGGTCTGCCCAGACTGTGAGGAGCAGAGTCTGGGGCTGGGGCTGTGGGCTCTGGCCTGAGGGGGGCTGGAGGCAGGTGGGCCTGGGGCTTCTCCCTGTTCTGTGCCTGCGTGTCTTGGCCCATGTGAGCACAGTCCAGTAAAACTACCTGCGCTCCCAAGGAGGAACCCAGCCCAGGCCTCCCAGCTGCCCATCAGGGTGCTGCCTGGAGTTCAGGGCGTCCCCTTCCCCTACCTCACACTTCCCTCTCTGGCCCCCCCTCAGGCTCCTCCTGGTCACCAGCCTGGTGGTTGTGCTGCTGTGGGAGGCAGGTGCAGTCCCAGCACCCAAGGTAGGTGTGAGCCCCTCCCATCTGGGCAGCAACTCCAGTTGTCACCTTCTGCCCCTACAGCAGGGGATGTGGACAAAGGGCCCCTCTTCTGGCTTCAAACCCCAAGCTGGCTTAGGGGAGAGAGGCATGGGTACGCTCATGACTCTTGATGCCTGTGCAGGCATGAGGAGGGGGCAGGCTTCCCTTCCCTGGGGTCAGATGGACAGGCCTCAAGACACCCAGGTGGTCCTAGGTGGATGATGTGGGTCCAGATGAGCCCACATGACCCCAGGTGGACGAGGTGGGTCCAGATGAGCCCCCGTGACCCCAGGTGGAGGAGGTGGGCCCGGATGACACCCACGTGGTCCCAAGTGGAACAGGTGATCCCAGATGAACCCATGTGACCCAGGTGGAGGAGGGCCCGGATGACACCCCTTGATACTCACCTGGGCCTTGAAGGCCAGAGGTGACTCCATGTGCTAGTGGCTCAGCTGCACTGTCTGTGCTGACAGTGGTGTCCTCAGCCGGGACTATGCCTGGGGACGGGCCCTGTTCCCTGGCCCATGTCAAGGCCACACAGTCTTGCACACCTGGGATGGATCGGGAGGAAGGAGGCCCACGCCTTCCTTGACTGGAGACGCAGGAGCATGGGCACAGCCCCCCCACGGTGCTGGTCCTCCCCTGGAGCCACTGGTCCTCCCCTGGGGTCACCTGCTTTGCTCTCCTGTCTGTCCTTTGCCCCACTGAGGATGGCTGGGCTCAGAGCAGCTGACAACTAAGGTTGGCTGGGCTCAGAGCAGCTGACAACTAAGGTTAGCTGGGCTCAGAGCGGCTGACCGCGTTCTCTCGGCACCAGCCAGGAAGGGGTGGTGCAGACACAGACCCAACCAGTCACTGCAGAAAACAGCCAGTGCATTGACGGCCAGGGTTGGGAGTGCTAGGTCAGGGATACGGTGCCAGGTTACATCCCAGTCCTGTGCTGCCCCAGACCCGGCCAGAATTCCAGGCCAGCTGGTCATCTGGGCACAGGCCGGCAACCTCAATCCCGGCTTGCAATCCCAACACCCGAGAGTGGCTTGCCCACTAGAGACGCTCGAGCTGTGCTGAGCTGGCCCTGCCCCCACCCCCTGCAGCCACCTCCACCCCATGCAGCCCCAGGTGGGCCTCGGAGCAACCTCTCCCCAGGTGTCCTCCACCCGCGTGGACTGTGGCCCAGCCCACACCTGTGACTCTCCCCCAGGTCCCTATCAAGATGCAAGTCAAACACTGGCCCTCAGAGCAGGACCCAGAGAAGTAAGTCCCCCCAACCCCACCTCCCCACCACCCATTCCCTGAAGCTACAGCCCGTTCTGCTGGGCCCTTCCTGAACCTGGAGAGCACGGGGCAGATGCAGAGAGGAGCCCTGTCCAGCAGCTTTTGGAAGGAGGGGGCACTCCAGCCTCATGGGCATCTGTCAACAGCGCCCCATGCAGGGAGAAGAGAGCACAGCCGGAGGGCTTGGGGCTCCACGGTGTCTCCCTACTCAGCTTCCCCACAGCCTCCAGGGCAGCTTGTGCTCCACGGCTGGTGGCTGTAGCTGGGGCGGCTCAGTCTTGGATCCTGAGGTTCCCCACATCCTTGCCCTTGGGACACTGCTCAACCAAGGCTCTGACCACTGCTCCCCACGCAGCCACCCAGGGACGTGGTGTGGAAGCCTGGCCGGGAGCACTGGGGGCCACTCATCACTGGCTCTTGAGAGAGAGGCTTGTCCTGGGGCTGCTGGTGGTGGGGCTGGAGTGGCTGCCCTGGGATGGTGGGCACCCTCCTGCGGGGGGTTCTGTCCACCTCCCCCACCTGCATGTGGACCTGACCAAACTGTGCCAGCAGGGCCTGGGGCGCCCGTGTGGTGGAGCCTCCGGAGAAGGACGACCAGCTGGTGGTGCTGTTCCCTGTCCAGAAGCCGAAACTCTTGACCACCGAGGAGAAGCCACGAGGTCAGGGCAGGGGCCCCATCCTTCCAGGTGGGCACAAGGTCACAGCAGCAGAGTCCGCTCGTGGGGTTGACTTGGACAGACCAAGGGTCTCGGGAAAGAAACTGAGACTATACCTTCATGTGCTTGTCCCTAGGCACCAAGGCCTGGATGGAGACCGAGGACACCCTGGGCCATGTCCTGAGTCCCGAGCCCGACCATGACAGCCTGTACCACCCTCCGCCTGAGGAGGACCAGGGCGAGGAGAGGCCCCGGTTGTGGGTGATGCCAAATCACCAGGTGCTCCTGGGACCGGAGGAAGACCAAGACCACATCTACCACCCCCAGTAGGGCTCCAGGGGCCATCACTGCCCCCGCCCTGTCCCAAGGCCCAGGCTGTTGGGACTGGGACCCTCCCTACCCTGCCCCAGCTAGACAAATAAACCCCAGCAGGCCGGGCGCGGTGGCTCACCTCTGTAATCCCAGCACTTTTAGAGGCCGAGGCAGGCGGATCACCTGAAATCAGGAGTTCCAGACCAGCCTGGGCAACATGGTGAAACCCCGTCTCTACTAAAAATACAAAAATTAGCCGGGTATGGTGCCGGGTGCCTGTAATCCCAGCTACTTGAGAGGCTGAGGCAGGAGAATCGCTTGAATCTGGGAGGCGGAGGTTGCATTGAGCTGAGATCGTGCCATTGCACTCCAGGCTGGGCGACAGAGCAAGACTCCATCTCAATCGATCAATCAATCAATCAATCAACCCCTGCAAACAGGTGGGAGGCCACATGCCCCAGAAGACCGATGACCGGGGCCCAGCCTGCCCTGCCTAGGAGAATCAAGGGCTGCACAAGGCCCAGGTGACCCTTGGCTCCCAGAAGGTTGCACTACCCCCAGGCCCTCCTCCTTGTATACCGGGATGGTGAGGGGTGTGGCAGCAGTTAGGGGATGGGACCAGAGGGCACCCTGGGACCAGTCTCAGCTGAGAAACAGAACCCACCCTGGGCTCCCTACAGCAGGAGCCTGAGACAGGGTCGGGGAGGAGGGTGGCCGAGTGCCTGGGGCTCAGGGCCCAGCTGAACGGACGTGCATGTGCTCAGGTGGAAAGTGCACAGGTCTCAGGTGAGGGCGGGTAGACCCAGGCCCAGGACATGGCCTTTCTGCCCTCCTGACGTTCTGTGCAGCTCCCACTCTGGGTGCCCATCCTGTCCTCCTGGCCCAGCAGGCCCAATGCTGCAGCGCAGGTCCAGGCTGCTGGAGTCACTCACACACCGCATGTGTCCTGGGCACATGCAAATGTGGGCGGGGTTCCTGCGTGGCAGTCTCATCCCTATGGTGAGAGAGAAGCACCTGGTGCCAAGCCCGGGGCTGAGCCACACACATTTGCCAGCTCCAGCAGCTAAGACAGAACGGAGCAAGGGAGAGAGGCCACCCGTCCCTCATCCTGCCGTGTTCAGCCCTCGTGTGGCCACTCAGGGGGCTGAGGGTTTGCCCAGGTGTGGAAGAGCTCCTTGCACCGCCAGCAAATCCCCGCTCTCCCAGGACACCAACGGCTGAGAGTAACTGCCCAAGGGTGCCCCACGGTGTCCCACAATGTAAGAGCTGTTACCCTGGCTTATGGATGAGCTGGAGAGGCCAGTGACCTTTGAGGTTCTGTCCTAAAAGGGCCAGAGATGGGCTGCCAGCTTCTCCCTTGGCAGCCTCCCCTGTCATCCTGATAAGAACATGGGGTAGGAGGGCATTGAGGGATCAACACGCTCAGGGCTGAGATTTGGGCAACTCCTTCCCCACTCCCTGAGCCCCAGGCAGGTAGAAGACCCTGGATCTCTGAGTTGCAGGAGGGTCTTGCCCTAGGCAGCCCAAGCTGGTGTTTGTGGCTTTTTTTTTTTTTTTAAAGCTATCTTGATTTTATTTTGTTTTGCCCATTACTTTGTTTTTTCTCGTGATTTTACTTAGTTTGCTCATATATGGCTTCATTTATATAACATGCTAGAGAGGGCACACTAACCCCAGAGGCTCATCTGTGGGGCTGAGCCTGGGGATGGGCGAGGGTGTGTGCAACCAGCTCGTACACCGCTGATGTTAGGCCACGACGCGGCCATCGGGTCTAGAGATGAGCAGTGATTGGCCAGGCAAGTGCGAGGCCCCTGGGGCCAAGGCTGACCACTAGTGAGCACAGAGAAAGCCTTGGCTACCATCTGGGAGCAGCAGGCGGACAGGACCCCAAAGTCTGCAGCCAAGCCCAGACAGGGTCCCTTCCCCAGATTTGGAGCCACATCTCAGCCGGGGTGGGCTTGCCTGCACCCCCAAGGTTCTCCTGCGGTCTGGAGTGGGGGTCTGGAACCCTGGGACTTGCCCCCTCGAGCCCCGGGGACACCAGCCCCAGGCCCTGGGGGAAGCCCCTGTCATCCCCACTCCTGCCCTTGGTCCCTCAAACTCCAGCCCTGCCCCATCTTCTTCCTGTACCTGTCACTGCAGCAAGTTCTGGGGAGCAAGACGAGGGTCCGGACAGTGGCTGGTGGTTATTCTTCCCCATCCTTGGGGACCAGTCCAAGCATCCCATGGGCAAGCCTCCCAGGCACCCCCTTTCAGGAACCCCCTGCATCCCACCTCTGCCTGGCACTGGACTCCAAATGACCTCGTGTCCTTTACCTCCCCTGCCTGCCAGGGCAAGTGAGGCTTTCAGCGGGAGGCCACCTATGCCACAGGCATAGGGCATGGCCCACACCGAGGCCTCTCCAGCCGACAGTTCCTCCCGAAGCGTCCAGGCCAGCCCCTGCCACCTGCCCTCCTGCGGGTGGAAGGAATGGACCCCGGTGAAGAACCCCCTTGGTGTCCACAGCCCAGGGGCTATGGCAGAAGTCCCCACCCCTCTCAAGGCCTCCAGGGCAGCCACTGCCCCCACTCCAGCCCTTGGTGTCCCCAGGGCACCAGGCACCCCGCCCAGTCCCCAGGGCCCCAGGCCTGATTTCCCACTCAAGGTTCGTCAAGGGTACGTGGGGGCCACTCTGGAGCCAGCAGCCTCCCTTGAGCTCAGCACCAAACAAGCCTGCGTGAGAACAGAGCTGGAATTGGACTCTTGAGACTGAACGTTTTTCCATCATTTTCACAAATCAGGGATACTCGTCCCAATTGGCAGGGCCCACCCCAAGACTGCCGGCCCCTAGAGCCCTGGCCAGGGCCCAGGTCTGGGAGCTGCCACTGGGAGGCCTGTTGTGAGTGGTGGTACTGGAGCTCAGGGTGCCCCCAGTTCCTCTTCCGGCCCAGGTGGTCTTCACCAGGCCTACAGCAGGGGGTTGAGGGCAAGCACCCCCTTCCTGAGGATGAGGTTTCCGTAGAGGGCCGTCTCCCTGCAGAGGAGCCAAGCCCAGCACTGAGCTGGGCTGCAGGGCCAGGGTGCCGAGACCCTGCTTCAGCATCTGGGGGACAGAGCAGACCCTGTCCACCTTCACCCACTTGATGCTCAGGCAAATGGGGGCCCTGCCCCCCCGAAATTCCTCCCTGGTCTCTCCACTCTGTGGGACGTCTAGCCTCAGCCAGGCAGAAGCTGAGAAGAGGGTAGGGGCAGCTCCTGAGGCCCCCCGGTGGGGATGGGGGCAGCTCCTGAGGCCCCAGTGGGGATGGGGCAGGTCTGAGCCAGCTGGAACTCACCCCGTTGCCACAACAGCAAAAGCCTTCTTAGCCCGTTCATAAAACTCAAACCTCTCTATCTTTGCCAGGGCTCTCTGGAAGACAAAATGGCAGGGTTGGAGGGAACCCTGCCAAGAAACCCTCATGGGCCAGCCCTGGACTCCCCAGGGCCCAAAGCAGGGAGGGCACCAGGAAGTGGGGTTCCATTTCTTGGGCTCTCCCCCGGCAAGGGCCCCACGGTCACTCAGCCTCTGGCTCCCAAGGCCTAGGACAGGGGGTCCCAGGACATGGTGGACGAGGAACCTGCCATGCTTGGGTCTCTGCCTGACCTGGGGCCACCCAGACAGCTCAGTAGACTGTCGAGCCCCTGCCAGCTGTCCTGGGGGGAGTCCCCTGCCCAGGACAAGAGCCCCTGGCCCCCCTTATGGAGGCCCTGCTCAAGACCTGCCAGTGGGTTGCCCAGGAAAATGGGCCTGTCCCCTTGCAGGGCAAGGTGTGGAGAGGGCTGAGTGAGACACAGCACCCAGCTAAGCCTCTGACCAACCATAGCCAGGATGGGGCGAGAGACCTGGGACCAGGGGGCACCCCTCCAGGGGAGATTGAGGAGGTGGAGGCCAGGCATCCTGAGTCCCCCAGGCTCCACTCACAGGCTGTGGTGGGTGACAACCCACCTGGCAGGTCAGGATCCTGGGCGGGGCAGGGCAGGTGGAAAGCTCGGGGGCAGAGGAAGAGGGGCCACACTGCCCAGGTGCACCTCTTCCACCTGGCTGGTGAAGGAGTGCCAGTGGTCCGGGGTTCTCAGGGTGATGGGTGGGAGACCACTTGAGGACAGAGCTTGGGACCCTCTGTCTTTGGCTCCTCCTGAGCCTCCAGGAGACAGAGGGTCCCTGGCCTTTTCCCCACAACTGGGGCTGCAGGCTTACCACACAGCCGGCCCTGCGTAGGATGGACTCGTACTCCGTCCACACTGGGGTCTGCAGGCCCCTCTCCTTGTCGCTGGGCACCAGCTCCATGACTGCAGCCTAGAGGGAGGGGTCAGCTCTGGGGCCCTGGGCACTGCCAGCCTTCCTGGTCAGGTGACCATTCGGGACTCCCCTGGTGAGGGTCAGGGCCCCTTTGGGGACACATGGCTTCCCCCCACTCCAAGGCAGGTGGGCCCTATGAAGCCCGCAAAAGGGGAAACTGAGGCACGGAGCAGCAGGGTGCAGGGGCGACTCAGCCCTCACCGGACTCTCCACATAGGTGTCCAGGGGCAGCAGCTTCAGCACGGCCTCCAGGAGCTGCGGGATGCCCAGGCCTGGAGGGCAGAGGAGGCAGCACTCAGTCTCCAGCCCGCCCGCCCGCCTGCCTGTCTGCACCCTTCACACTGCAAGCATGGACTTGGGGCCACGGCAGGCCACAGAGGAGCCTCAGAGCCAGGAGCACCGCTCACCCGCCCGCCCTGCCCTGGGGGACCTGGGGCTCGCTCACCGTCTGCACGGATCTCCATGGGCCCACACTGGCAGATGGAGGAGGCCGGGAAGTTCAAGTCCGCAAGAACTAAACAGCCGGGAGGACAGCCCGTGTCGGCACCTATCCCTGCCCTCGGGGTCGGCGCCGCCCGTCCTCCCACCCAGTCATGGCGGCAGATCGTGGGTCACAAGAGGTCTCAGGTCAGCCAGTTGGGCGCCCCCACCGCCGACCGGCCGCAGTCAGATCCGCAGGGCTGGAAGCCACGCGGGGAGGTGGGGAGGGCAAGGTCCCTGCCTGGGAGGCAGAGAGGCGTCAACAGCTGCCCGCGAGGCTGTCGGGTGCTGACCAGGCCAGGGGGCCGACCCGGACCCGGCCGCCTCCCCAGGGGCCAGAGGACGCGCGGCTGCCCGCGATGCCCGGACCAGGCCCCCGGCCACCCAACCCCTGCCCCGGGACCCCAGGCCCCAGGAGAAGAAAAAGCGCCGAACCCTCGGGGGCAGCCCAGACGCGAGGGCTCTCGGGCCGTCTGGGGAGGGACTCCGGGAGAAGCTCGGGCCGGCTCCGCCCAGAGCCCCACGAGGTCTCAGTTCCCTAAAGAATGCGGGGGAGGGGGCTTCCTGCCCGGAAGCCAGGGAGGCCCGAGCAACGCCCACACCCCAGGACGCGGCCCTTCCCGGCCCGGGGGTCCCCGTGCAAGCCTCGCCCTCCTGCCTGTCCCGGGGTGCTCCCCGAGGCCCCGGCCCGCTGCGCTCACCGATCTCGTCCCCGTGCCCCATCCGCGCCAGCGCGTAGAGCAGCTCGGGGGACAGCAGTGCGGGGACACCCTTCAGCGCCACCATGGCCCGGCAGACGGGGCGGGCGGGGCCTAGGGGCGGGGCTTGGGGGCCGGGGCGGGGCCTTACGGGGAGGGCGGGGCTTGGGGGCAGAGGCGGGGGCCTTACGGGGAGGGCGGGGCTTAGGGGCAGAGGCGGGGCTTTACGGGGAGGGCGGGGCTTTATTGGAGGGCGGGGCTTTAGGGTCCCGGGCTTGGGGCTTGGGGACGGGCCGGGCCTAGGGTTCGGCGGGCTGGGGTCCGCTTGCGGCTCAAGGAAGGGCGGGGAGCCCCAGGAACTGGGGACGTGCGGGCTGAGTCGTGGCGTGGGGGCAACACCCAGCCAGCCCACGGGCTCCTCGCCAGGTCCGAGACTCGGGTGCCCTTGCGCTGTGGCCGGGGGCTCCCCAGTGTCCCTACCCGAGCCTCCCACCCCGAGCTCCCTCAGGCCGAAGGGGTTCAACCGCCGCGGCCTCCCCTCATGAGGGTCTCTGCCCTCTGACCACTTCGTGCTGCCCTTAGGCCTGGCAGAATGCCCGGAGCGCACCGGGTCCCTGGGGTCACCATGGTGGGTAGCTGGACCCAGGCCTTCAGCCCACGCTCCTGAGGGACCGGGAGCAAGGGACACGGGAGCCAGGACTTCGGACCCCCTTGGGGGGAGTCCAGGAGGGCAGCCAGGCCCAGCTTCCAGGCTCAGCTGCGAAGTGCCAGGACACCTAAGGGTCCTCCATCATCCCCCGGTGTCAGCGGCCTGCAACCCCCTGCCCAGGATGGCGGCATCCTGACCTTTGGCTGAGCTCAGGCTGGCCAGGCCCTCCCTCCGCGGAACCACCTTCTTCCACATGATTCCCAGCTGGACACCAGCTGTGGGGCTAGCACTGCGGCCCTGGCCCTCAGCCCTGAGGTGACACAAATGCTCTGAGGCCTGGCGGCTCCTAAAAAGTTCTGAAAATCAATCTGTATGTGAAAAATGACAAAGCCGCGTCAGAAAACCAGGAGGAAACAGACGTCTCCATGTTGAACTGCTTGGCCCTAGGAGCCTGTCCCCATGGGAAGTGGCCTGGGCTGCGTCGGAAAAGCCTGGTGGGGCCACCCAGGCTGGCACCCAGCAGCACCTGAACAGCTGGCCCTGGGCCGGCCACTCGGGCAGAGAGAAGACCGGGGCTGCCCAGGGCCTGCCAATGAGGGGTGGCTTTGCACCGAGGCCACCGGGTTTCAGAGCTGTACCTGGGCAGTTTCTACTCCAACTTGTAAGTGGAGAGTCACCGTTTACCCAAATATACAAGGGCAAGAGGATTTTATAGAGATGGGCAAGAAAGTTTTCAGCTTCAAAACCAAATCAGGCCGGGCGCGGTGGCTCACACCTGTGATCCCAGCACTTTGGGAGGCCGAGGCGGGCGGATCACTTGAGGTCAGGGGTTGGAGACCAGCCTGGCCAACATGGTGAAACCCCGTCTCTTCAAAATATACAAAAATTAGCCAGGCATGGTGACTGGTGCCTGTAATCCCAGCTACTTGGGAGGCTGAGGCACGAGAATTGCTTGAACCCGGGAAGCGGAGGGTGCAGTGAGCCGAGATCACTCCACTGCTCTCCAGCCTGGGTGACAGAAAGTGACTCCGTCTCAAAAAAAAAAACAAAACCAACAAAGAAAAAACACCTAATCAAACCCCAAACAATAATGGGGCCAGAGGTCAACTAGCTCAGGAGTGAGTGGAAGCCTCACTCTGAGTCTGGGGTTCCCCTGCCCCGGACAGTGGCACCCCTCCCTCCAGGCTCCCTGGGGCCAGCATGAAGACAAAGTCCATTCCCCAGCCTAAGGGTTGGGTGTCTGTCCCTGCCAAGCTCTGGAACCAGATAACTAGACGCAGCCCTCTGAGATGCGGCTTCCATGCTGGGCCCTTTCTTGGCTTCCAGCCAAGTGTGGCTGACACAGGTATGAACGTGAGGCTGCAGCCAGCCCTACGGATCTCTGAGGTTCCATTGCTTGAAATCAGATTATGGAGGCTGACCCCAGTGCACATGAAAAATTAAACGGAGTGGATTTTCTCAATGTTCAGGCTTCCTCCCTTGCATACTTGAACATTTGGTGCCTATCTATCTCTGCATATTTACTCCAGGCTCCAGGGCCAGTGGTTCATGACCCACGCAGACTCCACGTGCTCCACTCCAGTAAGTGAGCAGGTTCCAGATTCCCTACCCCAAGGGAAGAGCCTGTTATGCCCTGTTGGACCTGAATCAAACTCCCTTTGTACCTGTTTCAGTATTTGTCAAACAGTCCCAGATCCCAAGGCTTATCTGAGGCTTATCTGAAAAGAACATCTCCCGCCTGTTTTAAGGCCAACTGCATGAGAACTCCCACCTGCCCTGGCAGAAGCGAGATAAACCTGCTCCACCCTGAAGCCGGCTCTGAACTAGTGGACTCCAATCACAGCACACAGGAGGACAGACGGGGTGGGTGGGAGTGCAGAGCCAATGCCTCCGAGGCAAGCGGTCGCAGAGCATGCGTGTGTCCCCTTTGCGTGTACATGTAACCGGACACACGGGCGTGGCACCTGCAGCGTTCAGGGAACCAGAGCTCGGCAAAGATCACTGTTCTTCTTTCTTGATGCAGGTGAACCTGTCCTTGGTATTCAGCCCAAGTCCTCAGCGGTGGGGGCTCACACACTCTGCCCACCCAACCCAAGGCCATGACCACAATCTAGACCACCTACGCACACTGAGCTGCGGGGCCAAGTGGAGGAGACACCGGCAAACGCTCTCTGGCGTCTGCACTGAGCTGGGGGCAGGTGGGCTTCCCTGGGGGAAATACCTAGAACCAAGGGCATGATGACATGTCCATAGTATGAAACGTCAGGGCCACTAAAAAGAATGTTATAGGACTGTCATTTAGTGAGAAAATCAAATGGTGAAACATGCCACAACAGGCACAAACCTTCTGGACAGTATGTGCCTTAGCTTGGGCTGCTGTGATGCAGTGGCATGGTCTGGGTGGCTGATAAACACTGACTTTCCACAGTTCTGGAGGCCAAGGCTCCAGGCAGGTTCGGTGTGTGATGAGGCCCACCCTGGTTTACAGACAGCACCTTCCCACAGAGCACTCACATTGTGGGAGGGGTGAAAGAGTGCCCTCAGGGCTCTCCTAAGGGCAGTAATCCCACTGGAGGAGCTCCGCCCCCTCATAGGGCACTAATCCCACTGGAGGAGCTCCGCCCTCTCATAGGGCACTAATCCCACTCAAAGAGCTCCATCTTCTCATAGGGCAGTAATCCCACTGGAGGAGCTCCGCCCTCTCATAGGGCACTAATCTCACTGGAAGAGCTCCATCCTCTCATAGGGCACTAATCCCACTGGAAGAGCTCTGCCTTCTCTTAGGGCATTAATCCCACTGAAGGAGCTCCGCCCTCTCATAGGGCACTAATCCCACTCAAAGAGCTCCGCCCTCTCACAGGGCACTAATCCCAAAGAGCTCTGCCCCCTCATAGGGCACTAATCCCACTTGAAGAGCTCTGCCCTCATAGGGCACTAATCCCACTGGAGGAGCTCCGCCCCCTCATAGGGCACTAATCCCACTGGAGGAGCTCCACCCTCTCTCTCCTAGGACACTAAACCCACTCGAAGAGCTCTGCCCTTGTGACTAGTCATTGCCCAAAGTCCCCCCTCCTAATGCAGTCACGGTAGGGGTTAGGATTTCAACCCAGGGATTTGGGGTGGGGCTGAGTGAAATGAGCCTGACCCAAAGGGATAAATGGAGGTCCCTCCATAGAGACAGGAAGTAGAAGCGTGGGTGCCAGGAGCTGGAGGGAAGCAGAAAAGGGGTTGTTGTTTAACGGGGACAGTTTCCGTTTGGGAAAATGAAAGCTTTCTTGGATAGTCATGGCTGCACAACGAGAACGTACTTAATGCCGCTGAAATGTGCATTTGAAATGGTTCAGACCAGCCTGGGCAACACGGGGAAACCCCGTCTCTACAAAAGGTAAATTTAAACAGTCAGCTGGGTGTGGGAGTGCGCCCCTGTGGTCCCAGCTACTTGGGAGGGGGGGAGGATCACTTGAGCCCAGGAGATTCAAGCTGCAGTGAGCTGTGACTGAGCCACGCACTCCAGCCCGTCTCTAAAACACAGTGGTTAAGATGATCAAGTTGACGTCGTGTGTTCCCACAGTAGAGAAGAATGCAGTAAACTGAACAGAGAGCTCCTTATGACAGAAGTAGGAAGAAAATAGGGTGGGCTCTCGTGAGGAAAGGGCTCGACGTGAGTGGGCGTGGAAGAAAACCATAGACCATGCCTGTGCCCGTGTGCAGGGGTGTGTGGGTGCGTGCACAGAACTCTAGGAAGTCACAAGCCCAGCTGTTCACAGTGGCTACCCTGGAAGTATGATGTGAGGCAACTGACTATACAAACTTGTTTTGTTTGAATGTTGTTCCTTACAGTGAAAAAACAAAAAAGTTTAAAAAAACAACTAACATGACAGAATGCTCATTGCAGACATGACTACAAGGCGTGGTGTAATCTGAATCGCTATCACTTTAATCAGCATCTGTATGAAGGCAGCAGACAGCGTTTCCCTCAGAGCAGCCCCATTCTTCAGCGGCAGGGACACAAGGACCCGCAGGCCCCGCTTTCCGTCCGAGCACAGCATGCCCAGAGGGACCAGCGGGGGCTCCTCAGCAGAATCTTAGATTTAGAAGGTGCTCCAGTCAGGACCCTCACAGGCTGGGTGACGAAGGCTGTCATGCCGTGAGAGGTCGGGCCACGACCACGCAGCAATTGGAGAGGAACTGCACACCACGGACACTGCTCTTGAAAAGAGGATGATTTACTTGCTTCTAAAACTGACAGGCTGCACTTGTCCTCTCCAAGCAGAGGTGTGAAGCAGGGGCAGCTGGTTCTCACTGGTCTTTGAAGTTGGCCTTTCTCTTTTCCACAAACGCGGTCATCCCTTCTTTCCGGTCATCCTGGCAGGAAAAGGAACAGAAACAGAGCTGGACGCGCAGTATCCTCACAGAGCCTGATGCCAATGTCCGCCCGTCTCTCCCTGGCTCTGCCTCACTCATGCTCACAGGGGCCCAGGGGGCCGGGGAGGGGACTCAGCGGCAGGAACACCTGCCCAATCAGAGCTGGGCCTGGGCGCGGGGATTTTCACGGCCTCTCTCTACCAGTCTAGGTGACGGTCATTCAGGAGCCACTGTGTATGTCCAACAAGCTCACATCTAAAGAGCCTCAGATGCACCCATCTTGGTCACTCACCATGTCATCAACTGGATGATGGGTGGCCTGTATCAGGGGCTACTCTGTGTTGGAGTAGGACGTGAGAACTCAACTCTGCATCTGCTTTTCTTACACTGTGTGCACGTGTGTCCCCAGGTGTGCGCGCGCGCACACACACACACACACACACACACACACGCATCTGTACCCCTTCCTCAGGTGCCCAAACCACTTTTAATTTTTATTTTATAGAACAATTAAAACACCGAAGTATGACTTTCTCCCAGTGAAAGACATGAATTAAAATGGTAATCTGGCCGGGTGCAGTGGCTCACGCCTATAATCCCAGCACTGTGGGAGGCCGAGGCAGGCAGATCACTTGAGGTCAGGAGTTCAAGACCAGCCTGGCCAACATGGTGAAACTCTGTCTCTACTAAAAATACAAAAATTAGCCAGGTGTGGTGGTGGGCACCTGTAATCCCAGCTACTCGGGAGGCTGAAGCAGGAGAATCACTTGAACCCAGGAGGTGGAGGTTGCAGTGAGCTGAGATCTCACCACTGCATTCCAGCCTGGACGACCGAGCAAGACTCTGCCTCAAAGGGAAGAAAATTAAAATTATGATGGTAATTAGAGGAATTACTTTAAGTTACTGGCAGAAATCTTATAAAATATTGCTCTAAAGCTTCAGCTTATCTTATTAGAATACATTTGAGCCTATTCCAAATAATTGGAATGATCTAAAAAAACATGGGTAAAATGAGTTACATTTTTTTTTTCAGACAGAGTCTCACTCTGTCTCCCAGGCTGGAGTGCAGTGGCGTGATCTCGGCTCACTGTAATCTCCGCCTCTGGGTTCAAGCGATTCTCCTGCCTCAACTTCCAGAGTAGCTGGGATTACAGGCACCTGCCACCACGCCCGGCTAATTTTTTGGATTTTTAGTAGAGACGGGTTTCGTCATGTTGCCCAGGCTGGTTTCAAACTCCTGAGCTCAGGCAATCCACCCGCCTCAGCCTCCCAAAGTGCTGGGATTACAGGGTGAGCCACCGCGCCCGGCCTCATTTTTTAAAAAAGTCTTTTTTTTGAGACGGGGTCTTGCTTTGCTGCCCAGTTGGACTCGAACGACCCGCCTCAGCCTCCCAGGAAGCTGGGGCTACGGATGCTCGACACCCACCCGGCTGAAACTGCATTTTCAATAAAGGAGCTGCTTGAGGGTGCAATTCACAGACCTCACATAACAGGAAAAACAAGAAAAGCCCCTGTAAGGTTTCTGTACTTTTGAACTTGTACATGCTCTACTTTTTTCCTAACATCAAGACCCACTGATGGAACCAATCTGATCCCGTTAAAGGTGAGGCTGGCAGTTCTGACCAGAAAGAAACGATACTTAATGATAAAATTTAAAAGGAAATTCCCAGCAACTTGTGTGACTGGAATTTGCTTGATTCTCCGGTTGAACACTGTTTACTCACAGTGGCAAAGGTTGAATAAAAGAGTTTCTTCTCCAACTTACTTCCTTCTGTTAATGTCATTTCAAAAGCTGAAAAACAAAGTCCCAGAGTTATGAACGGAGATATTACATGCAGAACTTTTCCTGCACGGTGACAGGAAGCCCTCCTCACTGACCCATGCACAACTGTGCTTTCGACGTGGCCCAGCCCTGCACAGGCTTCCATGGTGCCGCCCTTCTCAAAGGCACTGCCCCAGCGGAGACCTGGCAGAACCAACAGCTCTGCTATGGCCCCCAAACGTCACACTCCGGTAGCCCACGGCCCCAAGAAGGGAGAGGAACTGGATGAAAGGTGAGATGGCAAACTGTGCCCTTGAGGAGAGGCTGTGAGGCGGCAACGGGGCTGCAAACAGAGAAAAATAACCAAGGATGAAAACCAGGAAGGACAGCACGAGAGCCAGAGCTGGGCGCGGCCGGCACCAAGAACGCCTTTGGCTCTGCTCATTCCAGGCCCGTTCTTTGCACGAGGCCAAGCAGAGCAGATCCAGGTGCGCAGATGGAGGCAGGCGCTGTGGCTCCAGGGCTGGTGCCAGCATCCTCTCCCAGGGGAGCACGACCTTGCCAAACACCTCGGGCGACAGCAGCCTCCGTTCTTTCAAAATGCTCTCCTCACTGTATCCTGCCTCAAGCCAACGGCAAGCCCGGGGGACGGCCACACCCTCGAGATAAATGCACTCAGAGAGGTTAGGGGACCTGCCTGGGGCCACCCACACCTGTCCGGACTCAACCAGCTAATAACCATCTCATTCCACATGCTGAGAATAAATTGTGACATTAAAACTTGAGCATTTCTGAGGAGGGGGAGGTTCAGATCCACTTCCCTGGCAGAGGGAGAACTAAAAGGGATCCAGGCCAAGAACGAACAGCGTGGTGCTGGGCTGCAAGCCTGCGTAGCCACCTGCCAGGCGCACACGCAGCCGCCAACCCCAGGTCTCGGGAGGTGAACCGAGCCTCCCCATGGCAGAGACCATTTTACATTTGGGACCTCTGCTCCCTTCTCAGCCTTTCCCTGCCACTGCCAGCTCTGTACTGCCCTCACCTCCCAGGCCTGGCTCAGTTCTTGGGCCCTGGTACAAAGGGGAGCTGGGAACATCTCAGCGGAGTTCCTGAGTGCGTGACCAGAAACCACGACTCTACAGACAGCAGAACTGAGACACTGAGAAGCATTTCTGCCCAGGAGGGCTTAAGGCATATTCATTTGGAGCCAGAAAGCCTGCTGCTGAGGAATGCTCCTGACAGCCACGGAGACCTCTCCAGTGTCTTCCTGGCAGATCCCCTACCTGCATTCACTGATTCTTTGGCCATCGCTACTACAATTTTAGAATTGCTGGCAATTTTTTCTGCACACTGGATGGCTTCTTCCACCAGTGTCTCAACAGGACAAATCTTGCTGACAAGACCTGAAACACAAGAAAGTCAGTGAGTGATGTGCAGAAACAGCACTTGTCTATCCCTTCTCGAGTGAGTGGCCGCTGGGGAGCAGCGTGGCTGGAGCACCCCAGCCTCTGGACGCTAAGCAAGGGCGGCTTCCACACGGGAAGTGCCGCACGTGCCCCTTCCTGAGTGCTGAGTGATCTCGGCACTGCGGTCACTGTGCTCTCAGACATGTGGGCCAGGCTGGCCACAGCTCCGACGGCAGAGGCGGCCAGACACGGGGACTGTGATCACCAACAGGGCAGTGGGAGGACCGGCCACTGAGGCCTGGAGATGCCCATTGCTTACACTGCATTTTGGGGACGCAATTGCTGGGCTGTTATTCTGTACCAGATACTTACGTGTGGTTCACTTCCGTACATACAGTACTTCAAAATGTAGAAACAAAAGGCAGTCAGTCTTCTCCCAGGTCCTCAGGACCCAAAAGCTCATGCAACCACCGTGGGGGCACTTGGATGCTGCCCGGGGTTTCTGTGGGGCTCCCACGAGGGGGACACCTGGATGCCGCCCTGGGTTTCTGTGGGGCTCCCCCATGGGGGACACCTGGATGCAGCTCTGGGTTTCTGTGGGGCTCCCACGAGGGAGACAACTGGATGCAGCTCAGGGTTTCTGTGGGGCACCCATGAGGGGGACACCTGGATGCTGCCCCGGGTTTCTGTGGGGCTCCCCCGAGGGGGACACCTGGATGCCGCCCTGGGTTTCTGTGGGGCTCCCACCCCGGGTTTCCAGGTGGCTCTTGCGGGCAGCCCCAACCCATACCTGCTTGCTTGGCGTCCTGGGCTGAGATCCGGTCACCAGTGAGGACCATCTCCATCGCCAGCGACTTCCCAACAGCACGGGTGAGTCTCTGGGTGCCGCCCGCACCTGCAGGGAGGGGCTGGTCATGGCTGGCACTGTGATGAGTGAACCCAAGAAGACATCACAGCTGTGCAGCCAGCAAATTCCAAGGGGCTTAAGATAGGCCCTGAGACTAGGTCCAGGGGTCAGAGGCCAGGCAGCACAAGAGCCCGGGAACATCAGGGGCAGCAGCCCCTTTTCAAGCTCAGGCCCCACATCTGGTGCTCCCCTGTGGGCAAAGGATTACCTAGGTGCCGAGGCAAGAGACTGAAGGCACAAACTGTTTCGGTATAATAAAGAAAATAGTTAGAATAACAATAGTTATAATACAAATTAGATATAGAGATGATCATGGACATTATCAATCATTAGTATAAACATTATTAATCATTAGCTCTTAATATTACTCTTTGTTGTATTACTAATATAACCAAGAAATAACTGGCGGGTATAGGGTCAGGTGCTGAAGGCACATTGTGAGAAGAGACCTAGAAGGCAAGAGGTGAGCCTTCTGTCACACCTGCATAAGGGCCGCTTGAGGGCTCCTTGGTCAAGCAGTAACGCCAGTGTCTGGGAAGGCAACCATTACTTAGCAGACCATGAAAGGGAGTCTCCTTTCCTTGGAGGAGTCAGGGAACACTGCTCCACCAGCTTCTTGTGAGAGGCTGGATATTCTCCAGGCCTGCCCGCAGTCATCCGGAGGCCTAACCCCCTCCCTGTGGTGCTTCAACGATCACACTCCTTGTCCACTTTCATGCTCCTCCCGTACTCCTGGTTCCTCTTTGAAGTTCGTAGCAGATAGTGGAAGAAGAAAGAGTGAAAGTCTTAAAGTCTTTGATCTTTCTTGTAAGTGCATAGAAGAAAATGCTGACATATGCTGCCTTCCCTCTCTGCTTCGGCTACCTAAGAGGGAAGGGCCCCCTGTCCCATGATCACGTGACTTGCTTCACCTTGTCAATCACTTAGAGGATTCACCGTCCTCACCCTGCCCCCTCGTCCTGTATGCAATAAATATCAGTGCGCCCAGCCATTCGGGGCCACTACCGGTCTCCGCCTCTTGATGGTATTGGTCCCCCAGGCCCAGCTGTTTTCTCTTTATCTCTTTGTCTTGTGTCTTTATTTCTTACAATCTCTCGTCTCCGCACATGGGGAGAACACCTGCTAAGCCCCGTAGGGCTGGACACTACACTCCCCCAACACCCTGACATTAGATCAAGGTGATGACTCTGTAGGGCCCTCCCCAGCCTCTGTGGTCAACATATTAGAAGCTTATAGGCCTCCCTGACCCCAGGCACTGGTCCCTTATAGTAGCAGCTGTTCTAGGGATCAGACCCGAAACAAATGCACCGAGCTCACAGCTCCAGGCCTCAGAATCGGCCTCGTCCAACTCAGAGGGCAGCGAAGGGCACCCTGAGTGCAGCTGCTCCCCTCAGGGTCTCAGCTCCCTCCTGGCTGCTCGGCCTGGGCCCACCCTTCCTACCAGGAGAACCCTGGGGTTAGAGGGTGTTGCTTTTTGCCAAGAGCCCAGGCCCTTCTCACGGGCCTGGGTGGGGGGTCTGACTCCCCACCCTGAACCCAGGCCATGTGACCTCCATGGCCAGTGAGATGGCAGTGTGCAGAGCTCCCAGTGCCACCCAGGGTCACCATGTTCCCTCTCTGCCATGGACACGAATCACAAGCAAGAACTGTCATGGTTAGAAGCCAGCGTTACCCAGGACCAGCCTCTCCCAACACCATCAGATGTGGGCACAGTCACAGTCCCGGGACTCTAAGGCCCCCCCCAAGCTCTGTCACAACCACTCTAGCCTCCGTGGCTGTCCACAGAGGGACCACTGACCAGCCATGGGGCTGTCCATCCAGGGCCTCTGGTCAGATATGAGCTGTGGGCCCTGAGACACAGGCAGATTTTGAGTAATTACCTAAGGCATCTATGCCAGAGACAGTGTCACTCTTTACCTGGGATGGTTCCTATTAAGATCTCCGGCTGTGCAAACTGGGCCTTCTCACCGGCATAGATGATATCACACATCATGGCAAGCTCACAGCCCCCGCCAAACTGTAAAACATTCGGCATCAGGAGAGTCTTACCAGGGGAACCCAGTCAGAAATCACTCTGCTTGCTTATTCAAATTTTCCATTTAAAAGAAACAGTGTTGGGGGTATGACAAAGACTAACATGGTGGCACCAAACTAGATAATTGTTATGATAAGTTAACTACAGATGGTTGATGCTGTTTACCAGGGGCTGGCAAACATCCTGTAAAGGACCATGAGGGTCTTACAGGCTCTGCTGCCACGACTCAACTCTGCTGCTGTGGCCGAAATGCAGCCACAGAGACTAGGTGCACAGGTGGGTGTGGCTGTGCCGGGAAAACTCCATCCGCAGACCCCTGGCTTACACGGCAGGGAGTGTCATGAAATGATCACAATCCGCAGACCCCTGGTTTACACGGCAGGGAGCGTCATGAAATGATCACAATCCGCAGACCCCTGGCTTACACGGCAGGGAGCGTCATGAAATGATCACAATCCGCAGACCCCTGGCTTACACGGCAGGGAGCGTCATGAAATGATCACATTGCCTTCCCTATAGGCCAAGATCAGTCTCAGCACTTCAAATAGTCCCAGGACACAGAGCTTTCAAGGGGAGCAAAAGAAGCTAGTTTATAGATGTAGCCAAAGCCAACACCTCTCTTCCCCCACCCTGGAAGAGAGGCTTGCTGGGGAGAAGCTGTCAGGTGAACAGCCACGAAAAAAGCAGATGCCAGGAGGTGTCCTCTCCACACAGTTCCTGGCTCTTTAGCACCATGAGGCAGGAAAGGAGGCTGCTGGCCTGGGAACTAAAGGCCTCTTCAAAATAAAAATCTGTTATGCTGTGTATGCACAGCACGGTTCCTTCAACCACGAGAGGAGGAGACTCTTGGCAGCAACACTCACGGCATAGCCATTGACAGCAGCGATGACTGGCTTCTTGACCTGGGTGAGGTGGTCCCAGTGCTTCAAGAACTTGCTGGAGTAACAGTCCTGGAAACTCAGGTTCTGCATTTCCTTGATATCAGCTCCAGCTAGCAGGAGTGGAAAGGAGGTTCCAGTTACCAGAGAGCAGAGAGCCCACCCATCCTATATCTCTCAGACCAACAAGGAACTTCAGAGCACACCAGACACAGGCAGTGGGGTTGCTGGGCACGGCTGACACCAGGCCACGTGGACAGCTGTAGGGACGCTGTAATGCCAGCTAGAACAGAAGTCACGCAGAGGGGCCCTGAGGCAGGCAGCAGGTGCAAGGGAGGCGCCCACAGAGGCTAGGCATATTTGTCAGGGCATAAGCCCTTGACACACACAAAGCCTGACTGCCAAGGACCTAAACCCCTTTGAAGAAGCTGTTTTGCTGGTGGAGCACATGCAGCTCTCTGGCATACACAAAGCTGCTCATGCAAGCCGTTCCCATGACCGTCTTCACTCGATATTTGAGGAAGTCCCCAGTCGCATGCCTCTGCCATCACAGAGGCGCAAATCTGTCTGGAGGCTTCTCCCAAGGCCATACGTGCCTCCCACATCTGCCCAGACACAAAGGCCTCTGCTGCCGCGCGTACCTGCAAAGGCCTTATCCCCGCCGGTGAGGACAATGGCCCCCACGGCCGGGTCCTCCTCGAAGGTCTTCAGGGCCTGGTTGAGCTCGTCAATCAGGCCATCGCAAAGTGCATTGAGGGCCTTGGGGCGGTTCAGTTGGATCAACCCCACGGTGTTATTCTTCCCTCTTTTTTCTGCGATGATGTACTCAAAGTTAGCACCTGGAGCAAGAAGGCAAAAAGGGGTATCTATTCACACAGGTATCAAACTGGGGAGAGTGGGGGAAGGGATGTGGCCCCATCGGTGGATACAGTGTGACCCCAAGAGGCCCTCTGAGGGCTCCCTGCCGAGTCCTCAGTGGCTCCAGGTGTAGCTCTCAGCCACAAGGATAGATGGTAGCCTTGGTACCATTCTCTCTGCTTTCACATGTGTTTGAACATGTCCTAAAGAAAATCCCCGGGCCGGGCGCGGTGGCTCACGCCTGTAATCCCAGCAATTTGGGAGGCCGAAGCGGTCGAATCACAAGGTCAGGAGATCGAGACCATCCTGGCTAACACGGTGAAACGCCGTCTCTACCTAAAATACAAAAAATTAGTCGGGTGTTGTGGCGGGCGCCTGTAGTCCCAGCTACTGGGGAGGCTGAGGCAGGAGAGTGGCATGAACCCAGGAGGTGGAGCTTGCAGTGAGCTGAGATCATGCCACTGCACTCCAGCCTGGGTGACAGAGTGAGACTCCGTCTCAAAAAAAAAGAAAAGAAAAAAAGAAAAATCCCCAGCACAGAACACAGCCCACAGCCGCTTTCCTTCTCCTAATATGCCTTGGTCAGCTCTTCCCAGGACACCACTCTGGAGACAGCCCTGGACTCTGCTGAGACAAGGCACCAGGAAACACCTTCTTTCAACAAATGCCAACAGGTGAGGGGGTGTAAGGCAGCTCCTTGCACTTGGTACCGCCCCAGTGCCAAGACCTCTGGCCAACTGGACGCAGGGTGGGGGATGTGAAAATCCTGGGTGTTCCTGCAGCATTAAGATCAGGCACAGGTCCGGAGCAGCAGGCCAGCCCGAAAATGGGAGACGCAGGCGCTTCTCGGTTGGCCTGCTGCACAGGACCTGCGCCTGCTGGGTGGACAGCAAGGTGGGAAGGAGACAAAGGACAATGGCGTTCCAGGGGTGAGAAGGTGAACCTGAAAAGACAAAGGTAGCCTGTGTGTTGGATGCTTGCCTCCGTTAGTGGCAGAGCAGGGATCATAGTCCCTGTGCTATGGGTTTCTTTTTTTTGGAGACCGAGTCTCACTCTATTGCCCAGGCTGGAGTGCAGTGGCGCAATCTTGGCTCACTGCGACCTCTGCCTACAGGGTTCAGGTGATTCTCCTGCCTCAGCCTCCCGAGTAGCTGGGACTACGGTCACACACCACCACACCTGGCTAATTTTTGTATTTTTAGTAGACATGGGGTTTCACCATGTTGGCCAAGGTGGTCTTGATGACCTCAGGTGATCCACCTGCCTCAGCCTCCCAAAGTGCTGGGATTATAGGCATTAGCCACTGTGCCCCGCCGTATCCTGTGGGTTTCTAGGGGTAACTGGAAGATCACAGGTGAAGTGTCTGGCAGCAGTGCCCGCCATGCAAGATCCAGGAAAGGGCTGCTGTCAGGGTGGAGAAGCCGAAGGCCAAGGAGAGCATGGAGATGAAACCAACACAACTCAGTGGTCCACTGCTACACAGGGTGAGGGAGGAAGAGGAAGCAAGAGTTCTTCCCCAGCCCAAGGCATGGCCCAAGATTCCTCAGATACTAGAGCCGGTGATGGCCGCTCATGAGTGGGGCCCCGGGTGAGCCACGAGGGAGGAAGAGGGCAGCCCCCTGTGGCTGGGGAGGAGGTGTCAGCTTTTCCCTTAGGACCCTCTGAGGGGTGGCCCTGGTCAGGAGGCACCCAGGACAAAATGCACCTGCATCTCCTGTTCTCGGGCTGGCCGGCTGCACAGGAGCTACGCCTGCTCTTAGAGCCGAGGGAACACCCCGGATTTTTACAACCCCCACCCTGCGCCCAGTTGGCCAGAGGTCTTGGCACTGGGGCAGTACCAGCCAGCCGCCGGGCCTCCCGCAGGACGTGGCCTGGTGAGAGTGGCCTCCTGCAGAGCCAGGCAGGGGGTGGGGGTGCGGGCCAGGGTCAGGTGGGTGGTGTCGGTGCGGGGTGGCGGGTGGTGGGGGGGTGTTAAGCCTGGGTCAGGCTGTGGGTGCGGGTCAGGTGGGGGGTGCAGCACTAGGCGAGGGGGGTGTTGCAGGCCTGAGCCAGGCAGGGGCTGCGGGTCGGGGTCAGGTGGTAGGTGCGGGGTCAGGCAGGAGAGTGCGGAGTCAGGCCCTGGGGATGCGGGATCGGACGGAAGAGGGGTGCGGGGTCAGGCCGGGGGGTGCGGGGTCAGGTGGGGGGGTGCGGGGTCAGGCGGAGTGGGGTGCGGGTAGGGGTCAGGCCGGAGGGTGCGGGGTCAGGTGGGGGGGTGCGGGGTCAGGCGGGGGGGTGCGGGGTCAGGCGGAGTGGGGTGCGGGTAGGGGTCAGGTGAGGGTGCGGGGTCAGGCGGAAGAGGGGTGTGGGTTGGGGTCAGGTGGGGGATGCGGGGTCAGGTGGGAGGGGGGTGCGGTCTGGGATCTGGTCTGGGCGTGCAGGTCGGAGTCAGGAGGAGATTCGGGCCGCCAGCTCTCACCGCGCACTCACCCGAGGCGAAGGGACGCCAGGCGGGACAGCGAACCGGGGGCCTCAGCGGGCCGCGGACGCAGGACAGCAGGACACGCAGGGCGGCCATGGCTCTCTGGACTCCTCGCCCGGCCCCGCGGAGCCGCCCCCTCGCCTATAGCCTTTCAGGGCTCGCTCCGCCCACAGGCCAGCGCCGCGAGACCAGGCGGCCCTCGCGAGATCAGCCCGGGCAGAGTGAGCGGGTCGCTCTCCGCCAGGCCCCGCCCCCAGGCCCGAGCTGCCGCTCGCGGATCTAAGGCCGAGGGGCGTCCCCGGGACCCCGCCCTGGGCTGGGACCAGCGCCCTCCAGGCCCCGCCGCAGTCGCCCGCGCCCCCGCCCCCGCCCCAGCCCTCGGGGTCCCAGCTGGCCCCGGGGAGACCGCGCGGAGGCGGAGGCAACGGCGGCGCCTGCCGGGCTCTGCGCCGCCTCCCCCCGCCCGCCTGCCCGCCTGCCCGCCTGCCCGCCTGCCCGCCTGCCCGCCTGCCCGCCTGCCCGCCGGCGTCTGTAGCAGCGGACACAGCGCGCCCAGGCGCAGGGCCAGGCACGGTGGCAGCGGCGTGGGCACTGAACGCCACATTAGGAGGAGTTTTATTTTCATGCACACAAGACTTCAACAGATTTAAATAATAAAAATTTCATTCATTTAAGTTATTTTATTTATACCTTTTAAATATCTAGACAAGTATTGTGGAGCATCCATTTGTGTACTTGCCCGGATTCTGCAAACGCCAGGGTGGAGATAAAACCACCCTGGATAAAATGGAATGGAAAGCGAAACTGCTATTGTGACCGGTGGAGGGTGTCCAGGTTCTTGACGTCTTGAACAAAGAACTGGACAAAACGCACAAACAAAGCACGGAAAGAAGGAAGCAACAAAAGCGAGATTTATGGAAAACAAAAGTGTGGCCGGGCGCGGTGGCTCAGGCCTGTAATCCCAGCACTTTGGGAGGCCAAGGCGGGCAGATCACCTGACGTCAGGAGTTTGAGACCAGCCTGGGCAACATGGTGAAACCCCCCTCTCTACTAAAAACACAAAAATTAGCCGGGCGTGGTGGTGCACGCCTGTGGTCTTAGCTACTCGGGAGGCTGACGCAGGAGAATTGCTTGAATCCGGGAGGCGGAGGTTGCAGTGAGCCGAGATCGCACCACTGCCCTCCAGCCTGGGCGATAGAGCCAGACTTCGTCTCAAAAAAGAAACAAGAAAAGACAACGAAAATAACTCCACACTGTGGGAGCGGCTGAGCATAGCGGCTCAAGAGCCCCGTTACAGATTTTTTGGGGGGGTTAAATACCCTCTAGAGGTTTCCATTGGTTACTTGGTGTACGCCCTGTGTAAATGGAGAGGACACTTCTTGTCATAGCGGAAGTGTTTCCATTTGATTTAGTTCTAGGGAGTCAGCATGAATTGGCCTCCAGACCCTGTTCTCCTGCCTCACTATGTTCAAGAAAATAATTCAATTCAAACCAAAAATGAACATGCACCAAAATTTTATTTCAAGACCGAGGGTAAAAATGAAGACATCTCGTGTAAGTAGAAACAAATCAACAACAAACCTCAACAAACCTTTAGTAAACGATGCTCTATACTAGTGTAGTTAAACCTCTGGGACAGACAGGCCCAAAATGAAATGGCTCAGACAGAAAAGAGGTTTATTTCCTTCCTTCCTTCTCCTTCACCTTCTCTTCTTTCCTTTCTTTCTTGTCTCGCTGTCACCCAGGCTGGAGTGCAGTGGTGTCATCCCGGCTCATCATAGCTTGCGCCTCCCGGGTTCAAGCGATTCTCCTGCCTCAGCCTCCTGAGTAGCTGGAACTACGGGTGCTTACCACCATGCCCGGCTAATATTTGTAGTTTTTTAGTAGAGTCGGGAGTTTTGCCATGTTGGCCAGGCTGTTCTCGAACTCCTGACCTCAAGTGATCCACCGGTCTCGGCCTCGCAAAGTGCTGGAATTACAGGAGTGGACCACCGTGTCCGCCAAGAGGTTTCCTTTCTAACGACCCAGGAGGCCGGGCAGCTCCCGTCCTCCATCAAGTAATGTAGCCACAAAAGCACAAGCAACAAAGGGAGAACATATGTAAATTGGATTTCACCAAAATTTAAAACTTTTATGTCTGAAAGGACACTACCAAGATAGTGAGAGGACTGAACAGACATTCCTCCAATGAAGATAATCAGTGTCAGATAAGCTCAGCATCACGAATCATTAGGGAAATGCAAACTGACCCCTCAGTGATACGACGTCACACCTACTGTGCTGGCTGCAATAAAAAGCCCAACAGTCACAGCGGGTTGTGGGGGACGTGAGCGGGGAACGCTGGTACACTGCCAGCGGGAATGGAAAATGGTGCAGTCACTTTGGAAAACAGTCTGTTGTTTCCTCAAAAGGTCAAACAGCAACTCCACTCTTAGGTGTACACCTCAGAGAAATGAAGACAAATGTCCACAAAAACTTAGACATGAACGTTCATAGCAACATTATTCATAATAGCCAAAAAGAGGGAAAAAGCCAATTGTCCATCAACTCATGAATGGATAAACAAAATGTCATATATCCAAACAATGGATACATTAGAATGTATTAGACTATACAATGGACTCTATTCAGGAGTAAAAAAGAAAGAAGCGCTGATACACATTACAAAATGGACAAGCCTTGGAAATGTTATGCTCAGTAAAAAAAGCCAGACACAAAGGCCGTGCATTGAATAGGTTCCATTTCTATGAAATGTACAGAACAGGCAAATCCACAGAGACAGAAACTAGATTAGCGGTCACCAGGGGCTGGAGGGAGGGGTAATGGGGGGGACTGCTGAGGGGCATCCCCATTTGCTTTTTAGGGTGATGAAAATGTCCTAAACTTGGGGCCAGGCGCAGTGGTTCACGCCTGTAATCCCAGCACTTTGGGAGGCCAAGGCAGGTGGATCACCTGAGGTCAGGTGTTCGAGACCAGCCTGGTCCAACATGGTGAAACTCCGTCTCTACTAAAAATACAAAAATTAGCCGGGCGTAGTGGCACATGCCTATAATCCCAGCTACTCAGGAGGCTGAGGCAGGAGAATTGCTTGAACTTGGAAGGCAGAGGTTGCAGTGAGCCAAGGTAGTGTCACTGCACTCCAGCCTGGGCAACAGAGCAAGACTCCATCTCAAAAAAACAAAACAAAACAAAAAAGTTCTAAACTGGATGATGGTGACAGTGGCACAACTCTGTAACTAAACTGAACACCATTGAATTGAACACTTTAAACGGGAGAAGTCTTACAGCATGATGTCTATATCAATAAAGCTATTTTAAAAAATGAACAAGCCTGATTCAGTCAAAGCCACATGGGTAGTTGCCACCTTGATCACCATAGGTGGCATCACCCAAGGCCCTCTGGAGCTAGGAGAAGCACATACCTTGTACCAGTCAGATGGAAAAGAGGTTGTGTCCGTGTGTTCCAGCTGGTGGCTCTGGCATGGCAGGATTGTCCAGGACTGGCCGTGGTCACGTGCACTCTCCATTTCAGAGCAAGGGGGACGAGCGACTAACCCAGCCCCAGGTCAGCGCGTCAGCGGCCCGTGCTATTGGATTCAGGCTGTGGCACCACATCCAGGGGACAAAGAGCGCGTCGGTTGTCCCCACCCTGCAGCTCTTGGGTCCATGTCTTCTCT
Source organism: Homo sapiens (assembly GCF_000001405.40). Lineage (NCBI taxonomy): Eukaryota > Metazoa > Chordata > Mammalia > Primates > Hominidae > Homo > Homo sapiens. Next base: position 133,376,915 of record NC_000010.11, read on the forward strand.
CTCCGCGCCATAAAGCCAGAGTTCCCATTTCAGTCACTACAATCACCCCTCCTTGCACCAGGCCTTCCAGGTGTGGGGCATGGGCATGTTTACCTCTGGCCTGTGTGGACCGCTGTGGGGAGGCTTGGCCAGCAAGTTGCTGAGCCAAGTATCTTTTATGGGATCCTGCCGCTCCACAGGAGGATCCGGGAGGCTGAACTAGAGTTAAGTTAGAATCTTTCGGTTCCCCTTCGGGCTGGGCTCCCCGCAGGAACCAGGAACGGGCTGGCCAGGAGGACATGATGGACCGGGAGAAGGTGACAGAGGCAAAGCCAGACCCTTCCTGTTCCATCTTGCAGAGGCTGTCCCAACGCGAGGTGAGGCCAGGTGCCTGGGGGACATCGATGCCTGACCAGAGCCCAGCCTGGACAGCCTTCCAGCAAAGGCTGGGCACTGGCCGACCGTAACGGCCCAGGAGAATGAGGACACGGGAGTCTCGGGGCTGGAGGAGCTGGCTGACCAGATGGTGCCTGACACGGTGCTGAAAACAGGGCAGCAGTCCCCAGAGGCTGAGGGGCCAAAGTAGCCTGTCCACCCAGAGTGGCGAGGCCCACGCCTGTGCAGGAGGCCTGAGGCATGGGGTGGCCTCCCTCACAGCTGTGCCCACCCAGCCTGTGCGCAGGGCGATGTGCTCCTATGTCTGGGCAGTGAGCTGGGCCCTGCGGCGAGAGCAGCAGCAGCTCGATTTCACACGGAGCCACTAGGGAGTGGGCCGTTCCCTTGGCCATACCCGTGGGGGACCCAGTTCATCTGTGGAATTCAGAACCCCAGAGTATTTAATCTGCCATCTCAGGACCTCCGCTGGGGAGCTGGGGCAGGTGGGTGGGTGGTCCCGCTGGGCTTCCGTGGTGCATGCCAGGGACCTCAGAATGGAGCGCCCCACTGAGCCAGCGGCTCTGCTTCAGGCCCAAGAGCAGGGAGTAAGAGAGAAGCCTGCTCAGGCAGAACAGGTGACACTCGTGGCGGGGGCTGCACCCCAAACACTTGCCATCCGACTAAGGGTGTGGGGCAGCCCTTCTTTCCTTAGTCCTGGCATGTCGGGTGGGTCAGCTTGGTGGACAGCTGGCCCTGCTGACCCGGGATCCGCCCTGGGTTCCCCATGGCCTGGAGGCAGGAGGAGATGGCCACTGCATCCAGCGTCGCCTCCTGGTGCTGCGGGCCCCTGACGGACAGAGGACGCTCGACCCCTGCCCGCCACCGCCCAGGGAGTCAGCCCGACTCCCAGGCACCCGCCCCTCTCCCTGCCTGGAGCTCAGCTCGCGGGGTTGGCTAGGGAGTGATGGGGAGTGGAATCCAGCGACACCAGGTCACCCTTCCGGGAGCCTTTTCTCCAGCTGGGACGAGAGGGAATCAAAGGAAAGTAAGACACGGCTCAGGAGGCCCACGCCGAGAGCGAAGAGTGAAGCTCACGCTGGCAAACTGGAGCGCGCGGCCCCTCGGCAGAGGACCGGGGCTCAGGAGGCGGGGACGCGCCTGAAAACAGGGCGGGAGCCTTTCCAACCCCCGCGGGCTGCGATGCAGCAGAAAACTCGGCCGCCTGCACCGGGGATTCTCCAGAAACACAGGCGTGCCTGGGTGTGCGCTCAACTTCCCGGGCGAGGGACGTTTCTGCACTTGCCCTCGGCTTCTGAACTTTGTACTTTGCGAGTGTACTTTGTACTTTGGTCCTGTGTCCCTGCAGCCCTGTGACTACACGCGCACACGCAGGCGCGCGCACACGCGAACTGACGGCTCGCTGGCGATGCTGGAGGCTTTCACAGCCCCCCTCCGGACGCGTTAAGCTCTCCCAGGTCCCACCCCTGACACCGTGGCACCCCCAGACCCACTGCGCCCTCGCACTCGACGCGGGTCCCTGGGGGAAGCGCTCGCTGCGCCCTCGTCTCCCTTGGAGGAGACACTGGCCCGCCCGGCCGGCCGGCTTCTCCCTCCATGGGGACGCTCGCGCGCACCGCCCGGCAGCGCGGGACGCTCCCTGACGCCTGTCCTCGCGGGCCCTCCCACGCGGGGCGCTTCCCTCTGAGACCCGAGCCCAGTCCGGAGGCTCGCGGAGGCCGAGGCGCACTGTGGGGCTCGGCCCGGCCCCTTCCCCGCCCCTCCCCGCCCCTCCCCGCCCCTCCCCGCGCCTCCCCGCGCCTCCCCGCGCCTCCCCGCGCCTCCCCGCCCCTCCCCGCGCCTCCCCGCCCCTCCCCGCGCCTCCCCGCCCCTCCCCGCCCCTCCCCGCCCCTCCCCGCGCCTCCCCGCGCCTCCCCGCCCCTCCCCGCCCCTCCCAGCGCCTCCCCGCCCCCTCGCTCCGCCTCCGGCCTCCTCCGAGAGCTCCAGACCTCCCGGCTACTCAGAAGCCCTCGGACTGCCCGGACCGCGCGATGGAGTCGACCGGCAGCGTCGGGGAGGCCCCGGGCGGACCCCGGGTGCTGGTGGTGGGCGGCGGCATCGCGGGGCTGGGCGCGGCGCAGAGGCTCTGCGGCCACTCCGCCTTCCCGCACCTGCGGGTCCTGGAGGCCACGGCCCGCGCCGGGGGCCGCATCCGCTCGGAGCGCTGCTTCGGTAACCGCCCCTCCCGGAGCCCCTCCCGGAACCCAACCGGCTGCGCCCGAACTCGCCGGCCCCAACCTGCCCTGCGCGCAGCCGACCTGCCCGGCCGCCTCACCGGGCTCCCCGAGGGAATCCCCGCTCGCTTAATCCGCCAGAGTTCACCGCCCCGAAACTCAGGGCTCAGAGTTAGTCAGGAGGGCGCCGGCCAGGGAAGGCGACCTACGGCTCCACAAGGCCGCCCTGATTCTGCCCCACGGGGGCCCCCCCAGCCCCGGGGTACGCCCACCCTGCGCCCCTCCCTCTGGTCCACACCGCCCGACAAGTGCCCTCCTGCCCAGGTGCTCCCCTTAAACTGGGTCTGACAGGGCCCTGCCCTGGGGGACCACAGGGCCCTTGGGGACAGTGTGGTACATCCTCCTTGGGAAGGCCAGCGTGGGCGTGGCCCAGGAGAAGGGCTCGGGGTGACCCTTCTAGGAAAGGGACCTCCAGGTGGCATCTGCTGTCCCCTCGCAGGTGGCGTGGTGGAGGTGGGCGCGCACTGGATCCATGGGCCCTCCCGGGGTAACCCCGTCTTCCAGCTGGCTGCTGAGTACGGGCTGCTGGGGGAGAAGGAGCTGTCCCAGGAGAACCAGCTGGTGGAGACCGGGGGTCACGTGGGCCTGCCCTCCGTGAGCTACGCCAGCTCCGGGGCCAGCGTGAGCCTCCAGCTGGTGGCGGAGATGGCGACTCTGTTCTACGGCCTGATAGACCAGACCCGGGAGTTCCTGCACGCTGCAGAGACCCCGGTGCCCAGCGTCGGGGAGTACCTCAAGAAGGAGATTGGCCAGCACGTGGCCGGCTGGACAGAGGATGAGGAGACCAGGAAGCTGAAGCTGGCCGTCCTGAACTCCTTCTTCAACCTGGAATGCTGTGTGAGCGGCACCCACAGCATGGACCTGGTGGCCCTGGCACCCTTTGGGGAGTATACCGTGCTGCCGGGGCTGGACTGCACCTTTTCTAAGTGCGTGCCTGAGCCCCTGCCCCGCCAGTCCTCCCACCAGGCTCCCCAGGGCACCGGGGCTGGCTGAGCTCCGCTCTTGCTTGGGTATGGGAGGGACAGGAGACCATTTGTCCTCCCCATTCCGACAGACTGGTTGCTCCTTTCCCTAGTTTTGCTCATTTAAGCCAAAAAAGTTATTTCTGAGAGAGAGTGTTTAAAAGAAGGAAAGGTAAGGCTGAGTGCGGTGGCTCACGCCTGTAATCCCAGCACTTTGGGAGGCTGAGGCAGGTGGATCATGAGGTCAGGAGTTCAAGAACAGCCTGGCCAACATGGTGAAATCCCATCTCTACTAAAAATACAAAAATTAGCCGGGCGTGATGGTGCATGCCTGTAATCCCAGCTACTCGGGAGGCTGAGGCAGGAGAATTGCTTGAACCTGGGAGGCGGAGGTTGCAGTGAGCCAAGACTGCGCCATTGCACTCCAACCTGGGCGACAGAGTGAGACTCCATCTCAAAAGAGAAAAAAAGAAGAAGAGTAAAGACTTCTCTTGCTCCTGTATTTATGAGGGGCTTCAACTGCAGAGGGGGCCAGACAGGCCCTCTCCCTGTGGCAGGGTGGCTGCCAGGTACCAGGTGCAGATGAGACCCTCCTCGGGCTGTCCCGTCACCCCTGGTGTTGGCCCCAAGGCTCCTGGCCAGGCAATGGGCATTTGTGAGTCAGGAACTCTGTGGTGGTAAGGAGGAAGCCCTGGTTCCGGCAGATTGCCTTGAGTGCTCTGTGCCCACTGAACCCTCCCTTACAGCCTGGAGGGCAGGTATGAGCATCCTTGAGGTGGAAAACCACAGAGTGGAGCTGACCTCCTTGCTGGCCCTGAGCGATGGAGAGCTCCCCGCAGCTACCTTTGATGCGGGTGGGAACTCAGAGCACGTATTTCCACCAGTCCTGCCCTTCCAGGGACTGGGCCTCTACGAAACCAGCACTTCCGTCTTTCTAGGGGCTATCAAGGACTCACAAACTGCATGATGGCCGCCCTGCCGGAGGACACTGTAGTTTTTGAGAAGCCTGTGAAGACCATCCACTGGAACGGGTCCTTCCAGGAGGCAGCCTTTCCCGGGGAGACCTTTCCAGTGTCGGTAGAGTGTGAGGATGGAGACCGGTTCCCGGCGCACCATGTCATCGTCACCGTGCCCTTAGGTAGGTCAGGTTTTCAGCCCAAACCCCCATCCCAAGTGCCCCCGCCTCTGCCCTTACCCTGCCTCAGTTGGCTCTGGGGCGTTTGCTTGTGTACGAAGCTCACATTTTCGTTCTAGTAAGTTCCAGATAGGTGGAAGGAATGATTCTGTTATGTTTTGTAGCAATTACATGCTTTGGAATTAAGGGTTTCACCGTAAGAAAAAACGCGAGTAAGTATGCGTCCTGCTCGCTTGGAGGTAACCGTTTAGGGTTGCGACGGCCTTGGAGATTAACCACACCGCACTTTGCTGCAGACAGGAAAAGGCATGAAAGGCCTGGTCTGAAGGTCAGGCCTGGGGTGACCTGTTGAAGGAGCCGTGTGTATAATTCTGTTTAATTCTAGATCTGGTGCTTTAGATCTGTCCTTGAGTAGAGGTGGTTTGAAGCTGTTTTATAAAAGGTGGAGATGGTTGAAAACAGAGTTACTAGGATAATTGCTGTCAACTGGACATTTGCTTCCCACGGGTTTCACGCTGCCGTGGGTCTCTGCCTGAGTTATCTCATTGACTCAGGCAGCCTTGGGAGGTGTCTGTCATTGTCCCACATATGACAGATTTGAACATCTAGGCAAGTAGAGAGAAGTCACTTAATTGCCCAAGTTCACAAAGCTAGCGATTGCCAGCACTCACTTGGAAATCTAGGTGTGATTGACAGGTGTGTGATGAAAAGCAGGAGCCTCCGCAGCCCTAACTCCTGTCTCCAAGGGGTGGCTTTGCCCTCCCCGGGGCAGGGATGAGCACTGAGACCCCATTGCTGTTTCCCAGAGATGCAGTCGTCGTCCACACATGAACATCTGCTGCTGGCTGGGCACGGTGGCTCACGCTTGTAATCCCAGCCCTTTGGGAAGCTGAGGCAGGCGGATCACCTGAGGTCAGGAGTTCGAGACCAGCCTGGTCAACATGATGAAACCCTGTCTCTACTAAAAATCCAAAAATTAGCTGGGCATGGTGGCAGGCACCTGTAATTCCAGCTACTTGGGAGGCTGAGGCAGGAGAATCGCTTGAACGGGGGAGGCAGAGGTCACAGTGAGCCGAGATGGTGTCATTGCACTCCAGCCTGGGTGACAGAGTGAGACTCTGTCTCAGAAAAAAAAAAAAACCAAAAATCTGCTGCTCAGTTTGCCTGTTTTTGTTTTTTGTTTTTTTCTTAATAGAACTTGTCAGTGTTTCCAAATCAGCACACATAGATCTACAGCGGTCTTTTTTGTTTCCCTCCAGTGGCTTTGTTCATTCACGTTTGGAGTAAGTGCTTGCAGGCCCTGCTAAGTGCTGATCACGGGGACATTGTCAGTAGATACATTGCTACAACTGTGAGCATTTTGTTTATAAGGAGCCAGTTCACAAAAATTAGCCGTCGGGTGCCTGTAGTCCCAGCTACTCAGGAGGCTGAGGCTGGAGAATTGCTTGAACCCAGGAGGCAGAGGTTGCAGTGAGCCGAGATTGTGCCATTGCACTCCAGCCTGGGAGACCAGAGCGAAACTCCGTCTCAAAAAAAAAGGAGCGGGTTAATTTGCCACGCAGTGTTTTCTTGTCATTATTTCATAAGCATAGATGGAAATTTAGGTGGCCTTCACTTTTTCTATTTCATGCAGTTTTACATGTGCACTTAAAAACACTTGTGTTGGCCAGGCACGGTGGCTCACGCCTGTAATCCCAGCACTTCGGGAGGCTGAGGCAGGTAGATCACCTGAGGTCACGAGTTCAAGACCAGCCTAACCAACATGGCAAGACCCCATCTCTACTAAAAATAGAAAAATTAGCTGGGCCTGGTCGTGGGTGCCTGTAATCCCAGCTATTTGGGAAGCTGAGGCAGGAGAATCACTAGAACCTGGGAGGTGGAGGTTGCAGTGAGCCAAGATGGCATCGTTGCATTCCAGCTTGGGCGACAGAGTGAGAATCCATCTCAAAAAAAAAAAAAAAAAGAAAACCCAAAAAACAAAAAAACAAAAAACACTTGTGTGAAAGGTGGGGAACAGAGGCTCACGCCTGTAATCCCAGCAGTTTGGGAGGCCAAAGTGGGAGGACTGAGCCAGGGAGGTCAAGGCTGCAGTGAGCCCTGATCATGGTGCTGCATGCACTCTAGCCTGGGCAACAGAGCAAGACCCTATCTCAAAAACAAGGACAAAAAAGTAAAACTGCTTGTGTGAATGTGTCTGTAGGATAAACACCAGCAGGGGAAATTGCTGGATCCAAGGTCTGGACAGACAGGACTTCCGTGGAGGGCTTTATGTGATGTAAGAAGAGTCCAATTCTGAATTCCAGGTTTTCTTAGGGAACATTTGGACACCTTCTTTGACCCTCCCCTGCCGGCTGAGAAGGCAGAAGCAATCAGGAAGATAGGCTTTGGGACCAACAACAAAATCTTCCTGGAGTTTGAGGAGCCCTTCTGGGAGCCAGACTGCCAGCTGATCCAGCTGGTGTGGGAGGACACGTCGCCCCTGGAGGATGCTGCCCCTGAGCTACAGGACGCCTGGTTCCGGAAGCTCATTGGCTTTGTGGTCCTGCCTGCCTTTGCGTACGTTTGCTCCCTGAGAAGTTCTGCGAGTGGCTGGCTCATAGGCCTTCATCTGATGGAGGACGCAGCAGTGTGTCTGTTCACTGCAGGGTATTTCTAGGGGGTTTAATGGGTAGGGTTCCCATGAGCGCCCCCCCACCAGGTGCTGGCTGCACCTGGGCCTGACCCCTGCGGGGACAGATGGCGCCCTGCTGTATGCGGGTTGTCAGCGTCCCTCAGGGCCCAGAATGTGTTTGTAGACTTGCAGGCAGGCTCAGTCTTCAGTCAGTGGGAACGTGTTTACTGGAATGTTGCAGGGAGCTGGGGCTTGTAGATACAGAAGAACTTTGAAACACCATCTGCCCATACGTGGGGAGACAATACTTAAATGGGATGAAATAATTGAAGGAAACATTCCGAGAAGTAATGGAATGGGAGACCCACAGAGGAAGGGCTCCCTTGTATGGGCTGGCCCTCTTAGAAACAGCATATCTAGACCACGTGGCGATTCAGGAGTTAATCCCATGAGTGATGTGGGGATGGAGGGACTGACTTTTCCAGCAAGATTAAAACACAAAGACAGCCTGATATAGTCAGATGGCAGAAATAATTCCACGTTTCCACTGAGAGATGCCGCAGGAGGGGGCACCAAGTTCTTGTTCTGAAAGACCCGGGATGGGGTGGGATGTAGGGCATGCCTGCCAGATGGTTCATAGTTGCCATCCACTGGGAGCAGGAGGCTGCAGGCTGCAGACCAGCCCTGCACCTGTGACGGGGGAAGCCTGTGTGTCTCCTTCACACTGAAGAGAAAACTGGCATTTCGGCCAGGCGCGGTGGCTCATGTCTGTAATCCCTGCACTTTGGGAGGCTGAGGCGGGTGGATCACCTGAGGTCAGGAGTTCGAGACCAGCCTGGCCAACATGATGAAACCCCGTCTCTACTAAAAATACAAAAAATTAGCCGGTGTGGTGGCACGCACCTGTAATCACAGCTACTCAGGAGGCTGAGGCAGGACAATCGCTTGAACCTGGGAGGCAGAGGTTGCAGTGAGCTGAGATTGTGCCACTGCACTCCAGCCTTGGCAACAAGAGCAAAACTCTGTCTAAAAAAAAAAAGAAAGAAAACTGGCATTCCAGGTGTTGAGATAGGCCTGGGTTGCTGGTGGGCAGCCGGGTGGGTGACTGTGTGTAGAGCCACCTGCTCCAGGCCCAGCCCCACCTCCTGTGCTCTCTTGCTTAGGACATCAGTGGGACCCTGAGTGCTTTGGTGGGACCCTGTCTGTGGCACGGGGTGGTAGCTGTCCCATCCTTTTATATACCTGCAAAGGGTTGGGGATCTCAAAGAGCTTTTGTTTATGTGAGTCACATCTGTAAATTTACCCCATGATAAATAAAATATTTTTTTGTTTTTGAGATGGAGTCTCGCTCTGTCCCCCAGACTGGAGTGCAGTGGTGCAATCTTGGCTCACTGCAAGCCCCACCTCCTGGGTTCACGCCATTCTCCTGCCTCAGCCTCCTGAGTAGCTGGAACTACAGGCACCCACCACCACGCCCGGCTAATTGTTTGTATTTTTAGTAGAGACAGGGTTTCACCGTGTTAGCCAGGATGGTCTCGATCTCCTGACCTCGTGATCCGCCCGCCTCGGCCTCCCAAAGTGCTGGGATTACAGGCATGAGCCACCGCACCCAGTCACCACATGATAAATTAAATTATTATTTGAGATGATAGTAACAAACCTATTCTATGTTAGCATAAATAACATTTTTAAATGAATATTTTCTTAAAATTTAATGAAGGGTGGCAGCAGTTTTGTCTTTTCTGCAAAACTTTTTTTTTTTTTTTTTGAGACAAGGTCTCTCTGTCACCCAGGCTGGAATGCATGGAATGCAGTGGCGTGATCTCAGCTCACTGCAACCTCTGCCTCTTGGGTTCAAGCGATTTTCCTGCCTCAGCCTCCCGAGTAGCTGGGATTATAGGTGTGTGCCACCATGCCCAGCTAATTTTTGTAGTTTTAGTAGAGACAGGGTTTTGCCATGTTGGCCAGGCTGGTCTCGAACTCCTGGCCTCAAGTGATCCGCCCACCTTGGCCTCCCAAAGTGCTGGGATTACAGGTGTGAGCCACCACGCCCGGCCTTTTCTGCAAAACTCTTCAGTGTTACACTTAATAGAAGACATCTGGGTTCTCAGGCCTCCTCTGCATTCATTCTGTGGTGATGTTTTATTTTGGTTGAAACATAGGAAGAAAATGTGGATCTACATGGATATGTGGTTGGAAGAAGGAGTGATATTTGTTTATTTATGAGATGGAGTTTTGCTTTTGTCGCCCAGGCTGGAGTGTAATAGCTCGATCTCGGTTCACTGCAACCTCCGCCTCCCGGGTTCAAGCAATTCTCCTGCCTCAGCCTCCTGAGTAGCTGGGATTACAGGTGCCCACCACCACACCCGGCTAATTTAGTATTTTTAGCAGAGATGGGGTTTCTCCATGTTGGTCAGGCTGGTCTCGAACTCCTGACCTCAAGTGATCTGCCCACCTTGGCCTCCCAAAGTATTGGGATTACAGGCGTGAGCTACTGCGCCCGGCCAAAGGAGTGATATTTAAATAGCTTTTGAAATGATTGTGGGTATTCTTTGATACTACCTCAAAAGTCAAGATGTAGTAGTAATTCCTTAAAGGTTGGCCAAATATGAAATTGGAGAGCACACCAGTGAATTTTTTGTCTTCTGTGACACTGAAATCTATTTGTCTGTCTTGCACTTTAAATGGATCTTTTATCTATCCATGGCTTTAGTCATTGGAAAATACTAGGCTGGGCTTGGTGGCTCATGCCGGTAATTCCAGCACTTTGGGAGGCCAAGGTGTGCAGATGGCTTGAACTCAGGAGTTCGAGACCAGCCTGGGCAACATAGCAAGACCCAGTCTCTACCAAAAATACAAAAAGCTAGCCAGATGTGGTGGTGCGTGCCTGTGGTCCCAGCTACTGGGAGGCTGAGGTGGGAGGATTGCTTGAGCCCAGGAGGCGGAGGTTGCAGTGAGCTGTGATCAAGCCACTGAACTCCAGCCTGGGCAACAGAGGGAGGCCATGTCTTAAAAAAATAAAATATATATATATTGGTTCATGTAGTCTTCCAAATGTTGATACATTTCATTATACAATATAAAAAATCAAATTTATTAACATACCACTGATCTCAGAAAAGTCTTTCAGGATTGGGAAGCTGTTATGCTGTTGGTGGCAGAAACAAGCTTTTCTAAAATTGCAGTTTTTGCTTGAGAGCTTAAACTTTGTCATTGTCTATAAATACTATTTGTTAGTTGTTTTCCTGTGATAGAGACACTTTGCTCATTTTCAAGAAAATGTCACCAAATACCACACCATGATTTGTCTGACTGGTGCTCTCCTGAGTTCTGAGCCTGTCTGTGAAAGACGCACCAGCCCCGCCTGGAATAGCGTGTGCTAGGTGAGTCCTCCACGGCCACCGTGCACCACGCGCAGCAGGAGTGTTCTATGCGGATCCCGCTTCTCCACGCAGATTATTATTATTTTTTGAGATGGAGTCTTACTCTGTCGCCCAGGCTGGAGAGCAGTGGCGCGATCTTGGCTCACCGCAACCTCCACCTCCCGGGTTCATGCCATTCTCCTGCCTCAACCTGCCGAGTAGCTGGGACTACAGGTGCCCGCCACCACGCCTGGCTAATTTTTGTATTTTTATTAGACAGGGCTTTACCATATTGACCAGGCTGGTCTCGAACTCCTGACCTCGTGATCCGCCCGCCTTGGCCTCCCAAAGTGCTGGGATTACAGGCCTGAGCCACTGTGCCTGGCCCTCCACGCAGATTATTAAAAAGACATGAACTCGAGGATCAAGATTTAATAAAATTAGTAACTTTTACTGCCTTTGATCAAGGACATTCTCAAGTGAAAGCAGCATTTTTATTTATTTTTTAATATATATATTTTAATTTTTATATTCAGAGGCAGGGATATACGTGCAGGTTTGTTATGTAGCTAACCGTGTATCATGGGGGCTTGTTGTACAGATTAGTTCTATCACCCAGGAATTAAACCTAGTACCCATTAGTTATTTTTCCTGCTCCTCTCCCTCCTCCCATCCTCCACTCTCCCATAGGCCCCAGTGTGTGTTCTCATCATTTAGCTCCCACTTGAAAGGGAAAACATGTGCTGTCTGCTTTTCTGTTCCTGTGTTAGTTTGCTAAGGATAATGGCCTCCAGCTCCATCCATGTCCCTGCAAAGGACATGATCTCGTTCTTTGACGGCTGCAAAAAGCAGCATTTTGTAACCCTCATGTGCAGTGGTGGGAACGCCTGTAGGCGCATGTGGATCCTGTTGCTGCCTGATTCTGCTAAGGGACGGTTTACCTGCCCTGGCTCTTGCTCAGGTGCAAATGTCGGCGTGGTGGAAACAGCAAATGCTGTCTTAGCGTCTGAAGATGGCTGTGACCTTGAGGGTCCCTGGCAGGGCCTTCGGACCCCCAGGACTTTGCCGCCCACACTCTGCGAACTGCTGCCTGAGGGACGCTCTGTGGGGTGGCTCTTTGTGCCTCTGGGGCCCCTGCTCCATCAGTGGTTCCTTGCTGAGAAACGCGGGCGGAGAGCTGGGCTGGACACTGTCATCCCGGGGCTCTCTTTCTCCATGCAGGTCTGGTCATCCCAGGGCTCTCTTTCTCCATGCAGGTCTGGTCATCCCAGGGCTCTCTTTCTCCATGCAGGTCTGGTCATCCCAGGGCTCTCTTTCTCCATGCAGGTCTGTCCACGTTCTCTGTGGGTTCATTGCCGGACTTGAGTCTGAGTTCATGGAGACTCTGTCGGATGAAGAAGTACTTCTGTGTCTCACCCAAGTGCTCCGGAGAGTGACAGGTAGGTACTCACCACACACGCTGGTTCCTGCCTCTGCTCGTTACTGGTTGATCTCTAAACAGAAACTAGACTTTGCAGAACAGAGAAAAACTAAATTTGGCTGACTCTGTACATCTCCAGGGACCATCCTTCCTCATGTTAGTGGGGTCAGTAACAGTTCTTACCTCCGAGGAACTGAAATGACTTTGCAAACACTTCCTACTTCTGCCACCAAAATAAATGCCGTTGTCCTTGATCAGATTTTTACAGAGGAGGAACCCAAGGCTCGGAAACAGTAGCTGCTGCTGTCACAGCTCCCGGGTCCCGGCCCGCTGCTGTCGGGTCAGAGGCCCCCGGGTCCCAGCCCACTGCTCTCGGGTCAGAGGCGGCAGGAAGAGCCTCTCCTGACACACTCTGCTGCTCACTTTTCTTCCTGCATAGCATCTTTCACGTTAAACTGCTCAATCTTTAAAAATGACAAAAACAGTTGCAGACCTGTGGGTGAGAGTTCTCGGTTAACATGCAGTGTCTCTGTGGCTCAGGAAACCCACGGCTCCCCGCGCCCAAGAGCGTCCTGCGGTCTCGCTGGCACAGCGCCCCGTACACTAGGGGGTCCTACAGCTACGTGGCCGTGGGCAGTACTGGGGGCGACCTGGACCTGCTGGCTCAGCCCCTCCCTGCAGACGGCGCCGGCGCCCAGGTATGTGGCGTGCCCCAGTCGGGGGGCGTGGGTCCCGCTGCAGAGGCCCCCGCCGAGTCTGGGCGCTGCAGGAGCACCAGCCAGTGGCGGGTGGGCTGGGATCCCAGACTCGGAAGCCATTTTCTTTTTGAAACTAAGAATAATTTTTAAATGTACTGTTTTTGTGAGAATTATACACACACAGCTTAAAAAGTCAGAGAATTCTGCAGTGCTAACAAAAGAAAATAAAACCAAAATGGCAGGTGGAGCCCCTTTTGCCCTTCTCAGACGGTGCTCCCAGCTGATTCTCATCGCTAAGTTTACTGCATCTCTAAAAACATGTTTCTGCTACCACGTTTTGAGATACATTTCCTGTGCAAAATGTCAAACATACTAAAGTAGGGAGAACCTTTCAGTGCCCACCAGGCTTCCCCTAAGCCAAGCTTCTCCCCGCCCACCCCCGCCCTTTTTTATTAAGCATGACTCACACAGGACATTGTCTCACCTCAGGATATTTTGGTGCCTGTTTCTAAAAGATAAAGACATCCTTGTAAAATACTTAACTATGATGCTGAGGGCAGTGGCTCACACCTGTAATCCTAGTGCTTTGGGAGGCCTAGGCAGGAGGTTTGCTGAGGCCAAGAGTTCGAGACCAGCCTGGGCAACATAGTGAGAGTCGGTCTCCACACACACACACACACACACACACACACACACACAAGTAGCCAGGCATGGTAGCATGCACCTGTAGTCCCAGCTGCTCAGGCTTGGGCCCAGGAAGTTGAGGCTGGAGTAAGCTATGACTGCACCACTGGACTCCAGCCTGGGTGTCAGAGCAAGACTCTGTCTCAGAAAACATAAAAATAAAACCATATAACTATGATACCATTTACCCACTTAAAAATTAATAATCATTCCTCAATATGATCCAATATTTAGTCACTGTTCAGTTTTCCAATCAGCTCATGGTCTCTCTTCAGTGAACCTGCTTGGAAATGTTGCTTCTTGAGTTTTCAGTTTCAGGTGTTACTAATTGACTTCTCATTACATCAGATAAGGCTGTAGCTTTCTTCCTCTGCCCACCCGACTCCCAGATCCCTCCCCCACCCTCCCCATATGTGATCCAGGAGTTGAGGCCAGATCACTATTCAGTGTTTACACCCCTTGTTTTCTCTAAAAGCTGTTCACACCTGAGCTGCGGGGTGCAGTGGCTTCCTTTCCCACCCATTGGTGGATGCGTGTGAGCCGTCTTCCCACCCGTTGGTGGATGCGTGTGAGCCGTTTTCCCGCCCGTTGGTGGATGCGTGTGAGCCGTTTTCCCGCCCGTTGGTGGATGCGTGTGAGCCGTTTTCCTGGCTGTTGATGGATACATGTGAGCTGTTTTCCTGCCCGTTGGTGGATGTGTGTGAGCTGTTTTCCTGGCTATTGGTGGGTACACGTGAGCCCTTTTCTCGTCCGTTGGTGGAGGTGTGTGAGCTGTTTTCCTGCTTCTTGGTGGATGCTTGTGAGCCATTTTCTGTGTTTCCTTGCCCAGACCCTGCTGTCTGAATTGCATCCCCATTCTAACCCTGGCTCTTCTTTGCAGCTCCAGATCCTGTTTGCGGGGGAAGCCACACATCGCACGTTTTACTCCACGACGCACGGGGCTCTGCTGTCGGGATGGAGGGAGGCCGACCGCCTCCTCAGTCTGTGGGCCCCGCAGGTGCAGCAGCCCAGGCCCAGGCTCTAGCTGGGCCCAGCCTACTCTGTTCCACCCGTGTCGGGGGTAGGCTGGGACCCTCATTTCTTCTGACAGATTTCAGTCTGGCTTGAAATTTGGGGATGTTAATGAGGGTCCTCTGGTTTTTGGTAACCAGGGCCACCTTCTCAGTTCTTGTGTCTGTTATTGGAGTCTGGCCAGGGTTGACTTGAGCTGAGACACCAGATGCTCACGGAGATGCTGGACACATAAAGCAAGTTACAGCCACAGCTCCCAGAGCCATCTTTCCTGCCTTGAGGCTGTCCTGTCCTTCCTGCCTTGGGGCTCCAGCATCTGCTGCTGTTGTCTTTGTCTTGCTCCGGGCCCAGGTTGCACAGGGCCCTGTGTCTCCAATCCCCACAACCACACATGGCCCCACACTCTGGGTTCCCTGAACTCTGGGTCCTGTAGTTGCTTCTCGTGCCCCTGCATTCTCGTGGCTGCTGCCTGGGATGACAGCATAGCTGACAACCCTCCTCTTGCTCATCAACTGATGCTGCATCAGGCGCCCACTTCACAGGTTCGCAGGGCACTGGGGAGATGAGGGGTGCCCTGCCCTGCCCTGAGGCCGGGGGTTTTCTGGAGGAAGTGAATACATAATAAGGCCTGAAAAGAGAAACGGTGCCCAGCCCATGGGAGCCAGGGAGTGTGTGGGGCGTGGGCAGTGCTGGGGTGAGTGTGCTGGGTGCTGGGGGGTGTTGGGGTGGGGGCAGTGCTGGGGTGCTGGGGGGTGTTGGGGTGTGGGTAGTGTTGGGTGCTGGGGGGTGTTGGGGTGAGTGTGCTGGGTGCCGGGGGATGTTGGGGTGTGGGCAGTGCTGGGGTACCACGTGGTATTGGGGTGAATGTGCTGGGAGTCCAGGCCCCTCTCCGGCCCCTCCACCCCAGCCTGGATCTGCAGGGCTCCTCTCTTCTCACCCTCTGGTCTCTGTTCAAATTGCCCCTCCTAGGATGTTCCCTGACCCCACCCTCCCGAGCCCCAGCCTCCCTCTGTAGCCAGCAGCCCCACCTGCATTTGCTGTGTCACCAGACTGTTCTCTCTGGGGACACCTGCCCATCAGACGCCTGGGAGAGAAATTCAGATTCCACAGGGTTTTATTGTGGTTTTGTGCTCCTAGGACCATGAGGGAATGCAGCTTCCTTAAAGTACAAAAATCTTTATCATTGACATTTAGGGTTTCATCAATTCTGTATCCCAGGGAGAAAGGCAGCAAGACCCAGGCTGCCCCCTCTGGGTGTGAGGGACCGGCTTGGTGAGGAGGGGGCTTGGGGGCATTGACCTAGCAGGAGGCCCTGACTGCCCCCACTCAGCCCAGAAACCACCTGGGAGGCTTCTGTCTTCCACGGAGGGGCCACTCTCTCATGCCCAAAAATATTTACAGCTAGGCGTTAGGGTATTAGGTGGTTTAAGAACATCAGAACCATGGCAATATTTTTGTACTTAGAATTTGAGCATGTTTGGTATTTTCAGTAGCTTGTTTAAAAAATTCCAGTAGAGGCTGGGTGCCATGGCTCATGCCTGTAATTCCAGCACTTTGGGAGGCTGAGGTGGGCAGATCACCTGAGGTCAGAGTTCGAGACTAGCCTGGCCAACATGGTGAAACCCCATCTCTACTAAAAATACAAAAAAAGTAGCCGGGCGTGGTGGTGCGCACCTGTAGTCCCAGCTACTCAGGAGGCTAAGGCAGGAGAACTGCTTGAACCCCGGGAGGCGGAGGTTGCAGTGAGCCAAGATCACGCCACTGCACTCCAGCCTGGCGACAGAGCGAGACTCCGTCTCAAAAATAAAAATTCCGGTAGAGTAATACTCTTGTAACGCAGTGTGCAATTGAGCAGTTGCTGACTGCTGATTTAGAGTTGAAATCCGACTATATTTATGTCTAGTCTTGGACAGTGGAGAATATTTCAGCCTCATTAATTAATCGGTTTAATTTAGCAGAACTGCAGTCAGTATTTGGAAACAGTTTGTTATATTAAACCCTGAAGTACTTGAGGCTGCGCGCGGTGGCTCATGCCTGTAATCCCAGCATTTTGGGAGGCCGAGACAGGTAGATCACTTGAGGTCAGGAGTTGGAGACCAGCCTGGCCAACATGGTGGAACTCCATCTCTACTAAAAATACAAAATCAGCCGGCGTGGTGGCAGGCGCCAGTAATCCCAGCTACTCCGGAGGCTGAGGTGGGAGAATCCCTTGAACTCAGGAGTTGGAGGTTGCAATGAGCGAGATCGTGCCACTGCACTCTTGGGCAACAGAGCGGAGACTCCGTCTCAAACAAAACAAAACAAACAAAAACCCTGAAGTACTTAAAAAGAAAATGAAGAGATTACATTTATAAGGTAAATTTAAAGTATTTGAGAGATTTTAACCAAATTGTAAAAAGAGATTGCTAAATTTTTACACTTATACTCAGGATATGCTTAAGGGAGAACGATGATTTTTAATATTTAATGAATGTTAATAAATCTGCGAATTACTTAAACCCACAAAACCCAGGAACCTCCCCGTCCCCCCGGGTCTCCTCGCAGTCCCGCCCCGACGCTCGACCCACCATTCGTCCCTCCCTCTGGGCCCGGGCCCCGCCCACTCCGGGCTTCGCCGGAGGCGGAGGCAACGTCGTGCGCACGCGCAGGCCGTGGTGCGGCCCCTTGGAGCGCCGGAAGCCCGCAGTGCCGGAGGCCCGCAGCGCCGGAACCTCAGAGGCGGGTCGCAGCGGCGCAGAGGAGGTCAGCTGCGGGAGCGTTTCCGGGGACGGTGCCGCCATGAGATTGACCCCGCGCGCGCTGTGCAGCGCCGCCCAGGCCGCCTGGCGGGAGAACTTCCCCCTGTGCGGTCGCGACGTGGCGCGCTGGTTCCCGGGCCACATGGCCAAGGGTGAGGCACGGCGGGGAGGGGCAAGGTCATGCCTACGGCCGCGGCGCCTCTGCTTCCCTCCCACCCCGGTTTCGGCCGTCGCCTGCTTCTCCCGGTCGTTCTGGGCTGGCCCCGCCCCTCCTCCCTTGTCTCCCCTCCTTCCCCGCTCTCACCCGCTCCCGGAGCCGCCGGGACCCCTTCCCCTGCGCAGCTGCGGGAGAGGCCCGTTCCCGCGAGTGCCCCCGCGGCGCAGCCTCGGACCCAGGGCCTGCTTGACCTCCTACCTCTGGCCCGCCGCCCCTGTCCTCTGTTCCCAGCAAGTTCCTTCTGCCCTTTTAATCCCCCGAAGCCTCCGTTTCCACATGTTCTTGACAAGATAGACTTTTCTGAGTCTTTTGGGGACTAAATGAAACAGTGGGTATGAAGGCACCTGTTCAGTTTTAACTGGTATCTTGAGTCGTTCTCCTGCTTAACGTCTTTGGTAATTCTTACTGTTTGTCACAATTCGGCCCCAAGAAGACCTCTGGGGCCAGCCCAGCCCGTCTAGGTGTTGTGATGGCCACTCCTGCGTCGGCTCCGCGTGTACTGGGGGCCGAGGGGGAAGAAGGGCCCGTGTGGGTGACTGAGGCTGTGTCCTCGGTCTTCGGATAACACTGGAGGGGAAGAAAGCTGGAAGCTTTGTTATCTTGGTTGTGTGTGGTATTCCTGGTTAGGGGACTATCGTCATCATCCCCGCGAGGTAGCAGGGGCCTAATGAGCCAGTGTTACTCTGTGTTATAGCCCAGATTAAGACCCGTGGAAGGGCCCGGCCCGGTGGCTCACGCTTGTAATCCCAGTACTTTGGGAGGCCGAGGTGGGCAGATCACGAGGTCAGGACATCGAGACTATCCTGGCCAGCATGGTGAAACCGTGTCTCTACTAAAAATACAAAAAATTAGCCCGGCATGGTGGCGCGTCCCTGTAGTCCCAGCTACTCGGGAGGCTGAGGCAGGAGAATTGCTTGAACCTGGCAGGCGGAGGTTGCAGTGAGCCGAGATCGTGCCACTGCACTCCAGCCTGGGTGACAGAGCAAGACTCCGTCTCAGAAAACAAAAAAGCGACCCATGCACGTTAAATATTCCACCCAGAGTCAGCCATGAGTCAGGTGGTGAAGACCGCATCTGGCTTTTGACACATGGCCCACCCTGTGGCAGGGTGCCTCCCAGTCTCCCACTCCGAGGGTGCGGACCTTGGAGGAGGCGCTCAGCGGATGTTATCTGTTACCATTACTTAGTACGCTTCCCTCAGATATAGTCTTTTTAGGTTATTTATGGTGGCGTGTCATTCTGGACGGTTCAGCTTGAATCGATCACTCTAGAAAGGTTGTGAGCCCCTTCGCTGAGGCGTCCTTCTGTTTTCCAGGGCTGAAGAAGATGCAGAGCAGCCTGAAGCTGGTGGACTGTATCATCGAGGTCCACGATGCCCGGATATCCTTTCACAGAGCAGGGGAGGCCCCTCTGCCTGAAGTCATATTACACATTAGAATTACCTGGGGAGGCTTTTAAAAATATGAATTGCGAGGCCCCTTTCTAGACCAGTTAATCAGAATCTGTGATGTGGGGTCCAGACTGCGTGTCTTTGAAACTTCATTGTTAATACATATATCTGCGTCACTCAAGCCTGACGGTACGGTGCAGCAGTGGAATCCTCTAGATGGGCTATGAAACTGTTTAAATGTTCCTGCCAACTGGGGCTTTTCTCCTGTACTTGAGGAATGAATTGGCAGGATGTGATGATTCGTTCACTGATGGCAAGAAAAAAAGTTGGTTGGCTGGTAAAGCTTTGGAGGAATTTTTACCTTAATTTTGCCACATCCCACTTTCAGGCCGCAACCCTCTGTTTCAGGAAACCCTTGGGCTTAAGCCTCACTTGCTGGTCCTCAACAAGATGGACTTGGCGGATCTTACAGAGCAGCAGGTAAAGGCCTTTCTCTCAGACGCCTTCAGCAGTGTGGCTGTGTTTTCCCGAGGTCGCTTGTTCTAACGGAAGAGTTGCCGGACGCACACTTGTCAGTTTGCCCAGGCAGGCTCTGCTTTAGAAACAGCCCTTTGCTTTGCAGAAGCGTGCCAGCATCGTTTCTCATATGGCGTGCCCCCATCTAATGTGTGGTTCGTGACCTGGACACCCAGGGAGTGCACGTCTCCTGTGGGAAGTGGCCAGGTTGTGCTGCCAGAGCCCGAGTGGTCAGTGAGTGCGCATTGTGGGCAGCAAGCCACCCAGGTGCCGAGGCAAGAGACCGAGGACACGAGCTTTTCCAGTGTAATAAAACATATGAAATAAGAATAGTTATACTAGATATAGGTCATAGATATGATTGTATATGAATATTACTAATCATTAGTTTGTAGCAATTACTCTTCATTCCAATATTATTATAATTCTTGCTCTATAATCATAACCTAGGAAAAACCAGGCCATACAGAGATAGGAGCTGAGGGGACATAGTGAGACGTGACAAGTGTGTGAGCCTTCTGTTATGCCCAGACAGGGCCACCAGAGGACTCCTTGGTCTAGCGGTAACGCCAGTGTCTGGGAAGACGCCCGTTGCCAAGCCGACTGTGGTCTAGCGGTAGCGTCAGTGTCAAGGAAAAGCACCCGCTACTTAGCAGACCGGGAAAGGGAGTCTCCCTTTCCCCAGGGGAGTTTAGAGAAGACTCTACTCCTCCACCTCTTGTGGAGGACCTGACATCAGTCAGGCCTGCCCGCAGTTATCCGGAGGCTTAACTGTCTCCCTGTGATGCTGTGCTTCAGTGGTCACGCTCCTAGTCCGCCTTGATGTTCCATCTTGTACACCTGGCTCTGTCTTTTAGATAGCAGTAGCAAAATTAGTGAAAGTACCGAAAGTCTCTGATAAGCAGAAATAATGGCGTAAGCTGTCTCTCTTTCTCCCTCTCTCTCTGCCTTGGCTGCCAGGCAGGGAAGGGCCCCTTGTCCAGTGGACACATGACCCACGTGACCTTACCTGTCATTGGAGATGGCTCACACTCCTTACCCTGCCCCTTTTGCTTTGTATCCAATAAATATTAGTGCAGCCAGACATTTGGGGCCACTACCGGTCTCTGCATCTTGGTGGTAGTGGTCCCCCAGGCACAGCTGTCTTTTCTTTTATCTCTTTGTCTTGTGTCTTATTTTCTTTTTTTTTTTTTGAGGCAGAGTCTTGCTCTGTCGCCCAGGCTGGAGTGCAGTGGCGCAATCTTGACTCACTGCAAGCTCTGCCTCCCGGGTTCACGCCATTCTCCTGCCTCAGCCTCCTGAGCAGCCGGGACTACAGGCGCCCGCCACCATGCCCGGCTAATTTTTTGTATCTTTAGTAGAGACGGGGTTTCACTGTGTTAGCCAGGATGGTCTCAATCTCCTGACCTCATGATCCGCCCGCCTCGGCCTCCCAAAGTGCTGGTATTACAGGCGTGAGTCACTGCGTCCAGCCTGTTTTTTTTTTTTTTTTAAATCATCGCAAGTGTTTTCACTAGTTGGTACTTTTACGTCATATCAGTGGCAACTCCTGCCTTTGAAAATGTGACTTTTTGTAGACTGGTGGGTGGCCGTCTAGTATAGGGCACAGCAGTGTCTGACCTGGTCAGAGAAAGGCCAGTGCTTCTGAAGAATCGGGAGAGAGGTAGACTTGCCCCTGGGTGGCCCTGCCTTCTGCCTCCCTGAGCAGGGACACCCAAGTACATTTACTACCCAGAGTGTGTGGCTTCAGGTGTGTGTCTTATGTTTGATCTCTCCATCCGTGTCATCTTCGTGGACAGCTAAATAAAACCAGCTGAATCAGTGAAGGACTTGTTGATTTAAACATCAGTCATACTTTAGGTCAGATGATTAACAGCACTGATGTTTAGAAATATGATACTGCTTTGCACTAGTTTCACTGCATGTTAAGGCCAGTGAATTCAAAAATTATCTGGGCGTGGTGGCGCATGCCTGTAATCCCTGCTACTTGGGAGGCTGAGGCATGAGAATCGCTTGAACCAGGGAGGCGGAGGTTGCAGGGAGCCGAGATTGTGCTACTGCACTCCAGCCTGGGTGACAGAGCCAAGACTCCAGTAAAAAAAGTAACATAGAAATGTTTTGTGTCTTTCAGAAAATTATGCAACACTTAGAAGGAGAAGGCCTAAAAAATGTCATTTTTACCAACTGTGTAAAGGATGAAAATGTCAAGCAGGTAGGCTTTTCGTCTGTGCTCTCTCTGACGCTTCTGCTTCAGTAGGTTCGAGGAGCATTATAAACTGTTTTATGCTTTAGTAAGAAGCAGAGCTTTGGAAAAGATCCTAGGTGTTGGTTTCCAGCTGCCACACACGGATGCGATCTCCTGGGGCAAGTGGGTCTCCCTGTACTGAGGGCACAAGGTCAGGCTGTAGACGCATTCCAGGGTTGTAGGTGGTCAGAGTCTTTTGGAGACTCAGGTAGCTCATGTTTCCAGTTGTATGTGGTAGAATTTTCTGGCTTGATGTGTTTCTTCATTAAAAGGTAGTTACAGCTGTCACTGAAGCCCCGGGTCTGCCCTGCTTGTTTTTGATGGGAGGGGACGGGCATAGGTGGTCCCCGGCCCCAGAGCTCAGTCTGACATCTGTGACCTGGACAGAACTCCAGTTTCCCAACACCGGATACTTGGTGTGCTACCTCCAGATGAAGGGTGACGCCCAGTTTGCCTATGAAATGTTGGGTAGAATTCCAGATAGGAGGTTTCTGTTTTCCTAACGGATATGTGAAAGTGGAGACACTGGAATCCCTAATCCTGTTCTGAGGTGGCAGAAGGAGCGGGTCAGTGCACAGACGTCCGACCTGGGGTGGCTCCATGAGTGGGTGTTTGTTGCAGATCATCCCGATGGTCACTGAACTGATTGGGAGAAGCCACCGCTACCACCGAAAAGAGGTTGGTTGGTGGGGCCCAGAGCTGGGAGTGGGAGGCGGGCGTGGGATGGGCCAGCCCCTCCTGCCTGGCCTCTCCAAGGAGAAGGCGCAGCGCCCCAGGCAGGGAGGCCCCTCCTTTGTCCTCTCATTCTCTTCAGTGGAAAGGGCCGAGGCCGTCCCCGCTGGGTGGGCAGAGCCTCGGCGTTAACCTCCCTTCTTCCCTGAGCTGACCTGGCCTGGGGTCCCCTTGCCTGGGTGGGGTTGCAGAGTCTCAGGCTCTAGCGGCCACGGTGGGCCCTGTGACCCCTCTCTCTGCCTGCGCAGAACCTGGAGTACTGTATCATGGTCATTGGGGTCCCCAACGTGGGCAAGTCCTCCCTCATCAACTCCCTCCGGAGGCAGCACCTCAGGAAAGGTACTGGCGCGTGCGGCTGATCACCTCAGGAAAGGTACTGGCGCGTGTGGCTGATGTGCTGATGCCACCATCTTTCTTGGAGGGGACGTGCCCGAGGAGCACTGCCAGTCTTCTGCTGACCCCGCAGCCCCAGAGCACATCTTGTCTCGTTCAGTCCAGTTCACAGGAGGGCTGAACAGTGGGACCAGGTCGTTCTGTGAATTTCACACTTAATTTTTCTCTCTTTTAAAATCTTTAACATGAAGATGGCTTTTCTAAACTTTGATATTTGTTCATTTATTTAAATCCCTTTGGCCGGGTGCATGGCTCACGCCTGTAATCCCAGCACTTTGAGAGGCCGAGGCGGGCGGATCATGAGGTCAGGAGATTGAGACCATTCTTGCTGAAACGGTGAAACCCCGTCTCTACTAAAAATACGAAAAATTAGGTGGGTGTGGTGGCGGGCACCTGTAGTCCCAGCCACTTAGGAGGCTGAGGCAGGAGAATGGCGTGAACCCGGGAGGCGGAGCTTGCAGTGAGTTGAGATTGTGCCACTGCGTTCCAGCCTGGGCGACAGAGCGAGACTCCGTCTCAAAAAAAAAAAGAAAAGAAAAGAAAAAAAATCCCTTTGATCCAGAGAATACAAAGCGTGTGAAGTAGACGGGGCTGGATTATCAGGCAGGGAGGCTGCAAGGCCATTCCTCCATGGCGTCCGCCTTGCCTTTGCTGGAGGGTTCCTGGACTCCGGAGTCGCAGGCGCTCCTTTCCTCCCTCTGTGCCTGTTCTCAGACTCTGATTCAAAGCAGGAGCCCCGAGCACCCTTCACTGCCCCGTGGGCTCTTTTCCTTAAGTATTTTCAAGTTTAATTCAAGTCCTTGTTGGCTTCATTTTTCATATTAATAAGGCATTTATTAACAAACCCATTCATGATGTGCAAATCTGAAGGCTTTAAACTACGGTGAACTGTTATTTTACAGAGAGGGTGTTTTTGGTGCTAATTGGAGCATTGTTACAGTCATTTATTCTTTTAAGTTTATTTTTAAGCGTATTATTTTTTATCAGTGGTATTAAGTGCATTTATAGGGTTATGCAGCCAGCACCACTATTTTCAAATATTTTGGTTACCTGAAAATGAAACTCTGTAAATACAAAGAGTCACTCCCCCAGCCTCCTACACCCCTCGTTCCACTTTCTGTCTGTGAATTCGATGACTGTAACTGCCTCCTCCAAGTGGACTCACAGTACTTGGCCTTTTGTGACTGGCTGATGTCACCGATCGTGATGTCCTCAAGGTTCGTCTGTGTTGTCCTGAGTGTCAGAATTTTATTCCTTTTTAAGGCTGATCACCCCGTTGTGTGTACAGACCACATCCTGTCTTGTCCATTCATCTGGATGGACACTTGTGTTTTTTATTCTTGGGTTGTTTGTCCACAGTGGAGTGGCCTCCTTGGGACACACCCTGAGCTGGGTCCTAGAGCAGCCAGTCGCCTGTGGACAGTGCTGTGGGAGGCAGGCTGACCTTGGGGTGCAGGGGTGGGTCCAGGAGGGAGGTGGGGGACTGCGTGGAAGGAGCAGCTCAGGTCTGACCTCCGCAGTCTGACAGTGCCTTTCCAGTCCTGGGGAGTTAGGTTCTGGTGCATTTGTTGAAGAATCTCAGTCTCTGTGTGGCTTGGAAAGTGCCCTTGCTGTGAGCTGGTTTGTGACTGAAAGTGAAACAAATTATAGCCTTGGGAAGCTCATCTGGCTTTTAGTTTCCATTTTGGCCAGATATGTTTGTTACATAGTCTCCCTGCTTGGCTGGTAAGTTGTGTTTGTTACATAGTCTCCCTGCTTGGCTGGTCAGATGTGTTTGTTACATACGTCTCCCTACTTGTTCTGCAGCTTCTGTGTTTAGTATACATTTGAGCCTCCTTTTCTCCTTTTCCTACAGGGAAAGCCACCAGGGTGGGTGGCGAGCCTGGGATCACCAGAGCTGTGATGTCCAAAATTCAGGTGGAGTCCTCAGGGGCCAGGCCCAGCACTCTGTCAAGAGCTCTGCAGGCGTCTGGCACCTGCCGACCTCTGTGTGGCTTCCGGCTGCTGACCACGCTTCCCTCCCCTCCACTCAGTGTCCCCGCTGAGCACCCCCGGGGCAGGCACTGCCCCTGCCCTTATTCCACAGTCGTCATAGTCTTTGCGCCAAACCTTTGGGGAAGGCACGCTGTTTTCCCCATTTCCAGATGAGGAGGCCACTGTCCAGGGCCATGCAGTGGTCAGGACAGACCTGAGTGTGGCGCCCCCCGCCCCACCCTCCACTCCCTTCCTTGTGTTCTCCTTGGGAGCAGAAGACAAGCTGTTGGGACCTGACGCTTTTATTTATTCTCCAAATTAAGTGGGAATTAGATCCTCTGGGGAACCCTGGAGCTTGGTGAGAGTGACGCTGCCATGGGGTTGGGTCCCTGAGGCCTTCCTCGGAGCATTGGGTGCCAGGGGCTGCCCAGGCTTCCTGAGTGGCCCACCTGGGTGGGAGGCTGCCACCGCGGCCTGATCATGCCCTCTGTGCCCACACAGGTCTCTGAGCGGCCCCTGATGTTCCTGTTGGACACTCCTGGCGTGCTGGCTCCTCGGATTGAAAGTGTGGAGACAGGCCTGAAGCTGGCCCTGTGTGGTGAGCCGGGGCTGGGGCTGGGGCTGGGGCTGGGACCGGGGCCCCTGCCACCCCACCTTTAGGGCTGGCTTTGGCACAGGGCCCCTAGACGGGAGTTGTTACTGCCTTTGACCTGGTTGCTGCCAGACCTTCCTCGAAGCTTAGTGTGAGAGCTGTAATAGTGCACAGCTGACAGGCACTGGTCACCATTCCACCCTGCCCCATGAGTGGCCTTCCCTTTCCCCATTTGACGGACCAGGGCAGAGAGGTTGGTCGCAGGTGCCAGGCAGGAGTGGGGGCCGGGACCACAGCCGAGTGCCGTCCTCTTGGTTAGTGTCTTTGTCAGTGGCTGGCCTCTTCCTCACGGCACGGTGTCTTTGGGCTAGGACTGGAAGGGATGTGTTTGAACTTGGCAGGAACATAGATGTGGCTGTTTCCAGTGCTCACCTCGGCTGCTGCTTCCACAGGAACGGTGCTGGACCACCTGGTCGGGGAGGAGACCATGGCTGACTACCTGCTGTACACCCTCAACAAACACCAGCGCTTTGGGTGAGTGCAGTGAATGCAGGGCAGCTGGGGCCCCTCCTCCTAGTCACCTCATTTAAAAAAAAAAAACAAACAAAAAAACCCCCAGCATTATAAAGGTATTATAAACACGGTAACCTGCACATCGTTTAAAGCGTCCAGTTGGACAAGTTCGGGAGTATGGCTATACGTCTGTGAAAGCAACACACAATCAAGAAAACGAGCGTTCCCGTCACCCCCAGTCCCTGCTCCTCTTTCGTGAAATCAAGGAAACGAGCGTTCCCGTCACCCCCCATCCCTGCTCCTCCTTCGTGAAATCAAGGAAACGAGCGTTCCCGTCACCCCCAGTCCCTGCTCCTCCTTCGTGAAATCAAGGAAACGAGCGTTCCCGTCACCCCCAGTCCCTGCTCCTCCTTCGTGAAATCAAGGAAACGAGCGTTCCCGTCACCCCCAGTCCCTGCTCCTCCTTCGTGAAATCAAGGAAACGAGCGTTCCCGTCACCCCCAGTCCCTGCTCCTCCTTCGTGAAATCAAGGAAACGAGCGTTCCCGTCACCCCCAGTCCCTGCTCCTCCTTCGTGAAATCAAGGAAATGAGCGTTCCCGTCACCCCCAGTCCCTGCTCCTCCTTCGTGAAATCAAGGAAATGAGCGTTCCCGTCACCCCCAGTCCCTGTGCTCCTTCGTGATCACACCTTCCTGCCCCTCCCTGAGCCCAGGCAGCCGTCTACTGTCCCTGTAGGTTGCTTTGGGTTTTCTAGAATTCCACGTAGATGGAATCACACAGGATGTGCATTCTTGTTGATCTGTCACTCGGCACGATTGTTGTGTGATCCCCGTGTGTCGTCGTGTGTTGTCCGTCATTCATCCTTTTTGTTGCCAGGCGGTTTCAGTGTCCAGGTGCGCTGCAGTCTGTCCCTTCACCCGTTGATGGATATGTGGGTTGTTTGCAGGTTTTGGCTATTGCAGATAAAGCTGCTGTGAACATTCATGTACCGACAGGTCTTTGTGTAGATCCGGGCTTTCGTTTCCCTTGGGTTAATACCTAGGAGTAGAGTGGCTGGATCATAGGGGAGGCATATGTTTGAGTTTTTAAGAAACCGCCACATTGTTTTCCAAGGTAGTTACACTGTTTTATATGCTGGCAAGCAGGGAATGAGTCCTTCAGTTTCTCTAAGATCAGTCTTTAACTTTGGCCTGTCTGATGGGCGGGCGTGTAGGGGTGTCGCATAGCATTTCAATTTGCATTTCCCTGATGACAGGGACGTTGAGCATCTTCATGTGCTTATTTGTCATCCCTCTCTGGGGAAATGTCTGTTCAAATCCTTTTCCCTTTTTTTTTTTTTAACTGAGTTGTTTCTTTCCTTATTGCTAAGTTTTAATCTTTTTTTTTTTTTTTTTTTTGAGACAGGGTCTCAGTTACCCAGGCTGAAGTGCAGTGGTACAGTCTCAGCTCACTGCAGCCTGACCTCCTGGGCTCAAGCGATCCTCCCACTTCAGCCTCCCAAGTAGCTGAGACTACAGGCGTGTGCCACCACACATAGCTGATTTTTGTATTTTTTGTAGAGACAGGGTTTCCCCATGTTGCCCAGGCTGGTCTTGAACTCCTGGGCTCAAGGGATCTGCCCGCCTCAGCCTCCCAAAGCATTAGGATTATAGGCATGAGGCACCATGCCCAGCCTGTAACCTTTTTCTAATATATTCTGGATACAAGTCCTTAATCAGAGATACGGTTTGTAAATACTTTAAGTCTGTGCCTTGTCTTTTCAGCCCTCTTAACAGTGTTTTCCGAGGAGTAGAATTGTTAATTTTCATGCAGTCCAGTTTATCAGCTAGATCTTTTCCAGAGTACTCTTGTTGTCATATCTAAGAAATCTTTGCTTAAACCAGGGTCACAAGGGTTTCCTCATTGAAGATAGATGGTTTTAGGTTTTACATTTAGGGCTATGATCCTTTCTGATTTTTTGGTATATGGTACAAGCTGCAGATTGAAGTTCTTTTTTTTTTGCACATGGAGAACCAGTTGTTCCGGAAACATTTGTTGCAAAGACTGTCTTTTCTCCACTGAATTGTCTTTGCATCTTTGTCGCAAATCGGTTGTCCATATACGTGGGTCTGTTTGTGGACTCTAACTGTGTCACTTTTCTGTGTGACCGACCGTCTTGGTAACTGCTTCTAATTTAATATGAGATTTGAAATCAGGCAGTGCTGGTAGCCCCCACTCTTCTTTGTCAAAATTGCTTTGTCTTTTCCTGGTTCTTTGTATTCTCATGCATTTTTCAGTCACTTTGTCAGTTTCTACAAAAATCCCTATGTTTCTTGAGGCCGGGTGGCAGATTCCCCTGAATTTATAGGTCAGTCTGGGGAAGAATTGACAATATTGTAACACTGAGTCTCTGACCCGTGAATATAGTGTATCTCTTCATTTATTTAGGTCTTTAGTTTTTCTTTGCAGTGTTTTGTAGTTTACAGTGTTTTGTAAGATTTATATTGAACTCTTTTTTAAACTTTTAATGCTAAGATTTATCTTTTGATACAAAGTAGATGTTTTCAGGGTACCTATGATATTTTGATGCATTCATACAATGTGTAATGATCAGATCAGGGTAATTGGGATATCCATCATCCCAAACATTTATCTTCATGCTGGAAACATTTGAATTGCTCTCTTCTGGTATTTGAAATATCCTGTAGATTCCTGTTAACTGAAGTCACTCTACCGAACTATTCATTAATCAACCTCTGTCCATCCCCTCTTCCCCTCACCTCTGGTAATCACCAGTCTGCTCTCTGTCTTAATGAAGTCCACGTTTTTAGCTCCCACATTTGAGTTAGAACATGCATTATTTGTCTTTCTGTGCCTGTTTATTTCACTTAACAGAATGATCTCCAGTTCTGTTTGTATTACTGCAAATGACAAGATTTCGTCCTTTGTTATGGCTAATATTTCATTGTGTTTTATGTACCACATTTTCTGTATCCATCATCCTTTGATGGACACTTAGGTAGATTGCATATCTTGGCTATTGTGAGTAGTGCTGCCGTGAGCATGGGAGTGCAGTATTTCTTCAGTATATTGATTTCCATTCTTTTGGGTCTATACCCAGTAGTGGGATTGCTGGATCCTATGGCAGTTCTATTTGTAGTGTTTTGAAGAACCTCCATACTGTTTTCCATAGTAGCTGTACTAACTTACATTCCCACCAACAGTGTACGACAGCTCCCCTTTCTCTACATCCTCAACAGCATCTGCTATTCTCTGTGTTTTTTAATAAAAGCCATTTTAACTAGGGTGAGATGAAATCTCATTGTGGTTTTGATTTGCATTTCTCTGGTGATTAGTCATGTTGAGCATTTTTTCATACACTTGTTGGCCATTTGTATGTCTTCTTTTGAGAAATAATTATTCAGATCTTCTGTCCATTTTTAAATAGTTATGTGGTTTTTTTTGCTGTTGAGTTGAATTGCTTATATAATCTGGTTATTAATTCCTTGTTGAGTAGTTTGCAGATATTTTCTCCTATTCTGTAGATTATCTTGTCAGTGCTTTGATAGTTTCGTTTCTTGCTTCGGGTCTTGCCGTGCCGTCCAGGCTGAGTGCAGTGGTGCGATCACAGCTCACTGCAGCCTCGAACTCTTGGGCTCAAGAGATCCTCCTGCCTCAGCCTCCCAAGTAGCTGGGATTATAGGCACGTACCACCATGCCTGGCTTGCTGATTGTTTCCTTTGCTGTGCAGAAGCTTTTCAGCTTGATGTAAATTTTTTTACATTTGCCTATTATTATTATTATTATTTTTGCTTTTGTTGCCTGTGCTTTTGAGGTCTTATACAAAAAAAATCTGGCCCAGACCAATTTCCAGAAGCGTTTCCCTTACGTTTTCTTCTAGCAGTTTTGAAGTTTCAGGTCTTAGATTTAAGTCTTTTTTTTTTTTTTTTTTGAGAAGGAGTCTCACTGTGTCACCCAGGCTGGAGTGCAGTGGCACGATCTCGGCTCGCTGCAACCCCTGCTTCCTGGGTTCAAGCAGTTCTCTGCCTCAGCCTCCCAAGTAGCTGGGACTACAGGTGCCCGCCACCATACCTGGCTAAGTTTTGTATTTTTAGTAGAGATGGGGTTTCACCATCTTGGCCAGGCTGGTCTTGAACTCCTGACCTCGTGATCCACCTGCCTTGGCCTGTAATAGCCACCGCACCCGGCCAGATTTAAGTCTTTAATCCCTTTTGATTTGGTTTTGTATATTGTGAGAGATGGGGTCTAGTTTCATTCTGCCTGTGGTTATCCAGTTTAACCAGCACCCTTTTATGGGAGAGACTGTCCTTTCCCCAGTGTATGTTCTTGGCACTTTTGTCGAAAATGAGTTGGCTGTAAATGTGTGGATGTATTTCTGGGTTCTCTGGTCTGTTCCACTGTTCTGT
Source organism: Homo sapiens (assembly GCF_000001405.40). Classification (NCBI taxonomy): domain Eukaryota; kingdom Metazoa; phylum Chordata; class Mammalia; order Primates; family Hominidae; genus Homo; species Homo sapiens. The sequence goes on from NC_000010.11 coordinate 133,407,159, forward strand.
GTATGTGTTTTATGCCAGTAGCGTGCTGTTTTTGGTTACTACGAATATTTTGAAGTCAGGTAGTGTGATGCCTCTAGCTTTGTTCTTTTTGCTTCAGGTTTGCTTTGGCTGTTTGGGGCCTTTAGTGGTGCCATACAAATTTTAGGATTGTTTTTCTATTTCTTTGCAGAGTGTCATTGCTATTTTGATAACGATTGCATTAAATCTGTAAATTGCTTTGGGTGGTGACATTTTAACAGTATTCTTCTGACTGATAAGCATGGAATATCTTTCCATTTTTTATGTGTCCTCTTCAATTTCTTTTATCAGTGTTTTATAGTTTTCCTTGTAGAGATCTTCCACTTCTTTGGTCAGATGTATTCCTAGGTATTTTATATTTTTGTAACTATTATAAATGGGATTTTCTTGATTTCTTTTTTTTTTTTTTGAGATGGAGTTTCGGTCTTGTTGCCCAGTCTGGAGTGCAATGGCATGATCTTGGCTCACCGCAACCTCCGCTTCCTGGGTTCAAGCGATTCTCCTGCCTCAGCCTCCCAAGTAGCTGGGATTACAGGCGTGTGCCACCACGCCTGGCTCATTTTTTATAATTTTAGTAGAGATGGGGTTTCTCCACGTTGGTCAGGCTGGTCTCGAACTCTTGACCTCAGGTAATCCGCCTGCCTTGACCTCCCAAAGTGCTGGGATTACAGGCGTGAGCCACCGTGCCTGGCCTGATTTCTTTTTCCGATTACCTGCTGCTGATTTTTTTATGTTGGTTTTGAATTCTGCAACTTTACTGAAACCTTTTTATCAGTTCTAATAGTTTTTTGGTGGAGTCTTTCAGTTTTTCCCAATATAAGATTGTCATCTGTGAATAAGGATAATTTTGACTTCTTCCTCTCCAATTTGGGTGACTGTTATTTCTTTCTCTTGCCTAATTGTTCTGGGTAGGACTTCCAGTATTCTGTTGAATAAAAGTGGTAGAAATGGGCATCTGTGTGTTGTTCCAGATCTTGGAGAAAAGCTGTTTTTCCTTGTTCAATATACTGTTGGCTGTGGGCTTGTCATGCGTGGCCTTTATTGTTTTGAGGTGTGTTCCTTCTATACTCAGTTTGCTGAGAGCTTTTATCGTGAAGCGATGCTGAATTTTATTGAATGCTTTTTCAGCATTTGTTGAAATGATTGTTTTTTTTCCTTGGTTCTGTTTAATGTTATATGTTTATTGATGTGCATATGTTAAACCATCCTTGCAACCTTGAGACACATCCCACTTGATCGTGGTGAATGATCTTTGTAACATGTTGTTGAATTTGGGTTGCTGGTCATTTGTTGAGGATTTCTGCATCTGTGTTCATCAGGGATATTGGCCTGTCGTTTTCTTTTTCTGCCGTATCCTTGTCTGGTTTTTGTAGGAGGATAATGCCATATACAGTGACTTTGGAAGTGTTCCCCCCTTCAGTTTTTTTGAATAGTTTGAGTACAGTTGATACTAGTTCTTCCTTAACTGTTGATAGTTCAGCAGTGAAGCCATCAGGACCTGGGATTTTCTTTGATGAAAGACGTTTTATTACTGCTTTGATCTTGTTACTTATTATCGATCTGTTCAAGTTTTTCCATTTCTTCATGGCTCAGTCTTGCAGGGTGTTTGTATCCAGGAATTCATCCCTTTCGTCTGGGTTTTCCAGTTCGTTGCTGTGTAGTTGTTCGTAGTAGTCCCTAATGATCCCTTGTATTTCTGTGGTATTGGTTGTAATGTCTCCTTTTTTGTTTACTGATTTTATTTATTTTGATCTTTTTAAAATTCTAGCTAAATGTTTGTGGATTTTGTTTATGTTTTTGAAATAATTTTTTGTTTCATTGATCTTTGGTATTTTTTTTTTCAACTCAATTTCATTTATTTCTGCTCTGGTCTCCTGATCTCTGTTATTTCTCTTCTTCTACTAATTTTGGATTTGGTTTGCTCTCACTTTTCTGGTGCCTTGAGGTTCATGGTTAGGTTATTTGGAGTCTTCTGCTTTTTTTAGCGTAGGTGTTTGTTGCTATAAACTTCCGTCTTAGCAACACTTTTGCTGAATCCCATAGACTTTGATATATGGTGTTTCCATTTCCGTTTGTTTGAAGAAATTTAAAATTTTTCTTATTAATTTCTTTATTAACCCATTGATCATTCAGGAGCGTGTTGTTTAATTTCCATGTGTTTGTGTAGTTTTTGAGGTTCCTCTTGTTACTGCTTTCTTGTTTTATTTCATCGAGTCAGAAAAGATACTCAATAAGATTTTGATTTGTTGAAACTTGTTCTGTGGCCTAACATATGGTATATTCTGTAGAATGTTCCATGTGCCGATGAGAAGAATGTGTGTTTTGCAGCAGTTGGGTGAAATGTTCTGTAAATGTCAGTTAGACCTGTTTGATCTAGCATGTAGTTTCACTCCAGTGTTTCTGTTGATTTCTGGCTGGAAACACCCTACGGAGAGGGGGTGTTGAAGCCCCCTACTATTACTGTATTGCACTCTGCCTCTCACTTTCAATCTATCAATGTTTGCTTTATATATCTGGGTGCTCTGGTGTTGGGTGCATAGATATTTATAATTGTTATATCTGCTTGCTGAATTGACCCCTTTATCAATCGTATAGTGACTTTCTCTGTGTCTTTTTACAGTCTGACCTGTAGTCTATTTTGTGTAAGTATTGCTGCTCCTGCTCTTTATACAGTCTTTGACTTTTAGTCTGTTCTGTCATCTGTAAGTATAGCTATTCCTGCTCTTTTTTTTTTTTTTTGGTTTCTGTTTACATGGAATATGTTTTTCCACCCTTTGACTTTCAGTCTGCGTATGTCTTTATAGGTAAAGTCGGTTTCTTATAGGTAGCATATAGTTTGATCTTGTTTTTTATCCATTTAGCCACTCTGTGTTTTTTGCTTGTTTTTGAGACAGGGTCTCACTCTGTTGCCCAGGCTGGTGTGCAGTGGTGTGATCATAGCTCACTGTAGCCTTGAACTCCTGGGCTCAAGCAGTCTTCCCACCGCAGCCTCCTGATAGTTAGGACTACAGGCGTGTGCCACCACACCTGGCTGTTTTATTTATTTATTTATTTATTTTTTGTAGAGGCGAGGTCTTGCTATGTTGCTGAGGCTGGTCTTGAACTCTTGGCCTCAGATGATCTTTCCACATTGGCCTCCCAAAGCGCTGGGATTACAAATGTGAGCCACTGTGCCTGGCCTACTCTATGTCTTTTAGTTGGAGAATATAGTACATTTGCTTTCAATATTATTATGGATAAAGACTTAATATTGCCATTTTGTTGCTTGTTTTCTGATTGTAACTCCTCTCTTCCTTTTTTACTGTCTTCCTTCGCATGTGGTTAAGAGATTTTCTCTGTTGGTATGTTTTAATTTGTTGCTTTGTATTTTTAGTCTATGTATTATATGTAGTGTACCATCAGGCTTACAAAAAGCATTTTATATTTATAACAAGTTATTTAGTTATTTTAGCTGGGCGTGGTGCTCTGTGACTGTACCCTAGGTACTCAGGAGGCTGAGATAGGAGGATTGCTGGAGCCCAGGAGTTTGAGGCTGCAGTGAGCTATGATCGTGCCATCGCACTTCAGCCTGGGTGACAGAGTGAGACCCCTCTCTTAAAAAACAATCATTTTAAACACATGACACCTTATCTGTGATCACAGAGGAAAGAATAGAAACAAAGGAGAAACTGAAGAATTCTGTACTTTAACTGCATCTTTCCCCCAAATTTTCACGTTTTCTTATTTCAATTTATTTTTTTTTATATTGGCTCTCTCTTTCCAGGTTGCTGTAGTTATTATTTTTGATACATTTTTCTTTTAGTCTTCACACTAGAGATGTGAATGAATGCACACCACATTCACAGTATTATTCTGAGTCTGTGTGTTTACTTTTGCCAGTGGGTTTTATACTTCACATGTTTTCTTTTTGTACATTAGTGTCTTTTTCTTTCAGATTGAAGAACTTTTTTTTAGCATTTCTTGAAAGTTGGGTCTGATGAATTCCCTCAGCTTTACTCTTTCATGTTTGAAGGTGTGTCCTCAGTTGACAGTTGCATTTTTTTTTCCTTCAGCACTTTGAATATATCATCCCATTGCCTCCTGGCCTATATGGATTTCCTGGAGAAGTCTGTTGCCAGTTACATTGGAGCTCTTTTATAAATATATTTGCTGCTTTTCTCTTACTACTTGTACTACTTACTGCTTGTAGGATTCTTTCTTTGTCCTTGACTTTTGAGAGTTTGATTATTATATTCTGTAGGGTAGTTTTATTTGGGTTAAATCTGTTTGGTGATCTCTGACCTCCCTGTACCTGGACATTTATGTCTTTCTGAGGGTTTGAAAATTTTTCTGTAATTATTTCTTTGAATAAACTTTCTGTGCCTTCCTCTTGCTCGGTTCCTTCTTGAACCCCAGTAATTCCTAGGTTTGCTCCTCTGAGGCAGTTTTCTGTATCTTGCATGTGTTCTTCATTCCTTTTCATTCTTCTTTTTTCTCTTTCCTCTTCTATATGTTTTCAAATAGCCAGTCTTCAGGCTCACTGATTTTTTCCTCTGCTTGGTCCATTCTGCTGTTGAGAGCCTCTAATATATTTTTCAGCAAATGTATTTTTTACTTCCAGGATTTCTGTTTGATTTTTTTTTTTTAATTTCAATCTCTGTTAAATTTGTCTGACAAATTTGTGAGTTGTTTTTCTGTGTTTTATTGGAGTTTGCTGAGTTTTTTTTTAACTGTTACCTTGAATTCTTGATTTGAGCGCTTACACGTTGCCATCTCATTAGGGTTGGCCACTGGCTCTTTGCTTTGTCTGTTTGAGAAGGTCGCGGTTTTCCGTTAGCTGTTGTTTCTTGTGCACATATGTCTGTGGTTTTGCATTGAAGGATTTGTTATCCAGGCTTTCCTGTCTGGCTTTTTTTTTCTTGGATGTTTGCTTAGAGGTTTTTTGCAGCTTACTTTCTGCCTGGAGTTTTTTTCACTTCTCTGGTCTCATCCTCAGATTTGAGTTCTGGAATATTGCTGGTGATATTCTTGGCACTGGATGTTTGGTTTTGGTTTTCTTTGAGAGGGTGAGGGAAGCCAGATTGCTTCTACTTCTCTATTTGGTGATGTCATTCCCTCTATTAACTCTTCGCTATTTTTGATACTATTGTAAATGGTATTGTTTTTATGTTCACTTTTGATTTTTCATTGCTAGTATACAGAAGTAGAATTGATTTTTGTATATTGATCTTGTATCTTGTAACCCTGCTAAACTCATTTATTCATTCTATTAGCTCTTTGTAGATTCCAGTTAGATTTTTTACCTAGACAATTATGTCATTTGCAAATAAAGATCATCTTACTTTTTCTTTTCCAGTCCAGATGCCATATTTTGTTTTCTTGCTTTATTGCACTGGCTACAGTCTTCAATACAATTGACAGGTTTTTTTAGTATTTGAGATGTGGTGAGAACAGACATCTTTTTTTGTTCCTGATCTAAGGTAGGAAGCTTTTAGTCTCTTACCATTGAGTGCAGTATTAGGTATGGGTGTTTCTTAGATGCCCTTTATCAGGTTGAAGAGAACAGTCTGGCTAGAGGCTTATTAATTTTATTGATTTTTCCCAAAGAATCAGCTTCTGGTTTCATTGACTTTCTGTTGTCTTTGTTTTTTATGTCATTGATTTCCATTCGATGTTTATTTTTTTATTTCTACTTTGGTAATTTTCTATTTGTACTACCAATTATTGTGAGAGGGGCACTGAAATTTCCCACTGTAACTGAATTTCTGTTTCTTCTTGCTGTTCAGTCAGTTTTGGCTTCGTGTATTTCGAAGCTCTGCTGTTAGGTACAGAAACGCTCAGGAGATTGTTATGTCCTCTTGATGATTTGATGCCTTTATCATTAGGAAATGATCTTTTTTTATCCTTCAGAATATTCTCTGCTCTGAAATCTTTCTTGTCTGATATTAATATAGCCACCACTTTTGTTTTTTTGAGACAGAGTCTCACTCTGTTTCTCAGGCTGGAGTGCAGAGGTACAATGTTGTCTCACTGCAACCTCCGCCTCCTGGGTTCAAATGATTTTCATGCCTCAGTCTCCTGAGTAGCTGGGATTACAGGCGCCTGCCACCATGCCCAGCTAATTGTTTTTGTATTTTTAGTAGAGATGGGGTTTCACCATGTTGGCCAGGCTGGTCTTGAACTCCTAATCTCAGGTGATCCACCCATGTCGGCCTCCCAAAGTGCTGGGATTACAGGTGTGAGCCACTGCGCCTGGCTAATTTTTTTGTGTGTTTTTAGTAGAGATGGGAGTTTCGCCATGTTGGCCAGGCTGGTCTTGAACTCCTGACCTCAAGTGATCCACGTGCCTCCCAAAGTGCTGGGATTTCAGATGTGAGCCACCGTGCCCGGCCCATTTGTCTCAATTTTTGTTTTCTTTTTTCCTCTCTCTTGCCTCTTTAGGATTGAATATTTTTAAACGATTCTACTGTATCTTCTTTGTTAGCTTATTGTCTACAACTTTTGGGAGAGGTTGCTTTAGGGTGTATAGTATGTCTTTAAGTGATGACCTTACAATAATGCATTTCTGTTTTTCTTATCCTGATTCTTGTGCCATCATCATCATGATATATTTTACCTTTACATATTTTATAACCTCCAGATATACTTTCTTTCCTTCATACAGTTATCTTTTAAAGAAATATAAAATACCAGAAAAAAAGTTGTATATATTTTCCCATCAGTTTACCATCCACACCTTCTCATTTCTTTGTGTTTTCTTTTCTTTTTTTTTTTTTTTTATTGATCATTCTTGGGTGTTTCTCGCAGAGGGGGATTTGGCAGGGTCACAGGACAATAGTGGAGGGAAGGTCAGCAGATAAACAAGTGAACGAAGGTCTCTGGTTTTCCTAGGCAGAGGACCCTGCGACCTTCCGCAGTGTTTGTGTCCCTGGGTACTTGAGATTAGGGAGTGGTGATGACTCTTAACGAGCATGCTGCCTTCAAGCATCTGTTTAACAAAGCACATCTTGCACTGCCCTTAATCCATTTAACCCTGAGTGGACACAGCACATGTTTCAGAGAGCACAGGGTTGGGGGTAAGGTCACAGATCAACAGGATCCCAAGGCAGAAGAATTTTTCTTAGTACAGAACAAAATGAAAAGTCTCCCATGTCTACTTCTTTCTACACAGACACGGCAACCATCCGATTTCTCAATCTTTTCCCCACCTTTCCCCCTTCTCTATTCCACAAAACCGCCATTGTCATCATGGCCTGTTCTCAATGAGCTGTTGGGTACAACTCCCAGACGGGGTGGTGGCCGGGCAGAGGGGCTCCTCACTTCCCAGACGGGGTGGCTGCTGGGCGGAGGGGCTCCTCACATCCCAGACGGGGTCGCGGCCGGGCAGAGGCGCTCCCCACATCTCAGACGATGGGCGGCGGGGCAGAGACACTCCTCACTTCCTAGATGGGATGGCGGCCGGGAAGAGGCGCTCATCACTTCCCAGACTGGGCAGCCAGGCAGAGGGGCTCCTCACATCCCAGACGATGGGCGGCCAGGCAGAGGGGCTCCTCACATCCCAGACAATGGGCGGCCAGGCAGAGACGCTCCTCGCTTCCCAGATGGGGTGGCGGCCGGGCAGAGGCTGCAATCTCGGCACTTTGGGAGGCCAAGGCAGGCGGCTGGGAGGTGGAGGTTGTAGCGAGCCGAGATCACACCACTGCACTCCAGCCTGGGCACCATTGAGCACTGAGTGAACGAGACTCCGTCTGCAATCCCTGCACCTCGGGAGGCCGAGGCTGGCGGATCACTTGTGGTTAGGAGCTGGAGACCAGCCCGGCCAACACAGCGAAACCCCATCTCCACCAAAAAAATACGAAAACCAGTCAGGCGTGGTGGCGCGCGCCTGCAATTGGAGGCACTCGGCAGGCTGAGGCAGGAGAATCAGGCAGGGAGGTTGCAGTGAGCAGAGATGGCGGCAGTACAGTCCAGCTTCGGCTCGGCATCAGAGGGAGACCGTGGAAAGAGAGGGAGAGGGAGACCGTGGAGAGGGAGAGGGAGCGGAGCGGGAGCGGGAGAGGGAGCGGGAGCGGGCGCCCCTGTTTTTTCATAGACGGGTCCTGCACTCATTTCTTTGTGTAGGTCCAGGTTTCCTTCTGGTGTGATTTTACTTCTGTCTGAAGGATTTCCTTTAACATGTATTGTAAGGCAGGTTTGCTAGTGATGAATTCTTTCAGCTTTTGGTTGTCTGAAGATGTCTTTATTTCACCTTTGTTTTGAAAGATATTTTCTCTACGTGTAGAATTCCAGATTGACGGGGTTTTTTAGTGCTTGAGAGGGGTTGGTCTCCCTTTCTCACTTGCGTGGTGTCTGATGAGCCGTCTGCGGTCATGTTTGTTTGTTTTAGTGCTTGAGAGGGGTTGGTCTCCCTTTTTCACCTGCGTGGTGTCTGATGAGCCGTCTGTGGTCGTGTGTGTTTGTTCCTCTGCTGCTTCCAGGATTTTCTCTCTCAGTGCTTTTGAGCAACTTGATTACGATGGACCTTGGTATGGTTTTCTATGTGTTCCTTGTGCTTGTAGTTCATTGAGATTTTTGGATCTGGGTCTTTGTAGTTTTCATGAAATTTGCATCATTTTGAAACTTCATATCTGCAGGTGTTTTTTCTGTCCCTCTACTCCTCAGGACCTCAGGCATGCAGGTATCAGGCACGCGGGTATCAGGCAGGTGGGTATCAGGCATGCAGTTATCAGGCATGCCGGTATCAGGCACGTGGGCCTCAGGCACACAGGTATCACGTGGGTATCAGGCACGCAGTTATCAGGCACGCGGGTGTCGGGCAGGCGGGTGTCGGCACGCGGGTGTCGGGCAGGCGGGTGTCGGGCACGTGGGTGTCGGGCAGGCGGGCGTCGGGCAGGCGGGCGTCAGGCTGCTTGGCTTTGCCCCACCGCAGCTCAGTAAAGCTTTGTGCCTGTTTTGTGGTTTCTGTTGCTGTGTCTTCGGGTTCACTCATCTTTTCTTCTGCAATGTATAATCTGCTGTTCATCCCACTCAGTAGTTTTCATAGTTTTCACTTCCGCAAGTTGAGTTTGGATCGTTTTAAAAAATATCTTTCGTGTTTCAGCTTAGATTTAATGTCTTGTCTGCTAATTCTAACATTGGGTCAGTTTGAGTTGACTGATTTTTCTTCTCATTAGGGGGTCTGTTTTTTTGCTTTGTAGGCCTGGCAATTTTTGGATGATATATATATATATATATTTTTCTTTTTATTTTATTTTATTATTATTATACTTTAAGTTTTAGGGTACATGTGCACAATGTGTAGGTTAGTTACATATGTACACATGTGCCATGCTGGTGTACTGCACCCATTAACTCGTCATTTAGCATTAGGTATATCTCCTAATGCTATCCCTCCCCCCTCCCCCCACCCCACAACAGTCCCAGGTGTGTGATGTTCCCCTTCCTGTGTCCATGTGTTCTCATTGTTCAATTCCCACCTATGAGTGAGAATATGCGGTGTTTGGTTTTTTGTTCTTGCGATAGTTTACTGAGAATGATGATTTCCAATTTCATCCATGTCCCTACAAAGGACATGAACTCATCATTTTTTATGGCTGCATAGTATTCCATGGTGTATATGTGCCACATTTTCTTAATCCAGTCTATTATTGTTGGACATTTGGGTTGGTTCCAAGTCTTTGCTATTGTGAATAATGCCGCAATAAACACATGTGTGCATGTGTCTTTATAGCAGCATGATTTATAGTCCTTTGGGTATATACCCAGTAATGGGATAGCTGGGTCAAATGGTATTTCCAGTTCTAGATCCCTGAGGAATCGCCACACTGACTTCCACAATGGTTGAACTAGTTTACAGTCCCACCAACAGTGTAAAAGTGTTCCTATTTCTCCACATCCTCTCCAGCACCTGTTGTTTCCTGACTTTTTAATGATTGCCATTCTAACTGGTGTGAGATGGTATCTCATTGTGGTTTTGATTTGCATTTCTCTGATGGCCAGCAGCACATCAAAAAGCTTATCCACCATGATCAAGTGGGCTTCATCCCTGGGATGCAAGGCTGGTTCAATATACGCAAATCAATAAATGTAATCCAGCATATAAACAGAACCAAAGACAAAAACCACATGATTATCTCAATAGATGCAGAAAAGGCCTTTGACAAAATTCAACAACCTTCATGCTAAAAACTCTCAATAAATTAGGTATTGATGGGACGTATCTCAAAATAATAAGAGCTATCTATGACAAACCCACAGCCAATATCATACTGAATGGGCAAAAACTGGAAGCATTCCCTTTGAAAACTGGCACAAGACAGGGATGCCCTCTCTCACCACTCCTATTCAACATAGTGTTGGAAGTTCTGGCCAGGGCAGTTAGGCAGGAGAAGGAAATAAAGGGTATTCAATTAGGAAAAGAGGAAATCAAATTGTCCCTGTTTGCAGATGACATGATTGTATATCTAGAAAACCCCATTGTCTCAGCCCAAAATCTCCTTAAGCTGATAAGCAACTTCAGCAAAGTCTCAGGATACAAAATCAATGTACAAAAATCACCAGCATTCTTATACACCAATAACAGACAAACAGCCAAATCATGAGTGAACTCCCATTCACAATTGCTTCAAAGAGAATAAAATACCTAGGAATCCAACTTACAAGGGACGTGAAGGACCTCTTCAAGGAGAACTACAAACCACTGCTCAATGAAATAAAAGAGAATACAAACAAATGGAAGAACATTCCATGCTCATTGGTAGGAAGAATCAATATTGTGAAAATGGCCATACTGCCCAAGGTAATTTATAGATTCAATGCCATCCCCATCAAGCTACCAATGACTTTCTTTTTTTCTTTTTTTTGAGATGGCATCTCACTCTGTCGCCCAGCCAGGCTACAGTGCAGTGGCACAATCTCAGCCCACTGCAGCCTCCACCTCCTGGGTTCAAGCGATTCTCCCGCCTTAGCCTCCCAAGTAGCTGGGATTACAAGCATGTGCCACCACACCTGGCTAATTTTTGTATTTTTAGTAGAGACAGGGTTTCACCATATTGGTGAACAGGCTGGTGTCGAACTCCTGACCTCAAGTGATCCGTCCACCTTGGCCTCCCAAAGTTCTGGGATTACAGGCGTGAGCCACCATGCCTGGCTGGATGCCATGTATTTTGAGTTTCACCTTGTTAGGTGATGGATATCTACATTCCTGTAAAAATTCTTGAGCTTTGTTGTGGGACAGTTAGATTATTGGAAACAGTCCGGTCCTTTCAGGAGTTCTTCCCATTGGCAGGTCTCGGGGGTGGTCCGGGGCGCCTCCTCCAGGCTTGCTCCTCTCTCCTGGGACAGCTTTTTTGGAGCACCAGGGCACCCTTGAGGCTGCTGATTCAGAGCTCATGCTTGGTGCCTCCGAGAAGTTAGATTTAGAACCTGTGTTACTCAGGGTTCTGATGCTCCTATGGGCTCTGAGCTCATGTCTTGCTTTGCTGGGCCTTGGGGTGAGTCCTCTGTTACCGGCTCATGCTGTGACCAGGTCCGAGGGCACCAGCCTCCTCAAGGTTGAGCCTGCCCTCGTGGGAGCCACGAGACAGGTTCCCCTCACCCCTGGCTGTCAGGAAGGTTGGGAGAGTGTTGGGTCTGGGTTAGTCGGGCTCCCAAGGCTTAGGGTGGTGTTTGTCCCTGTGAGTGGCTGCTCTGTGCTGGCCTTTCCCTCCAGGCCTCTCTGCCCAGAGCCTGCACTGTGAGGAGTCAGAGTGCCCGTTACAATCACTGGGTGACGCTTAGCAGCGGTGGGTGCCTAGTCAGCCCATGCTGGTCCCTGTGCTAGGAAAACACCGCTCAAACACCCAGCCGGGTGGAGAGGATGCAGGTGTACTGGCTGCCTGGAAGTTACCGAGTGCCATCCTTAGCAGCAAACAGAGTATGTTTGCAGATGGTCTGCTGTGCTCCTCTTTTAGTTTCCAGGACCTGGGCCTGCACAGAGGCCTGCCTGTCCTACCCCGGATAGAGTGGATGAAGCCTGTGTGTGTGAACAGCTGTTACTCCTCCCGCTGCGGCAAGGGCTCCGGTGGTGGGAGCCGCCCCCCATGCTGCTGGCCGTGGCCACACAGGACGAAGCTCAGGGATGATTCTTAGATAGTGGCTCTCCCCCGGGGCCCAGCACCGGTCACCTGCAGTCTCATCTTGGTCATCCACAGCGCCGCAGTCACTGTCACCCACAGGAGGTGCCTGGCCGTGGCCTTTGTGGCATTCAGGAGGAAGGGCCCGGCCTGGCTGGCCGCGCGGTGTCAGTGCTGGGCCCCCTGGTGCTGACCTGCAGCCTATGTGCAGGTACGTGCAGCACTACGGCCTGGGCAGTGCCTGTGACAACGTAGAGCGCGTGCTGAAGAGTGTGGCTGTGAAGCTGGGGAAGACGCAGAAGGTGAAGGTGCTCACGGGCACGGGTGAGTGAGGTCGCTGATGCGGGCACCGGAGCCTCACCCCATCACCCTGGGGGACCCCGGCCATCCCTGGAGGAGGCAGGGAGGAGAGGAACGTGTCAAGGAGCATGCGCCGGGTCTTCTGGGAATGGGTTTCAGGGCAGGGGAGCTACAGAAAGTTCTGGAGAGGAAGGGCTTGTAGTCCAGGCTTCCGAGGGTGAGACCAGCCCTGCCGCGTATTGGGCAGTGCTAGGTGGACACCTGCAGGCCTCACATGCCTGGCCTTGGAGGCTCCGGGCAGCGTAGCTCAAGCTGTTTTCTTTCTGAGTGTGATCCCGTTCCCTGGGCTTCCCTGATGCCATCATGGAGCCTCTTAGGGCTGGTCCCTCAGGTGGGTAAGGGCTGGGCCTGTCCTGCTGTGAAGGCTCCTTCCTCACTGAACCCTCCCGTCCCCCAGGTAACGTGAACATTATTCAGCCTAACTATCCTGCGGCAGCCCGTGACTTCCTGCAGACTTTCCGCCGTGGGCTGCTGGGTTCCGTGATGCTGGACCTCGACGTCCTGCGGGGCCACCCCCCGGCTGAGACTTTGCCCTGAACTTGTCCGGGTAGGGAGGGCCGGAGGCATGTGGCCTCCCAGACCTCCTGACCTGGGTGGTTGAGGCTCAAGACAGCTCACCCGGTCCAGAAGCTCCATGCTGGTCACTAGGGTGCTGTGCTCTCTGGCGCCCCACAGCCTGGCCAGCTCCAGGGACCCCAGTTGCAGGGCCCAAGCAGGTGGGAGTGGACACCAGGCTTCCCAGTGGACGTCCCTGAGCAGCTCCGCATGCTTGGTTCTCCCGGAGCTTCCTGCTCAGGCCTCTTGAGAAATGGATGCTGTCTCAGAAGGAGTTAAAGCTATAACCTGTAACCTTTAAAATCTCCAGTTAAAGGGCCTGTTTCTTACTGGCCTGTGAGGTGCACCGTAGTGCCTTGGGCCTGTGTGTTAAAGCTGCTCTCACCAGTGAAACCTAAGAAATGAGCAGGTTGGCAGCTAGGGTTTGTGTTGGAGGCTTTCGGTCCAGTGTCTTGCAGTCCTACAACAAGTGAGAGGCTTGCTGCCATCAGAGAGGTTTATTTCACACTTACAGGCACACACAGACACAGACCAGAGACTCCCAGCAGCAGAGCCCAAGCACTGGCTTCGCCCCTCAGTGCCCTGGGGCATGTTCAGGGCAGGGTTGAGGGGGACGCCCTGCACATGGCTTTGCTGTGCAATGACTGGAAGGCCGCCCGGCATGGGCAGTAGAGACCCCTGGCCTCTGAGCACCTTCTAGCTCACGGGTAGTGGGATTCTGCATTAGTGGGGCTGAGAGATGTGGGGGCCCCTCCAGCCCCATTATAGTGCACCTGAAGGGGTCCACAGCCTGTGTCCTAGAAGAGGGAAGAGGAAGGAAGGTGGGTGGGGCTGGTAGTATGGACTAAGGTGCTGCAGGACCTGGGGCCAGGGACATCCTGTGCAGAAGCTCCGGCTGCCTCTTTGCGGTGGTGGCCTGACCGTCCCACAGCAGCCTCCACCAGGGCCCTGGTGCTCAGTGGCCCCTCTTTGCTGGCTGGCTGCCTCTGCTGCCCCATACCCCACACACTCATCAGCCTGAAGTTAGCCCCTGAGTGCCACCTGCATCGTGCCATAACCCTGACCGCCTGGGGCAGGAAGTATTCAGGTTGGCTGTGTCAGATGCTAATGTGCTGAATCAACAGTCATTGCAGATCACGAAGTGTCCATCATAACTGGAACATTCCATCAGCTTGCAGTGCTGTGGTGTGTGAGGGTCTGGTGCAGCTCAGCCCATTTTCCAGGTGGGCATCTGCAAAGTTGAGGGGGCTCCGGTGGGTCTCTCTGCTGTGAGGAGACTCAGACCACCCCCTGCCTCCTGGGGGAAATGTCAGAAGGGCTTCTCTGCCTATGAGGATCTGGGGCAGGGCTTGGCCTTGGCCTGCTGGTCTTGGAGGCGTTGAGCTTGGTCTGGAAGGGGTGGAGGAGCGTCTGGGCTCACTGGGCCAGGGGCATTGCTGGCAGTGTGGACGGGAGGCTGCAGGGCGCTGCCTCCTGTGGCTTAGTGCCCTGGAGCTAGAGAGCAGTGCTTGGTTGAGTCCTGCCAACAGCTTCCAGATCCTCACCCAGGCCAGAACCCAGGCCAGCTGGGGAAGGCAGAGGCTGGCAGGGCCCGTGGTGGGTGCTGGTCTTGACTTTGGTGTCCACTGAGTCCCGAGGCTCAGGCCCAGGAGGGATGCAGTCCGGCTGAGGGCGAGGCTGTCCCCAGGACATGGAGAGGGTGAGATCCCAAGGCCACGGCGGGGGGCAGGGAGAACCCCTCCTACCCTGGATGAGTGGGTGACTGGAGAGCTAGAGAACGTGGCAGACCCAAGACCTCTCAGTGCTGAGCCCATGGAGGATGCCCCAGGCTGGCGGGACTGGGAAGCAGAGGGCTGGTCTTAACACAGGTGTGTCCAGTGCTGGAGGCAAGTCCTTGTCGTGACTGTCCAGCGCCACTCCATGTCTCTCCTGTCCTTGGATGTTGGGGGGCTCAGCCTCTTGCATGGGTGTCCTGCTGGGCGCTGGGCCCCGCCACTGGCCCCCTGCTTGCTTTGGGGTCTGAGTTAGCTCCTGGCTCCACTGAGCAGGCCGTCAGCTGCCAGCCCACCACGCGGATACCCAGGCCCTGTTCCGAGGCCTGGAACAGCTGCTTCCGAAGAAGGGGCTGCCTTCAGGGAAATGCGTGCACCGTGCAGCCTGTGCTGTGCCCAGGGAGGCCTCTTCAGCGGGATTGGCAGTTGCTGTGCCCTGAGAACAGGCAGAACTGTGTGATCCCTGAATGTGAACCTGAAGTTCAAAGGACTTGGAAAGCTCTGGAATGTGTTGGTTTTTCCCCCCCAAAATGGGTCCTAAGGAGGGTAAAGTGACTTGTTTCAAGTTGTTGGAGCAAAGTGGGTCTCTCACGGATCTCGGCCTGAGGGTGTGGGGGAGAAGGCCTGGACAGCCCCTCAGGGCAGGGTGTGTTTTCCCACCAGCCGCAGAGAGCCAGGATGGACGTTCCTCGGACGGACGGTTTTCCTGCTTGGGAATGTTCCTGGGCTGTGAGATCCACTCTTCTGGGCAGGTGGTTAGCACCTAACGTTTTTCCCTCACTTCCCCCCAAATTCTTAAGTCCTTTGGTCCATTTCACTGCTTCTTTTGGGGAGGGTCAGATTCCTCAGGGGCTCAGTGGCAGAACCAGCCTGATGTCGCCTCCCTGCCCGTGAGTCACCACGGCCCCTGGGCAGGCGAGGGGAGCCGGGGTGGCTTGGGTTCCTGGCCTTGGCACCTCCCTTTGGGCGGCGATGGAGCGTGGCTGGGCGGTTGGTACAGGAGCCACAGGCAGCTGCCTTTTTGGCTGAGGGGACCCTAACATCCTGGAGTGGGTGGGGCAGGGCCCATGGTCTCCTCTAGGTGGGAGGTGGCAGGCTGAGGCGGCGTGGGCAGGACGGTGGATGGCGGGTCCACAGGGACAGCCAGCAGCTCCTGCACCCAGTGGGGCTCCAAGACCGTGGGCAAGGGAGGAAGGGGGAGCCCAGGCCGGAGGATCCTGGGGGATGGCGCGGGCCGGGGGCCAGATGTGGTCCCCGAGCCCAGCCAGGCCTAGGGCCGCAGCAGCCCCAGGGCTCCGAGGGCGCCGCCCAGCACGAGACAGAGACGCGGGCCGCGCGTGGGTCCAGCGCCCGAAGTCCACGCCCGGTAGCTGTAGATGCCGGGGCCTGTCCCGTTGCCTCCGGGCACCCCGTCCTCCTCGTCCTCCAGGCCGCGTTCCCCGGGTCCCGCGGCCCTTCTCCAGCCCGAGCCCGCCGCCAGGCCCGCGGCCGCTCCCGCCGCCGCCCCGGCTGCCGCCCCGGCGGCAGCCACGCGCAGGGAGGAGCCCGGGGCACCGTAGCGCTGCGCCGGCCTCACGCGCACCCTCGAGGCCCCGCGCGCACCCCCGCGGACCCCTCCCCGGGCACTGCCCCGCGCACCTCCGCGGCCGCCCTTGGCTGCGCCGCTGTCGCAGAGGAAGGCGGCCGCCAGTAGCAGAGCCCAGCACGTTGCGGGTGCCCAGTTCATCTTCGTGGGGCTAAACCTGCGGGAAGAGAGGGAAAGGGCCCTTAGTTTCCATGGAGATCGGGTGCCCAGGGGCGGAGGGCTCAAGGCTGGAGAGCAGAGGGACCCCCATCTTTTGTGGGATCAGGGTGCCCCCAGCATCTTGGAGGCCCACTGAGGCCTGGGGGGGCGCGGTTTAACCTCTAGCATCAGGGACTTAGGCCTGGGGGAGGCGCTGGGAAGTGGCAGGTGGGGCAGGAGGGTTCTGCACCTGAAGGTTGTGCACCTGGATTGGGGGTGTAGAAGCGGGGCAGGAGCGTTCAGGCCTCTGGGGGCGTCCAGGCCCGGGCGGGGGAGCAAGCCTGGGGGAGGGAGCTCTGCACGCGTTGCTGGGATGTGGGGGGCGGGGGGAGGCGGCATGGGGGGAGGGGCGTTGTGTTTGGAGGACGCGGTAGCCGGGACCAAGAGCTGGCTCAGATCAGGGTCTGGAACGGGGACGGGCCGTGCCTGGGCCTGGTCCCCACCTTTGGGGCCAAAGCCTGGGTGCGGGCCTTGCGGATGCTGCGGAGGACAAGCGGCTGCTGACATCGTGCGGACTCCGCCCCAGCAGACCCGTGCCCCAGGGGCAGTCCCTCCCGCGCGCGCCCGGCGCTCAATGCCGTCCCCGGCCGCCTAGTTCAGCAGCTGGCTGGGGGCGGGACGGGGTCGAGTTGCGGGGCCGCGTCCAGACACGGCTGTGCGGGCGACAGCTGCATCCCCTCCCCGCGCCGCCCCTCGCTCCCGGCCCCGTACCCGCCCCAGCCTCCCGGCCTTACCCGCCACGGGCCTCGGTTGGAACCGCGCGCTGGAGTATCCGTCCCTGAGGCCGCGGCCGAGCGGGAAGGAGCGGGCGGGCGGCGGCGCGGACCCTCAGCCGGAGCGCGGAGCCGCGGCGCCTGGGTTTTGCGCGAGGCCTCCGCCCTGGGATTGGGGCGGGCAGTCGCGGAGGCGCATCCCTGGTGAGCCGGTGGGAGGGGAAAAGGATGTCGCGTCCCCCATCCTTGCGGCCTCCCGTCCTCCGTCACCAGCCCCCTCCGTCTCCTGCATCACAAGGCCCCGTCCCCGCGGTCCCCCGCGACCCCCGCACCCGGCCCCGCTCCACCCGCCGTGCTTCCTGCCCCTCCACACCCTCGTCCCCACCCGGGCCCATCCCCCTGTGAGCCCTGGTGCCCTGGGATGAGGGCCGAGGTCCTGAGCGGAGAGGGTGCTTGTACCAGCCCCATGGTGGCTCGAGCCCACCCCGCGGCCCCTCCCGTGGCAGGTGCGGTTTCTCCACCGGTTGTCAGCTGCGGGGCCGGGCGGAGACCTCCTCAACCTCCGGCCTTGTTTCAGGGAGGATGGGGTCGACCCTTGCGATCCCCAGAGGCCCCCCATGGCTCCTCCTGGGCTGGCTGTCTTCCTCCTGTGGGTTCTGATGCCACCTGGGCCGACGGCGTCTTCTCAGCCCAGGGCGGCCGCGCCTCCGGTGAGTTTCAGCTGAGGGCGCACGGCCAGCTCCGAGCCTGGCTCCGGGTGCAGCACCGGCCTGGGACCTCTGCTGTCCCGCGTAGGGGTGCCCTGCAAATATGTGATGAATAAGTGAAGAAATACGTTCTATCTTCTAACTTGCCGGATGTTAGAAGGAAACCAAGCTTATGCTTCTCATTTATAGCTACCGTTAAGGATTGGACAGAAGCTTAGCTTTTTGGGTGAGACGGACAACAGTGTTTTTAGAACCTTTGGCAAGGAAGAGCTGGAAAGAACATGTATTTGAAAGTGACTGACAGGTCTTCTGGCCCTAGGGGGCCACCTGAGCAGGTGCACCCAGCTTCCCTCCAAGACAGAAAATAAATTAAGAAGGAGAGCAGGAAGGGCCCCGGCAGACTCCAGACGGGAGGGGGTGCTGCCCATCAGGCAGAAGGAGCTTGGAAGGGAGGGGCCGTGGCCATGGGACGTGGAGGTGGGAGCGGGGGTCATCATAGGTCTGCACACTCGGGTTGAGTCCCCCTTCCCCATCACACACAGGACAGCCAGCAGTGAGCTGCTTACCCCAAGGAGTCAAGGGGGTTCTTGGGCAACCCCTGGTGCTGGAGCCGGCAGTGGACAGCACCGCAGCCAGACCTTGCTTATTTTTGGCTCATGAGGAACATCTGTGACCGTTCCCTCCCCTGGCCCTGGGAGGGGATGTGTGACCTCCACTCAAGACAGCCATGCGGCTCCTCCGGCTGCGGGCGGGGAGGGCATGTTTCCCAGCACAGGCCCAGGACTGCCAGCTGAGAGGCTGGGAGGGGCCCCTCACCCCTAGACTTTGCATGTGAAGCCAAGCGTGGAGCCTCACAGGGAATCTGAGATGGGAGCCAGTGAGATGGGGGCAGGACCCAGAGGGGAGAAGAGGTCCTGGGGATGCTGTGGATCTGGATCCAGCGTGCGGGAGCTGAGGTTCCGGAGTGAAACACTGCCTTTCATGGAAGCACGTCTTCCTGTCACCCATCGGCTTCATTTTAAAGGATGAAAATGTATCAGACATTCAAGGAGAGCTGCATCACATAAAAGAAAGACCAGGCAAAGAAACGGAAAATAAATGGATTGAGAAATGTGAATGACTCCAATCATTCCAATCATTGGAATGAATGGATTGGATAAAACTCCAATCCATAGACTCAGATTAGGGAGATATATTTATATAATAAGAACAGGAAACTGTGAAGATGAAATAAGACAAAAAAGACACTTTTGAGATTAAAAAATTACTGCAAAAAAAAAAAACCAACAGAAGGATGGAATTGTATATTTAAGGAAATGTTTCTGGCAAAAAGGCAGCAAATATGAAAGAAAAGGGGATAGACCCAGGGGATCCATTTTGGGCTCTAACATCTAACAGTTGTTCCAAGGCCGAGAACACAGAATGGGAAAAGGAAGGGGGAGGCGGTGCTCCAGCTGATTTTATGATTCCAGAAGCCTTCTATCTTAAGATGTATAGGATGTATCTTAGGGTGTATAAGAGAAGCGCAAGAGAAACATTTAGGCTGTTTTATGTTTGAGTAGAGACATGAAAGTTTTAAATAAAGCAGCAGCACAATGAGTCCAGCGGCACATCAGAAAGCAAATCACCATGATCAGGTCAGGTTCAGGGTGGTTTTATGTCATGATATATGTCAGTGTGCTTTACCTATTAGTGGACCAAAGGCAAAAAATACGGTTTTCTACAGAGAAAGACAAAGCATTTGATTTCAATCAACATTCGTTTGTGGTGAAACATGTTGAGAAAACTCATCATAGAAGTGAAATGTTTTCTTTGATAAAGGCTAATCTCAGAAGACATACGTAGTGGAGAGCTTTTAAATGTATTTTTAAAAATACGAACCAATGAGAAGATTGCCTACTTTCACCGCTTCTGTTTAACACAGCATTGGCAGAGCTGCCACCAAGAAGAACACAGCACGTTGAAGGCACGGTGGCTCCTGAAGCTGCAGCCCTGAGACCTGATTGTACCATGGAAGGTGGGGTGGCTCCTGCAGCTGTAGCCCTGAGACCTGATTCCACCACAAGTGCTGCAGCTGGCAGAGGCCACAGGACATAGGCATAGCTGGTGAAACCTGCAACTGAGGGTGTCGGGGGCTCCTGGGAGAGCCTCCGTCCCCCCTAAGGAGAGGGGCTGCGTAGAACCTGTGTGCTATTGTCCTTTCCCCCTTTTTCCTGCTGGGAGTGGGACTTGGTGCCAAGGGTGGCTCCTGCCATCGGAAGACCCCAGGATGCTGGGTCAGCGGCTAGGCGGGTGGAGGGTGGGGTTGTCCCCGGCACACAGCGGTGCTGCTCTGCCACTCTGCACTGCTGGGTGTCTCACATCTCATCCCTGTATTAAGCAGGTACTCCCTAGACTTGCAGCCAGATGTATACCTTAGATTTAAAAGATGGTAGAATTTCTCTACCAGAACAAAAAATAGCTTTAAAAAATATAAGATAAAAAGCCATTCATAGTCTGGCACGATGGCTCATGCCTGTAATCCTAGCACTTTGGGAGGCCGAGTCGGGCAGATCACCTGAGGCCAGGAGTTCGAGACCAGACTGGTCAAAATGGTGAAACCCCGTCTCTACTAAAATTACAAAAATTAGCTAGTCATGGTGGTACATGCCTGTAATCCTAGCTACACGGGAGGCTGAGGCACGAGAATCACTTGAACCCAGGAGGTGGAGGTTGCAGTGAGCTGAGATTGCGCCACTGCACTCCAGCCTGGGTGACAGAGCAAGACTCCTCCTCCAAAAAAAAAAAAAAAAAAAAAGCCATTCACCACAGTCCGCAATGTAAAAGACCTCTATGAAGAACATCCTAAAGTTATTAAAGAATATAAAAGAAAATCTGCATAAATGGAGGATGCACAGGATATTGTGAAGGTGACAGTTCACCACAAATTGATCCATAAATTTAATGAAATTACAATAAAAATCTTTACATAATTTTTAAAAGACTCTGTTATGAGCTGAACCGTGTCTCCCTCAAATTCATGCATTGAAGTCCCAACCCCTAATACTGTGGGGGTGGGTGCATTTGGAAATAGGACCTTAAAGAGGTGACTAAGGTTAAATGAGGTGAGGTGAGCTTGATGTCGTTAACAAGAGCAACTCAGGACCCAGACACCCACTGTGGGATGGCCCTGTGAAGACATAGGGAGAAGATGGTGTCTACAAGCCAAGAAGAGAGGCTGCAGAAGAAACCAACCCTGCCAAACTGTGAGAAAACAAATTTCTGTTGTTTAAGCCACCCTGTCTGTGGCACTTTGTTATGGTAGTAACAAAATAGCACAGAGCCCAAAAGTTTCTAAAGTCTATATGGAAAAATAAAGGCCTAAAATAACTATTAATAAAATAATTTTGAAAAAGAAGATCAAAGAAGAGTAACTCACCATGTCATATTAAGACATAAAAAGCCATAGTAATAAAACAACCCAGTCTTGGCAAGGATTAGACAGAGACCAACACAAGAGAACAAGGATACCATTAAGAAACTCATGTAGGAGCCTGTCCACGTCTACAGGAATAAAACAAGATTGAGAATTTTAGTAGAGAATGGGAAACTAAAAGGACAAAAAGGAAAGTCTAGAATCAAAAAATACATTTTAAAACACAGAAGATTAGACATGGCTAGAGAGAGAATTAGTAACCTGAAAGATCAGAAAATATCCAGAAAAAAAAAAGCATGCAGAATAGGATGTTAGGAGGCAGAGGGTACACTATAGAAAGGCCTGACATGCCATGTAATATTAGAACCAATGGAAGAAGAGAATGAGGTAGATGTAATATTTAAGGAAATAATCACCAATAAGTTCCAAAAACTGATGAAAGAAATTAAATCATGAATTCTAGAGGCATTACAAACTCCAAGTGCAATAAATCAAAAAAAAAAAAAAAAAAAAAAAAAAAAAAAAGGCATACCTAGGTAAGACAGCTGTAAACCAAACAACTTCCAGAAGCGGGAAACTCAAATTACCTGCAAAAGAGTAAAAGTAAGACTGGCAGCTGACTTCTCAACAGAAAGAGGCAGTGGGTGACAAAGCAGAAATGCAGTTTGTCAAGTCCCTGTCCCAGCGTCACAGAGCTGACTGTGAAGGGTGGTTAGAAGCTAAGAGGCAGCAGATTAATAATTGGCATGGATAAAAAATAGATACCATGCAAATACTAACTAAAAGGAAGCCAGTGTAGCTGTATTAATGCCAGACAAAGTAGACTTTATACTTAAAGGTTGAGGTAAAAGCACTACTAGGGACAAAGAGTAATGCCTCTTAGTGATGAAAGGTAAATTTACCAAGATGATAAAACATTTCTAAATCTGTATGCACTTCATGACATAACCTCACAATATACAAAACAAAAATAGTAAGAAAGGAGATTTAGAGTGAAAACTCATTGACATAAATTTAAAACACAAATACCACGCATCTGTTGAGTACCTCTCTCTCCAAGGACACATGCTGAATGCATCACACTGGGTGGCTGTGATGAGGGAGGTGGGATTGGGGCATGGAAAAACTGAAATCAAGTGAGAGATACCTCCCCACAACCAGGTGCCGCAGCCCAATAGGAAGAGACGTGCTCGGTCAACTTAGTTTCTGCCCTCAAGCACCAGAGAGAAAAGGCAGAGAAAACAGGTAAGGGCATGTTGTCTATTCATTAGACCCATGGAGTTTTCAATAAAAGGACACAAAATGACATTCCTGTTTCTGAGGAAAGGGGACACCTGTGTGTTTGGTGGTGCTGCCTGGATGTGCCAGAGCCCTTTGCTCACCTGGCCTCAGGCTCTGCTCTGAGAAGCTGGGACCTCATGGCAAGGAGACCATCCCTCTGGGCCTGCAGGACTGGGCAGAGTGGCTGGCCTCCATAGCAGCTGTTCATCCGAGAGGGTCAGGGGAGAGGCCGTGAGAGGGGGCTTCTTGTGAGCTCCAGGCCCAGCTTCTCCTGGGCTGGAGGCTCCTAGCTGCTGTGGCAAGGAGCTGTCCTGGCAGTGCTGAGGCCCAGGTCTGGCATCTCTGCCCCTCCACTGCTCAAGGAGATGCTTGCCTGTGGCCACTCTGTGCTCTTGGCAACTCTGGGTGATATGGGCGAGGGCAGGACTTGCTGACTGCCCTGGTGGGAGAGGGCTGTGGCTGCCTTGGGTGGTCACCAGTGTCTGTGAGCACAGAGAAGGAGGAAGAGGGATTGGGCAGCTCTCCCTCCTGCAGCTCTAAAGGGGAAGGGCCTGGAGGAGTTTGGCCAGGGCCTCCCTGATGTTGCAGTTCCCAGGCAGTAGATGATGGGTTTGAGCAGAGGGATCCCAACCAAGTAGACCCCTGACACCAGCTTGATGAGGTTAGAGGAGCCGCCACCCCAGGTGGGAGGCATAGGTGGGGAAGGCCTTTAGCTGCTGGGCCTTTCTGGAATCCTCAGCGATCTGGCCAGGATGTGGGTGTAGGAGACCGTGGTTGCCTGCAGGGAAGCCGCAAGGATCACCTGGGCTGCCTGAGTCCGCATTTCTATGGTAGTGGTGCTGGAGCAAGAGAGCCCTAGCGGGGGTGGGATATCACAGAAGTGGTTGAGGACATCGGGGCTGCGGAGCCTCAGGCTGGAGTTGAGAGCCGTGGACACAAAGGAGGCTGGGAAGCTGCTGAGCTGGGCGCTGATGGCCAGGTGCAGGCAGAGCCAGCTGCATGGAGTCCATGATGGGCTGGGTAGTGCAGCAGGTGGCAGATGACCGGGTGCCAGTCACAGTCCATGTTGGCCGGGAGGATGCACTCAGAGGAGCTGAGTGAGAGGAAGAGGAGCAGCCAGGTGAGGTGCCCCGAGAAGGAGATAGATGGTCGTCGCTCGTGCTGGGAGTCCGGCCAACAGCTTTGGGACGGTGACCGAGGTGTACAGGGTCTCCAGCACCGAGAGTTTGGCCAGGAAGAGGTGTGTGGATATGTGCAGGTGGTGGCTGGCTCTGATGGTCCCCACGACAGCCAGGTCCTCTAGGATGGTCACCACATAGATGATGAGGAGTGACCAAATAGCAGCCCTTGAAGATGGCGCAGCTCTGGGAAGCTCAGAAAGACAAACTCTGTCACCACAGTATTGCTGGAATTGTATGTGGCCCTCCTGGTCAGGCAGCTCTGGGAAGCCCAGAAAGACAAACTCTGTCACCACAGTATTGCTGGAATTGTACGTGGCCCTCCTGGTCAGGCAGCTCTGGGAAGCCCAGAAAGACAAACTCTGTCACCACAGTATTGCTGGAATTGTACGTGGCCCTCCTGGTCAGGCAGCTCTGGGAAGCCCAGAAAGACAAACTCTGTCACCACAGTATTGCTGGAATTGTACGTGGCCCTCCTGGTCAGGCAGCTCTGGGAAGCTCAGAAAGACAAACTCTGTCACCACAGTATTGCTGGAATTGTACGTGGCCCTCCTGGTCAGGCAGCTCTGGGAAGCCCAGAAAGACAAACTCTGTCACCACAGTATTGCTGGAATTGTACGTGGCCCTCCTGGTCAGGCAGCTCTGGGAAGCTCAGAAAGACAAACTCTGTCACCACAGTATTGCTGGAATTGTACGTGGCCCTCCTGGTCAGGCAGCTCTGGGAAGCTCAGAAAGACAAACTCTGTCACCACAGTATTGCTGGAATTGTACGTGGCCCTCCTGGTCAGGCAGCTCTGGGAAGCTCAGAAAGACAAACTCTGTCACCACAGTATTGCTGGAATTGTACGTGGCCCTCCTGGTCAGGCAGCTCTGGGAAGCTCAGAAAGACAAACTCTGTCACCACAGTATTGCTGGAATTGTACGTGGCCCTCCTGGTCAGGCAAGTCACTTCTCAGCACTCCAGAACAGTGGGGAGACTAGGCTGTGGTGTGTGATGGGGTCACAGCCCTGCTCCACTGGTGAGAGCTAGGTAAGAGCACTGTAAGCCCTCCTGGGATCTTAGGGCAGGGGCTCAGGCTCACAGACTGTCCCACCATGCACCTTTGGGACCTGCTGCAATACTTATCTGTCATCCCCACCTCTCAGCCCAACATGCCCACTTACCCAGAGCTAACGCCTGGCCAAGGGGCCTTGGGACCTGTACACACTCATATGATCAGGTATACCCCCTCTTACACTTATACGCCCTGAGGTGCATAATCTTCCCTGCCCCAACACACAGGTACGTGGCCAGGTGCACACATATACACTCAGTGCACGTCCCTCCCCAGCTGCACACACACCCTGGTGCACACACATGCACCCAAGTGCACACCCCCAGATGTACACACAGCGCAAGGGAAGACCCATTCTGCCTGGCGTGCCTTCTCGGGGCTGTGTGCCTTGGGGCCCTTCCTGGACCTCAACCCTGCTGGCCCCCAGGGGCCAGGGGCACCCTGTACGGGTGAACAAAGCTTCCAGGGGTTTTGCAGAGGGGAGGGAGGCTCCTCCCCACCTTTTAGGTCCTGACATCTTTATCTTGTACTTTCTGAGCCAGCAAAGGGGCGGACGAGGGAAGGGCGGGAGCTGTCCACTCAGAGCCTCCAATGGGTCTGTGTGGCGTGGGGTTCTGGTTCCTGGACTTGCCTGCAGTTGGGTGTCTGAGGGCAGGATGGGGGTTGGAGGGTGAGCTGGGACAGTGGTGGGAGAAGGAGCTCCGCAGGCCTGTGCAGCAGCTCCTCTGGGAGGTCCCCGCCCCTCTCGGGGGATGTAAGCCCCAGACCCCTACCTCGCACTCTGCCTCTGGGTCTGTCTGCGCCTGGGCAGCGGCCGGGTCCCCGTGGACAAGTGGAATTCCTGGGTGACCCTTGACCCAGCCTTCTACCACCCCTCCCTCACCGGCGCTCGGGGGTCTGAGCTGGCGGCTGCTCCAGGCCCACCTGGTGAGGCGACTTCAGAGACCCCTACCCATGGCGGGGGCGAGGACGGAGTGCTGGGGGGCGCCACTGGCCAGCCTCAGGAGATGCATGGGCCCCGCCCTGGGTGCAGCGTGGGCGGCTGCGGGGAGGGGCTGGGCCGACGAAGGCTCAGCGCTGAGGACCCTCTGCAGCGCCCCCGTCCACCCCGCCCCAGTCCCACAGCACCCCGGGCGACGTGGACCAGCCAGCGAGGCACCTTGGGGCTCAGGGCTGGGGCCCTGGGTGCATCCGCGCAGCCTCCCCCAGGTCTTCGCGTGGAGACCAAGGTCACGGCGGGCCCCGCCTCCCTCGCAGGTGCGTCTCCCCCGGCCCCGCCTCTACCTGCCTCCGCTGGTGTTTCTTATTCGGTTCCTTTGTGACCTTGCCCTCCCCACCCCCTATCTGCTCCCCATCCTGGAAGTCTCTCATTGCAAATTTTCACTCCGATGGGACTGCCAGAGCGATTTGTAAAGTGCTCTGCAGGCCCATGGAGGGACCCGCTGAGCTGGGAGGCCTCCCCACGCTCTGCTCAGCCGCAAATAGAGCTTTCCATGCAAACTTCCCTCCCGGTGCCCTCACCCCGGGGACACCAACCTGGGACAGGTCGCAGACTCGAGGCCCTTCCCTTGAGGGTGGGGGCTGCTGAATGCTACCCAGTAGGCTGCCTTTGGAACACCCATTTCATTTATTTTTCGATGCATGGCATTTATTCATCTATTTATAAAATAATACAAAGAGCACATGAACCTCCCCTCAGCACAGGACATAGACAATTACTAACCCCTGAGCGTATCTCCTCCCCTCTCCCACCCTCAGAGACCATTCGTTGGGATTCTCTGGCTGCTTTCTTGAAAGCACGTTGATGACCCGAAACACGGGGCTTTGTTGGATTCAAGCTTCATAACCCAGAGCCCCGGGCTGTGCGCTGTCCTCTAGGTCTTGCTCTTTCATGTCAAGACTCTCCCTCTTCTCAGCAGCTGCACTCCACTCAGTCGGACACCTGTGTAATATTCCATGGTGTGACTACACCGCAAGTCATAACACATTCTTTGTTCACGGACACTTGGAACGATCCCCAGTCCTCTGTTCTTGCGAATGGCACTGGATGACATTCCTGTGCCTGGTTCCTGGTTGTCATGTGTGAATATTTCTCTTGTAATCCACCCGTAAGAATGGGAATGCTGAGGTCAAACTTTACTCAAAACCTCCTAAGAAAATACCAGATTCTTTTCCCAGTGTGGCTGTACTGCTCCACAGCTACTATGGCTCTCCCACCCTCTCCAGCAGGTGGTCTCGTGGAATTCTCAGTCTTGGCCACTTTAATGGGTGAGAAGCAGCGTCTCATTGTGTTGGTGACTCGTATTTTCCTGCTTGTCCCACAGATTTGGTATCAATGTGTGTTTCTGCTTCTGTGTGTCTTTTGTACATTTCTCCCAACGGGGTCATCTTTTAGTTATTGATTTGTAGGAATTCTTTAGCCCTTTCTAAATTTCTCTGTGGAGGCACAGTTTACACAGTAATGCGCTTAGTGTTGAGGTGATGGGTTTTGATAAATGTGTGTGTGTGCCTGGAACCCAGACGCATCAGGATGCCAACTTCCGTCACCCCACAGACATCCTGCATACCCTTTCCCACTTTATCCCTGACTCTCAACCTTGAGGCAACCACTGCTGAGATTCTTTCCTTCATAGGTTTTGTTCATTCTAGAATGTAATATAAGTGGAACACACAACGTCCTCTCTTTCGTCTCCAGTTTCTGCTCAGCACAGTGTTTTTGAGGCATATCCAGGGTTTGTTTGTTCCATTATTAGATAGTTTCCAGATGATCTGGAAATGTGTTATTTAGTTTCCAAATGTTCAGAGATTTTCTGGAGACATTTCACTGTTGTTCACTTCTATTTTAATTCCCTTGAGATTAGAGAACATACTTTGTTTTAAATTTGAGATTTATTTTATGGCCTAGAATATGGGTCTATCTTGGTAATTGATCTGTGTTCTCCCAAAAGAATGTGCATTTTGTGTTATTGGGTGGCACATCTTGTAGATGTCAATCAGGTAAGCTGGTTAATAGTGATGTTCAATCTTTATTGAAATCTGTGGTTCTAATTGTGGATTTGTCTCTTTCTCCTTGATGTTATATTGTTTTTGCTTCATGTATTTTTAGGTGGTTATTAGGTGCATACCTACTTAGGATGATTTTGTCCCTCTAAAGAATTAACCCCTTAATAGTTATGCAATGATTTGCTTTATGCCTGGTAATATTTGTTGTTTTAAAATCTACTTTGTCTGATATTAACTGCAGCTTTCTTTAAATAGTGCATGATATACCTTTTACCATTATTTTACTTTAAACCTACTTCTGTCTTTCTTTTTAAATTGTGCTTCTTGTAGGCAGCCTATAGTTGGGTCTTGCATTTTTATTCAGTCTGATAATCTCTGTCTTTTATTTGTGGTATTTAACCATTTACATTTAATGTGATTACTAATATGATTACACTTATTATCTACCACATTACTATTTGTTTACTATTTATCCTGTCTGATTTTTGTTCCCGTTGTCATCTTTTACTTCCCTTTTTCTGATTACATTTTATCTCCTTTGCTGACTATGACCTGTAACTCCTTCTTTTGTTACTTTAGTGGTTGTTTTAGGGTTAGTGTATTCCTTTAACTTGTCATCCTCTACCTTCAAGTGATATGTTATTTCTTCACGTATATTTTACAAGCTGTACAATAGTGTACTTCCGTTTCTCTCCTACTGGCCTTTGTGCTACTGTGGTCATGCATTTTATGTTCATGTGTTATAAATTCCACGATAAATTGTTATTATTTTTGTTTATACAGATACTTATCTTTTAAATAATAAGGAAAAGTGATGTGCATTTATTCCTATTGGCATTCATTGTGCTCTTTATTTCTTTTTATAGATCCTTATTTCCACTTGGCATCATTTGCCTTTTACCTGGAGGGTTTCTCTAAATATTTTTTGTAATGCTCATGATATATTCCTTCATCTTTTGGTCTGCTCATGATATATTCCTTCATCTTTTGTATGTATGAACAATTCTTCATTTAACTTTTGTTTTTGAAAGATATTTTTGGCCTGGTGTGGTAGCTCATGCCAGTAATCCCAGCACTTTGGGAGGATGACGTGGGTGGATCATCTGAGGTCAGGAATTCTAGACCAGCCTGGCCAACATGGGGAAACCCCGTCTCTACTAAAAATACAAAAAATTAGCCAGGCATGGTGGTGTGCGCCTGTAATCCCAGCTACTCGGGAGGCTGAGGCAGGAGAATATCTTGAACCCGGGAAGCAGAGGTTGCAGTGAGCCGAGATCTCGCCACTGCACTCCAGCGTTGGTGACAGGGCGAGTCTCCATCTCAAAAAAAAAAAAAAAAAAAAAAAGATATTTTTCCTGTGTACAGAATTCTAGATTGACAGTTTTTTTTTCTTACAGTCTTTAAAACTTTTGGTTCCACTGTTCTCTTGCTTGCATTACTTCTCTTGAGACAATGGCTGCTTTTAAGATTTTCCCTTGATCACTGGTACTGAGCAATTTAATTATGATGTGCCTCCGTGTAGTTTTCTTTATGTTTCTTATCTTGAGATTCAATGAGCAACTTGGACTTAGGAGTTTGTAGTTTCCTTCAAAGTTAGAAAAATTTTGGCCATTAGTTTTTCAAATATCTTTGCTCTCTCTTCTTCTTTGTTGATTCAGTTACATGTATATTAATCTGCTTGGAGTCATCCAACAGTTGTCACTGATACTCTGTTTCACTTAAAACATTATTCTCTTCTCTCTTTTTCATTTTTTGGTAGTTTCTGCTGCTGTGCCTTGAATTTATCTTTGCTTCTGCAATTTCTAATCAGATGGTTTGTTGTTGTTGTTGTTGTTGTTTTGTGATGGAGTCTTGCCCTGTATTCCAGGCTGGAGTGCAGTGGTGCAATCTCGGCTCAGTGACAGCTAACCTCCCGGGTTCAAGCAATTCTCCTGGCTCAGCCTCCCAAGTAGCTGGGATTACAGGTGCCTGCCACCACACCCAGCTCATTTTTGTAATTTTAGTAGACACAGGGTTTCACCGTGTTGGCCAGGCTGGTCTCGAACTCCTAATCTTAGGTGATCTGCCCACCTTGGCCTCCCAATGTGCTGGGATTACAGGTGTGAGCCACCACACCTGGCCCCAATTTCATTGATATTTTCAAAGAACTAGCTTTTGGTTTTGTTGATTTTCTCTATTGCCATTTTTGTTTTCTATTTTATTGATTTCTGCTCTGATCTTTATTATTTATTTTGATCACTTTCTGCTTAATTTGTTATTACATTTCTAGTTTCTTAGGGTGGAAACTGAGGTAACTGATTTAAGACCTTTCTTTTCTTATAGGTGTTTGGTGCTATACATTTTCCTCTAAGTACTGCATTAGTAAAATCCAGTAATTTTTTGATATGTTGTGTTTATTTTCATTTCAAAACATTTACTAACTTCTGTTTTGATTTCTTCTTTGACGATGGGTTATTTAGAACTGTATTTTTCCCAAATATCAAAATATTTCCCATAAATCATTTTCTTCTGTTGATTTCTCTTTTTAATTACTGTGGGCGAGAAGCCATCCAGGTGCTGAGGCAAGAGACTAAGGGCACGAGCTATTCCAGTGTAATGAAGAAAATATATAGAATAAGAATAGTTATACTAGAAATAGATTATAGATATGATGATATATGAATATTATTAATCATTAGTTTGTAGCAATTACTCTTTATTCCAATATTATAATAATCCTCGCTCTACTATTATAACCTAGGAAAAACCAGGCCATACAGAGATAGGAGCTGAGGGGACACGGTGAGAAGCGACCAGAAGACAAGAGTGTGAGCCTCTGTCACGCCCGGACAGGGCCACTAGAGGGCTCCTTGGTCTAGCAGTAACACCAGCGTCTGGGAAGACAACTGTTACTTGGCTGACCTTGGTCTAGTGGTAGCGTCAGTGCCTAGGGAAGGCACCCGTTACTTAGCAGACCGGGAAAGGGAGTCTCCTTTTCCACAGAGGAGTTGGAGAAGACTCTACTCCACCACCTCTTGTGGAGGGCCTGACATCAGTCAAACCCACCTGCAGCCATCCGGAGGCCTGACCGTCTCCCTGTGATGCTGTGCTTCAGCGGTCACGCTCCTGGTCTGCTTTCATGTTCCACCCTGTACACCTGGCTCTGCCTTCTAGATAGCAGTAGCAGAATTAGTGAAAATACTAAAAGTCTTTGAAATGCATAGAAGAAAGAATGGCATAAGCTGCCCTCTCTCTCTCTCCGCCTCAGCCACCTGTCCAGTGGACATGTGACTCATGTGACCTTATCAATCATTGGAGGTGACTCACACTCCTTACCCTGCCCCTTTGTCTTGTATCCAATAAATAACAGCACAGCCAGGCATTCGGGGCCACTACCGGTCTCCATGTCTTGGTGGTAGTGGTTCCCCGGGCCCAGCTATTTTTTCGTCTATCTCTTTGTCTTGTGTCTTTATCTCTAAGATCTCTCGTCTCTGCACATGAGGAGAAAAACCCACAGACCCTGTAGGACTGGTCCCTGCAAATTACTGTGTATTACTTTCAATTCTTTTAAGTTTGAGACACATTTCTCGGCCTAGAATATGGGTCTGTCGGGGTAAATGTTGCATGTGCACTTGAAAAGAATGCGTACCCTGCTGTTTTTGGATGGAGTGTTCTGTAAACATCAGTTAGGCCAAGGTGGCGGTGCCGTTCCTGCCTTCCATACCCTTCTGACTTGTTGCTTGTTCTGCCTCCTTGGATCTTGTAAGTGCAGCAGTTTCGAGTCTGTCTGTTGGTGTCTGATGCCTGCTCTTCCCACCGTCTCTAGGCCTGGTTATCTTCCGCTGTGTGCTGAGCACTGTGCTTAGAGACTTACTTGAGGGACTGATGAGAGCTTGCTTTGATGCAACCTTGAGTATTTTTGCTTGTTTTTACTTTTTCTGGACACATGGTGGCGGTAGTTGTCTAGAACCACGTGACTCAATTCAGTCTACACTTGATGTTCCAACTGAAGCTTCAGGGTTGTCCTGGACCCAGGGGCTGGGGCTTGTCGGGTTTATCCTCATTCCTCGGGGGCATAGATGTGGGTTTCCAGGGCCACTGTGTTGGGAGGACTTGGAGGAACTGGCATGGGGCCCGAGTGCTGGGCTTGCCTCCCTGGTGCCCATTGGCTCCTGCCCCCAGCCCAGCAGCTCCTCACTCACATCTACCCCCGGCTGCTTTTAAGAAGATCAGACGCATCCTGTTGTCCTCCAGGAAAGGGAGGCTCTGAATTAGTAAGTTGTTTTCTCTGGACATGTGGAACTCTCTCCTGCTTAGATATTGGATCTACTGGGCTAATTGTAAAACATACTTAATCTCCATTTTCCATATCACATTTTGGTTTAACTTTCTGAGTGATTTCTTCCAGTCCTTCTTGAGTTTATTTCTGGCATCCTATTTCCAATTTGTGGGTTATCTGTCTTTCTTTCTCTGACTCTGTCTTTCCTTTCTTTTCTCGTAGTGTTCTATTGTTTCAAGGGTGCAAACTGCATGTTCTGATGTCCGTGAGGATATTCACGGATTTCACCGCCCTCTGTCTCCGTGTCTTCCAGCCTCTTCTCATTCTCTCAGCCTCTGTCTATCTCCCCTGTTAGGGGCTCTCGTCTGATGTCTGGTGACTGTTGGCTGTCAGCCCACACTGGAGAGATCCAAAATGCTGACCAGGCCGTGGCAGAGTCATCTGGCTGGCGGAGGCCCTGCCTCGCCTGCCAGCATCACGCAGATTCCTGAGAGGAACATCTTCCGGGGTCCTGCCTGGAGGTGTCAGTGGCTGCCATCTACCGTCTAGGGATCTGGTGGGGCTGGGGTCTCTCTGTTTAGTACGGGGGCCTTCGGGCAATTCCCTGATGTCTGTCCCTCTGCTCTCAGAGGTCTGGGTGTGTCCAAGTCCGGGCCCCCTGCCTTTCCCTGGCTCACAGAGGAGGTCTGGGTGTGTCCAAGTCTGGCCCCCCTGGCTTTCCCTGGCTCACTGTCTTCAGAGTTCTACTGGGGTCAGGGCTGGCTTTGCCACCTTCTGAAAATCCCTACCTTCAGCCCCACCGGCATGTTGCTTTCAGAGCACCTGGCTGTTTCCTCCCTCTGTTCCTGCCCTGTCTCCACTGCAGACAAAGGCATCCCAGAGAGACCCCCAGGCCATGCACCACCCCGGGGCAGCCGGGTCACCCTGGGCTTGGACGGCCCTGGCATCTGTCCTTGTGACTGTGTGTCTGTGCCTATGAGCTCTGCATGCAGGGGCCCCACGGCCTGCAGGCTTTCGGTCAGCACGAGGCCCACGCCACATGGCCGGGCCAATACCTGAGTGTGGAAAGAGGCCTCATGCCTCAGCCTCTGTGTGTTTCTACTTTGGTCCCGAGAGTGAAGCTCAGGACTCGCAAGTGTCCACTGCACAGGGTGAACATCCCAGATTTTTACAACCTTGCCAGCAGGACTGACAGTCATTACTGAAACAGTTGTTGCAGATACATGTGATTCTGACCTACACGCAGGCTGTGTCAGCAGCTCCCAGCTGTGGGTCCCCATGACACCTGAAGGTCACCATAGAAGACACATGGAGCCACACAGCTCCGCCAGCCTGGAGCCACTGCGTTCGAAGGGGAACCGGAGGCTCCTGCACCTGGTCTACTGCCCTCCCTCTCCTCACAGCCTCTTAGGAGGAGCAGGGGACAGATTCCTCCGGGAGGCCAAGGCTGTAGCCCCCGTCGGCCCTGCATGCTGGGCTGTATTCAGCATGGGCAGCCTCGTCCGGTCTCCGAACCTGGCCTTCTGCAGATGCCCGCCCTGCAGTGGGATTGAAGGATATTTGCCTGGAAGAGTGGCTCAGCCTCTCCAGGGTCTCCTTATGTTATGGTCTGGGGGAAGGTTAGGGAGGGATGCAGGGAGGGACCTAAGGATGGGGCACCGGGTGTGAATCCCTGTGGGGAACCCCAGTGCCTGGGACAGGGTCCATGAGTGCCTGGGTCAGTGTCTGTTGTGGTCTGGGTCAGCGTCCATTGAGGTCTGGGTTGGGGTCCATCAGTGTCTGGGTCAGCGTCCATCAGGGTCCAGGTCAGGGTACATCAGGGTCTAGGTTGGGGTCCATTGGGGTCTAGGTCTGGGTCCATCGGGGTCTAGGTTGGGGTCCATTGGGGTCTAGGTCGGGGTCCATCGGTGTCTGGGTCAGCGTCCATGGAGGTCTGGGTCGGGGTCCATCGGTGTCTGGGTCAGCGTCTGTCGGGGTCTGGGTCGGGGTCCATCGGTGTCTGGGTCAGCGTCTGTCGGGGTCTGGGTCGGGGTCCATCGGTGTCTGGGTCAGCGTCTGTCGGGGTCTGGGTCGGGGTCCATCGGTGTCTGGGTCAGCGTCTGTCGGGGTCTGGGTCGGGGTCCATCGGTGTCTGGGTCAGCGTCTGTCGGGGTCTGGGTCAGGGTCCGACGGGGCTGTGAGCTCAGGTTCCAGCCGCCCTTACCCACTGGTTCCCAACAGAGCCGGGGGCCAGCCGTCCATGGAGACTGGGTCATGGTGGGCAGTGGGTGACCCAGCAGCTTGGTTTTTGTTTGGTAACATTCTTGGCCACCTGAGTCCTTTGTCCTATTTTCCTATTTCTCCTCCTCCTCGCCCTGTTTTAAAGTAAATCTACTCGTGTGCACTGTGGTTGGGCTTTTCCTGCTTATCTGCACCCTAAGTGCCTCAGGTGAGCCCTCCATGCATCCTCCACTTAACCTCAAGGTGAAGCTCAGCCAGTTTGGTAAACAAGCTGGGTAATTTTGTGAACGCATTTGGGCCGGGGACGGCTGACAACGAACCACCGCAGAGCTGAGCTTGGGGCGTGGCAGGCGGTGTGTTGGGGGGTCCCTCCAGCCCTGGGCCATGGGGGCCTTGGAGGCTGGCCAGCTAGTAGATGCTATGAGGGGCGGCTGCTCTGCCCACCCTGCCACTCCCCAAGGACGTCCCTGGACCAAGAACCCTGCAGGATGGACTTGGGAGGGCAGCCCCCACCCTCAGCCTGCACTGCTCGTCCACCGCCTCCCCTGCCTCTGTGCCTGGGCTGCCCAGACCCTCTGTGCCTTTCCCTCCCCAGCCGGCTCAGTGCCTATGTGAGGCCAGCAGAAATGTGCAGTTTTGTTCTGAAAAGACTATGGGGGCAGCAGAGCTCCTCAGAGTGTGGGCTCTGGGACAGGGGCTGGAAGTCAAATCCCGGACCCACCCTTGGTTTGTGACCTCGGACCTGTGGATTGGGAGGGGTCAGGAGTCTCTGCGGTGCCGGCCGCTGTGCTGGTCCCCCATGGATGAGCTCGCTCTGGGGCTTTGGGCGTCCGTCGGGGGTGGCGTGAAGCTGTGCACCAGGAGGTTTCGGGCCAGATCTTAGTGAAGTCAGACCCAGTGTGGCCGAAGCCCTCACCTTTGCACATCCCCCGTCTCTGATGCTGCCATCTCCCCGGTGAGCTGGGCCCCTCACTGCCCATGGCTCCTGTGACTCATGACCACTGACTTCCTCTCAGAGCTGCCACTCAGCAGCTGTGGGGCTTGAGGTGCCCCTCTGCCTCTTCCGGTCCCAGGTTCCCTCTCTGGAAGATGCAGCCAGCGTTGCCTTATCTGATAGAATTTGAGGCAGGATCTGCAGCGGAGTCCTCGAGTCCTTGTCACATAGGTATGTGGAGCACCCTGTGCTCTGCTGCCGTGGGGCTGTGGGGTGTGGGGGACCCCAGCTGCTGCCAAGTATGGAGCAGGAGAGCTTCACGCCCTTTACACAGAGGTGCCCACGGACAGCCTGGCATGCAGGCCCTACAGAGATGCTCTCACACAGCCCATGTGCTCCCCCACACCTACCGTAAGTGCAGAATCACATGCCCCGACCCCACACTTGGCTTCACTCACAGGGCACCCAGGTACCTGCATCAGAACTACACCCATCCACACCCAGACACATGTGCCGCCAGCACAGGC
Source organism: Homo sapiens (assembly GCF_000001405.40). Lineage (NCBI taxonomy): Eukaryota > Metazoa > Chordata > Mammalia > Primates > Hominidae > Homo > Homo sapiens. The sequence continues at coordinate 133,443,030 of NC_000010.11, forward strand.
CCCCACGCAGACAGCAGGCTCCCAGCAGACAGACAAAAACACGCACACAGCAGATCCAGACCCGGCACACAGTCATCCATGCAGACATGCTGCCCCTGCCCAGGAGACAGGCAGGCACCACTCACCCCGGCCTCTGGGGCCCGGTGCTTCCCACAGAAACAAGTGGACAGACAAGGCCATGACGGGGACAAATGTGAAACCACAGACATGCTGTCCCTCCACATGGCCGCCTGCTTCAGGGAAGCTTGTTGACCAGCACACCCCAGACAGCTCGCTGCCCAATGTAGTTATAGGCACAGGCATGTGCAGATGTGCCGTGGCATACACAGTTACACACAGGTGCTCACACAGGCACTCCCAGACACACATAGGTGCTCATTCAGACAGGGACACACAAGCACACATAGGTGCGCATGCAGACACACGGCAGCACACAGGCACACACAGGTATCCACAGGTGCACACAGGTATCCACAGGTATACACAGACACACAGAGGTACACATGCAGCTGCACAGACACTCAGATATGCCCAGGTGCACATGCAGGTGAGCACAGACACAGGTGCACACAGGCACACACAGGCATGCACAGGCACATACACAGGTGGGTGCACAGATATACACAGGTGCACCGAGACACAGGTATACACAGGTGCATACACAGGTGGGTGCACAGATATACACAGGTGCACTGAGACACAGGTACACAAAGGCACATACACAGGTGGGTGCACAGATATACACAGGTGCATCGAGACACACAGGTATACACAGGTGCATACACAGGTGGGTGCACAGATATACACAGGTGCACCGAGACACAGGTATACACAGGTGCATACACAGGTGGGTGCACAGATATACACAGGTGCACCGAGACACAGGCATACACAGGCACATACACAGGTGGGTGCACAGATATACACAGGTGCACCCAGGCACACTCATGAACACAAGCACTCACGTGTCACCTGTGCAGAAGATGACGTGGTTTTTAGGTGGTGGATCTCGGTTTGAGTCCCAGCATGTCACCTGTGCAGAGGATGACATGGTTTCTAGGTGGTGGGTCTGGGTCTGAGTCCCAGCATGTCACCTGTGCAGAGGATGACGTGGTTTCTAGGTGGTGGGTCTGGGTCTGAGTCCCAGCATGTCACCTGTGCAGAGGATGACGTGGTTTTTAGGTGGTGGATCTGGGTCTGAGTCCCAGCATGTCACCTGTGCAGAGGATGACGTGGTTTCTAGGTGGTGGATCTGGATTTGAGTCCCAGCATGTCACCTGTGCAGAGGATGACGTGGTTTCTAGGTGGTGGATCTGGGTCTGAGTCCCAGCCCTGCCCCACACACTCTGCTCTGACCTGGCGGCCCATCTCCTCACCTGTGAGGTGCTGAGGTGGGGAGTTTGGAGTTTGCTCTTGGACGAAGCAGGGGCTCCTGTGACCACTCAGGCCAACAAGATCAGGGCTTGGAAGAGGCAAAACCAGAGAAGCCTGGCTGCAAAGATGAGCCCCCCTGGGGATCCCTGTATGCCCCCCAGCCCCTACATCCCAGAGCAGAGGGTGCCGGTCCCCCAGGGTCTCCCACAGGTGGGCTCCGCCTGCCTGCTCAGAGCAGTCGGGTCTGAGACTGGAGTTTGACTCATTGTCCCCTACCTCCTGATCTCTGGCCAGGCCACTGTGAGGGTCACAGGGTTGATTGAGGAAACCTTTTCATGGGCTGTGAAAGGGGCAAAGGCACCTGAACCCTCTGCCCTCCTCACCTAGACCCGTGAGGACCACGGCCCTGGGGCAGAGCCCTCTCCCTGGACACCAAGGTCCTCTGACTGCTCCCCACCTGGTTGGCTGAGCCTGGCTGATGCTCCACAGAGGGGTGGTCCAGGCTGGACAGCTCAAGGTGGCAGAGGGCAGTGGGAGGTCAGGAGAAGGTGCTCAGGACCCACCAAGGGGTCTTTGGCCCCTGCCTTCTGTGTGTGCTTGGAGAAGGGACTTCACTGGTCCCAGAGACAGCTGATCAGTCCATCCAGCCTGGCCTGGTGTCCTGGTCCACACGGGGTACAGACCTCCAAGGCTGCCGGGGGCAGGTGTATGGCTCTGTGTTCCCACGTCCCAAAACCACATTCATAAATGTCACATTTATTCACATTCAGCCATGTCTGAGGGTCCTTACTGGGCCTCAGCACTGGCTTCCGACCCAGCAGTGGACGCATGAATTTTTGCCTGGGGGATCAGGTGTTGGAGGGAGACAGACAACAGCTAATGGTGGGTAACTCTGCAGCACGCGGGGGTGGAGCGTGGCATGGAGAGGCAGGCACACAAAGGAGTGGGATCAGGGCCACTGCTTGGACAGAACACCCAAGGCCAGGGTCCACCCTGGAGGTGTCAGGGAAGAGAGTGCCAGGGAAGGGGACAGCGGCTGCGCAGGTGAAGGTGGGCCTGGGCCCTGCGTGGTGGGGGACGAGCAGTGGGCAGGGAGGGCTGAGCTCAGCGGTGGGTGTCGGCACACAGGCCTGTGGTGTGTCCTCGGCTGTCACCGACTGAGTGGCTGCGGGGTGGCGAGCAGAGAGGGGACTGATGTGACTTTGCTTTCAAGGAGCCCCCTCGACCTCTGGACGCTGGTGGAGCATGGGCGGGGCAGGGCCCAGTTGGGGGCGGCCCTCGTAGCTGAAATCGGGCAGACCCTGCCGGGGTGCAGCCCGATGGATTCGCTGATGGATTGGATGTGGGTGTAGAACAGAGATAAGCCGAAGGCTGTGAGGTCAGCGTGGTTTTGGGGGCTGGGGGAAGTCGGAAGTAAGGTTTTGGGGTGCAAGTGCAGAGATGGAGGAGCGGCTGGGCAAAGGCATGGACACAGGCGTGTGGAGCAGGGGCCTGGGCTGGAGGTGGGCATTGGGGTGCGTCGGGACCGACCCCGGGGCTCCAAAGGCCGGGGCTGTGGGTGGGGGGAGAGCAGAGGCTGGGTGTCCGTCGGCGAAGGCGCCATTCTCATCTCCTCCAGTTTTGTGCCTGGGGCAGCCCGGGAGCTTTTCTGGGCCTGCGTCGGTGGCCGCAGCCCAGCTCCGCCCTGCGGTGCCCACCAGGAGGCTTTGCCGGGGCGGCCAGGACCCCCGAGGGCACGAGCACCGCGGACTCGCGGCTCTGCCCTGCCCCGTCCGGGCCAGCCCTGCCCTGGCGGAGCCCCCTCTCCCGGGGCAGCTTCCGGGCGCGACCACCCACCCACAGGCAGAGCCCCCACCTGGAGTCCCCGGGCTGAGGCCTCTGCACGCGCGGGAGGCTCTTCCTGGACCCGGCGCGCACCGTGGCGGCGCCGCCCACCCAGCCCCACGCCCCACCGCGCCCCCCGCCTCGGGCAGGTGCAGACTCCAGGTCCTGCCCGTTTCTCACGGTCTCTCCCACGGCCCCGGGTCCGCCTCACTGAGAGCCCAAGACCGGGGCCGCCACCCCTCAGCGACCCGCCCCGGGGACCCCGCCCCGCACAGCGCCCGCAGCCATACGTCCTGGGCCCGGGGGCCCCGGGCAGCCTCCTGGCTGTGTGTGTGCGCGTTTGGGGTCCCATCCACGAGGGTCCCCTCCCCCCACGCCGGGCTGGCAGGGAGGAACCCACTCCCAACACGGCCCCCGGACGCCCCCACTCCTCAGCACCGCCCAGGGAGAACCCGCGGCCGCCTGGTTGTGAAACCCCACAGCCTTCTCCGCCCTCCGCTGTGGGCTGGATTTCCATGTGAATCTTAAGTCAGTTCTCAAGTCCCGTCTCCCTCCTAGAGTTTACTTTGGGGGAAATTTCACATCTTTGCAACAGGAAAGCTTCCAACCCAGAAACGTGGTGCGTTTCCGCATTTACTCAGATCTTCCTTCAACGCCTCTCAACTTTCTGCATTAACGTCTTCCACGTCTTTCACCAGATTAATTCCTAGAAAGTTGGTATTTTTGTTGCCTTTGTAAGTGGTAGGTATTTTTAAAAAGTCATTTTCTGTTCATTGCTTATATGTAGAAAAACAAGTGACTTTTGTCTATGTTCAGTAAACTCACTAAACGTTCCCATGTCGCTAACTGATCCGTGGTTCCTGTGGGTCTCGGCATTCCCAGCAGCGTGTCTGTGAGTCACGCTGGTCTTGACTGTCATTCTCCAAGCATCGTGCCTTTTCTTTTTTATCTTTCTGCACTGGGTTTGGCCGCCAGGGCAAAGTGGGCTGCAGGTGGTGAGAGCAGGAACGGGGACGCTTCTGTGAGCTGCGTTTGTATGTTCTTGTTTTCAGATTAAGGAAGTTCCCTTCTAGTTCTAGTTTGCAAACACTTTATTATCAGAAATGGATACTGAATTCTATATTAAAAATTTTACATCTTTGAAAATGACAATATGATTGTTCTCCCTTAGCCTTTCAGTGTGGCAAATTACAGTGATTGATTTTCTAGTGTTAGCTTTTTTCCTAAATGCAACTTTGCAGGCCTGGAGAAAACCAGCTTTGGCGTCAGTGATGTGCTTTGCACGCATTGCTGATTCTGTGGGTCCTGTGTCTGGATTCAAGACAGGCAAACATTGAGGGAATTAATCATCACTAGATCAGCCCTACAAGAAATGCTTAAGGGAGTCCTACATCTAGAAGTGATAGGATGTTAACCACCATGATAAAAACTTACAAAAGAATAAAAATCACTAGGAAATCAGATGAGAACGAGAAAGAAATAAAATCTTATCATTACAAAAACCACCAAACTGCAAAGATAGACACTAAGAGAGGAAGAAAGGAAAAAAGGATATACAAAATGACAACAAAATAAAAATCATATCAAGTATCTTCTCAGACCACAGTGAAACTAGAAATTAATACCAAGAATAACTTTGGAAACTATACAAACTCCTGGACACATATAACTTACCAAGACTGAACCAAGAAGAAATACAAAACATGAACGGACCATTAATGAGTAACGAGATTGAATGAGTAATAAAAAGTCCCCCAACAAAGAAAAGACCAGGACTGCATGGCTTCACAGCTGAATTCTACCAATCTTTAAAAAGAAAAAATACTAACTCTTCTCAAACTATTCCAGAAACTTGAAGGCGGGGGGTGTGGGAGTGGAATTTGTCCAAACTCATTCTATGAGGCCAGAATTACCCTGACACCAAAACCAGACAAGGACACAACTAAAAGAGAAAACTATAGGCCAATATCCCTGGTGAAAATAGATGTAAAAATTCTCAACAAAATACTAACAAACCAAATCCAACAGCATATCAAAAAGATTATACACCATGATCAAGTGGGATTTATTTCAGGAATGCAAGGATGGTTCAATACATGAAAATCAATAAATGTGGTACATCACAACAGCAGAATGGACAAAAACCATATGATCATCTTAGGAGATGCAGAAAAAGCATTTAATCAAATCAACATCCCTTCATGATAAAAATTCTTAACAAATTAGGTATATAAGGAATGTACCTCAATACAAAAAAAAGGCCATATATGACAAACCCACAGCCAAAATCATACTGATTGGGGGAAAAGTAGAAAGCTTTTTCTTTAAGAACTGGAACAAGACAAGGATGTCTACTTTTAACACTCTTATTCAACATAGTACTGAAGGTTCTAGCCAGAACAGTTAGACAAAAGAAATAAAAGCCATCCAAATTGGAAATGAGGAAGTCGAGTTGTCCCTGTTTCCAGATGACATAATTTTATATATAGAAAAACCTTAAGACTCCACCCAAAACTTTTAGTACTGATAAATATATTCAGTAAAGTTGCAGAATACAAAATCAACAAACACAAATCCATAGCATTTCTATGCAACAATAACAAACTACCTAAAAAAGAAATTAAGAAAGCATTCCCATTCACAATAGCTACAAACCTCCACCCCCAGGAATAAATTTAACCAAGGAGGTAAAGGATCTCTACAATGAAAACTACAAAACACTGATGTAAGAAATTGAACATGACACAAAAGAAAGAAAAGACATCCTATGTTCATGAATTGGAAGAATTAATATTGTCCAAATAACCATATTATCCACACAATCTGTAGATTCAATGCAATTCCTATCAAAATATAAATTACATTCTTCACTGAAATAGAAAAAAGATTCCTAAAATTCCTATGAAACCACAAAGACTCTGAATAGCTAAAGCAATCCTGACCAAAAAGAGCAAAGTTGGAGGAATCACACTACCTGGGTTCAAAACATACTACAAAGCTATAGTAACCAAAACAGCATGGTACTGGTATGAAAACAGACACACAGGGCAGTTGAACAAAATGCAGAACCCATAAACAAATCCACATTAGCCCTAACTGACTTTTGACAAAAGTGCCAAGAACACACTTGGGGAAAGTACACCCTCTTCAATAAATGGTGCTGGGAAAACTGGATATTCATATGCAGAAAATAAAACTAGGCCTCTATCTTTCACCATATAAAAATCAACTCAAAATGGATTAAAGACTTAAATGTAAGATCCAAACTATAATACTACCAGAAGAAAATATAGGGGAAATGAGTCAGGACATTGGTTTGGGCAAAGATTTTATGAACAAAACTTCAGAAGCACTGGTAATGAAAGCAAAAATGGACAAATGGGCATATATCAATCTAAAATTGCTCTGCACAGCACAGGAAACAAATGACAAGGTAACAACCAACAGAATGGGAGAAAATATTCACAAATTATCCATCTGACCAGGAGTGAATAATCAGAATATATAAGGAATTCAAACAATTGAATAGCAAAAAAAAAAAAAAAAAAAAAATTAAGTCGATAAAAAAATGGGTGAAAGTTTCTGAATAGGCATTTATCAATAGAAAACATATAAAGAACCAAAATATATGGAAAAAAGCTCAACATCAGTAATTACCAGAGAAATGCATATTGAAACCACAATAAGATATCATCTCACCCAAGTTTGAAGGGCTTTTATCTAAAAGACAAACAGTAACAAATGCTGGTGAGAATGCAGAGAAATGGTAAAACTTACACACTGTTGGTGGGAATGTAAATTAGTACAGCCATTATGGAAAACAGTATGGGGTTTCCTCAAAAAAAAATAAACATAGAACGACCATATGATCCAGCAATCCCACTACTGGGTATTTATCCAAAGGAAGGGAAATCAGTGAATTGAAGAGATATCTGCACCCCTATGTTCACTGCAGCACTATTCACAATAGACAAGACATGGAATCAACCTAAGTGTTCATGAATAGATAACTATATAAAGGAAATGTAATATATATACACAATGGAATACTATTAAGCCATAAAAAAGAGTGAAATAGGCTGGGCATGGTGACTAACACCTGTAATCCCAGCACTTTGGGAGGCCAAGACTGGTGGATTGCTTGAGTCCTGGAGTTTGAGACCAGCCTGGGCAACATGGTGAAACCCCATCTCTACAAAAAAAAAAAAAAAAAAAAACAAATTATCTGGGTGTGGTGGCATGCACCTGTGGTCCCAGCTACAAGGGAGGCTGAGGTAGGGGGATTACTTGAGTCCAGGAGGCAGAGGTTGCAGTGAGCCAAGATCATGCCACTGCACTCCAACCTGGGCCACAGAATGAGACCCTGGGGGTGTCTCAAGAAAAAAAATAAGTAGATTAAAGAAACCTGTAATCTCAGCACTTTGGGAGGCCAAGGCAGGTGGATCACCTGAGGTCAGGATTTCAAGACCAGCCTGGCCAACATGGCGAAACCCTGTCTCTACTAAAAATACAAAAATTAGCTGGTCGTGGTGCCATGTGCCTGTAATCTCAGCTACTTGGGAGGCTGAGGCAGAAGAATCGCTTGAACCTGGGAGGCGGAAGTTGCAGTGAGCCGAGACTGCACCATTGCACTCCAGCCTGGGCAACACGAGTGAAACTCCATCTCAAAAAAAAAAAAAAAAACTTGCCATTTGTGGCAGTGTGTGCATGTAGGACATTCTATTAAGTGCAATAAATCAGGTACAAAAATATCAATACTGCAATACTGCTAGTTGTCACTCACATGTCGGGACTAAGAAATTGACCTCATATTAGTAGAGTAGAATTAGAGTTACTAGAGACTGGTAAGGGTTAGGGGAGAAGCAGATAGGGAGAGGTTGTTTAATAAATACAAAGTTACAGAGGAATAAGTTCCAGTGTTCTGTAGCTCTGTAGGGTGACTATAATTCAAAATAACTTGTTGTGTATTTTCAAATAGCTAGAAGAGAGGGTTTTGAATGTTCCCAACAGATAAATGATAAATGTTTGATGGGTTTGGTAGTTACCCTGATTCGATCATTATGCATTGCACACATGTATCAAAGTATCACTCTGTATCCCATAAATATGTACAATTCTTACATGTCAATTAAAAATAAGGCACTTCCTGCTTGCTTCCATTTCAGACGAGAAATTAGCTGTAATTCACATTTTACCATTTTTTATAGTCAGTGCAATCCTTTTTGTCTGGCTGTTTTTAGGATTTTTTTTTCCTTTGGTTTCCAAACGTTTAATTATGATGTGTCTTGGTGTGAATGTCTTTGAATTCATCTTATTTTGGATTTCTCAGCTTCTTGAATCTGTAGTTTTGTGCCTTTCACCATATTTGGAGAATATTTAGTAGTTGTTACTTTAAATACATTTTCAGCCCCATACGCTCTCTTATCTTTCCTGAATTTCCCAGATACAAAGATTAAGTCTTGTTATTATTGTCCCACAGATCCCCGAGGCTCTATAAATTTTTCTATTTTCTCTCTGTTGTTTGCACTGTGTAAATTCTATTGAAGTATCATCAGGTTCACTGGTTCCTCTGTCATTTCCATTCTACTAGTCCGTTCATTGAGTTTTTAACATTTCAGTTATTATATTTTCAGTTCTGTAATCATTTATTTTAAAAACAATTTAATTGAGGTTCATGTATCATAAATGCACTCTTTTAAAGTGTGTGGTGCAGAGGATTTTAGTATATTCAGGATTATGCAACCAGCACCACTAATTTCAGAACATTTTCATCACCTGAAAAAGAAATCCTGTAGCTGGCTGTGGTGGCTCACACCTGTAATCTCAGCACTTTGGGAGGCCAAGGTGGGAGGGTCCGATGAGGCCAGGCGTTTGAGACCAGCCTGGGTACATGGCAAGGCTTTCCATCTCTACAAAAAAATTTAAAAAATTAGCCAGACATGGTGGCATGCACCTATAGTCCCAGTTACTCAGGAGGTTAAGGTAGGAAGATCACTTGAGGCCAGGAAGTTGAGGCTGCAGTGAGCTATGATCATGCCACTGCACTCCAGCCTGGATGAGAAAGTGAGACTCTGTCTCCCAATAAATAAATGAATATATAAATACATAAATAAATAAAAATAAAAAAGAAAAACACTATACTATTTTCAGTCATTTTCTCTTTCCTCCTTCTCTAGCCCCTGGAAACCATGAATCTAATTTCCTTGTCTATTGATTTGCCTATTCTGGAAATCTCATATGAATGGAATCGTACCCAGTATGTGGTCTTTTACATCTGGCTTCTCTCACTGAGCATGTTTTCAAGGTTGACGCACATCCAGCCTGTGTGGGTGCCTTGTTCCCTTTCTATGGCTGAGTGACATTCCATAATGTGGACATACCGCATTTTGTTTCTCCATTTATCAGTGGATGCACACGTGAGCTGTTTTCATCTTTATTATGAATAATGCTGCATGGACATTCATGTAGAGATTTTTGTGTGGACATAAGTTTACATTCCTCTTAGATATGTACCCAAGAGTGGAGTTGCCCCTTCTGGGCTCAAGTGGTATCTTCCAGGAGTATCTCTGTTTAACATTTTGACAAACTGCCAAACTTTCTCAAAGCAGTTGCACCATTTTTGAATCTACCAGCAAAATCTGAGAGGTCCCATTTCTCTACATCCTTACCACTGTTTCATTTTGTTTTTAAGACAAAGTCTTGCTCTGTCACCCAGGCTGGAGTGCAGTGGTGCAATCTCAGCTCACTGCAACCTCCGCCTCTTGGGCTCACGCCATTCTCATGCCTCAGCCTCCCGAGTAGCTGGGACTACAGGTGCATGTCACCCTGCCCGGCTAATTTTTGTATTTTTAGTAGAGACAGGGTTTCACCATGTTGGCCAGGGTGGTCTCGAACTCCTGACCTCAGGTATCTGCCCACCTCAGCCTCCCAAAGTGCTAGGATTACAGGCGTGAGCCACTGCGCCTAGCCTGTTCCATTTTTATAACTTCTATTTCTTTGCTGAGATTTCAATTTTTCCACTTATTTCAAGAGCATTTGCAATTTGTTGTGGAAACATTTTTATGATGCCTGTTTTAAAATCCTTGTCAGATAATTCTGACACCTGACTCTTCCTGGTGCCGCCCTTAGTTGGTTGTCTCTTACTGAAATGGTCGTGTCCCTGGGTCTTCATATGATGAGTGATTCTTAACTGTATCTTCTCTCAAGGGTTTTCATTCCAACGACAGTTCAGTTCTCAGAGTTCTTGCAAAGCTCTTCCGTGTCATTCTTCTGGTGCTGCTGGGACTCCCACTCAAACCCTAATCCTACCCCTACCCCTAACTCTGCTAGTGCCATCTGCTGGCACAGAGGACGCCTCCTTGGCTGTCTGGGGCCACTGCCTTCTGTGGTGGTGGCATGGCTGAAGCCGACGGGCCCGGGTGGAGGGCAGAGACGCAGGGCTTCACTGATGCTGTGCTGTGGGCAGGTTGGACCATCTCTGCCTGATGGTTGGGTCTAGTCCCATCAGCAGCTTGATCAGTGTGGGAGGAAACCCACAGCCTGCACCCTCCCCATGTCTGGTGATGCTCAGGCCAGCAAGGCATTGGCTGCTCTGCTCACGGCTGAGAGGCAGAGCTGCTGATTCGCTCTGGAAAGGCTGTGGCTGTCCCCATTGGACCCTGGAGGTCCTTGGCAGCTCCCACTTCTGTATATGTGACTCTGGGCTGTGACCTCTGCCATTGCCCCAGCTAAGCAGCGAGAGCTTGCTGAAGCCCAGAGGGCTGTGGGACCATGAGGGCAGCTCTCTGGACCCTGGGACTCGGGCCCCTTCTTCTGAATCTCTGGGCAGTCCCCATTGGTAAGTTTCTGCTTCCTTCATCCATGGAACTTTCTGGAGGCATCAGCTCTGTTGATGCCCAGGCCCCGGGGCATGAGGGTCCCTGCAGTGACCTGCCGTCTGCCTGGGTCTCACTCAGCCCAGAGTGGGTGGGACATGCTGGGGCAGGAGGGAGGTGACTCCACATGGCTGGATCCCTGTGACCTCAGGGCCCCCAGACCCTAGCCCCACTGCTTGGAACCCAGGGTTCAGGGCTGGGTCAGGCCCTGGACAAAATGAGGGACACGGCCCAGTGTCTGGTCCCAATGACCCTGATCAACAGAGTCCTGAGGGGTCCTGCGGGGGCTGCTCCATCCACGTGCCCTGGAGCAGGGCTGAGGTCCTGGGAAGGAGGTGGGAGGGTTGGCTGCATCTGGCAGTGAGGTTGAGCATGGGGTCCCATGGAGATGCTGCACCCAGGTGGAGACACTGGGGTGTGAAGCCATGTGGAAGGGCTGCTGGGTCAGGGGCAGGGAGGTGTAGAGAGGGGGGTCTAGCTAGAAGGAACAGCAGGAGAGGCTGGAGGTGAGAGGGAGCCCCGGGGACCTGCGTACGTGGGCATGGAGCCATGATGTGAGTGTGGGGCTGGGCGGGAGGCAGGGGAGGGTGCCCTTGAGGCTGAGGAACACTTCACTGTCAAGGCTGGTCCAGGTGCCCAGCAGGGCGGTGACCTGGTGCTGGACGGAGCCACATCCCCAGCGGTGGGGTGGAAGTCTGTGGGCAGCTGCAGAAAGTGCAGAGGAGGTTAGGATTTGAAGGAAAGGCAGCAATGTGGCCACAGATGGATGGAAGCCTGGGGTTGAAGGGATTTGCTTTTGTGTCAACGATCGCATGCACAAGGGCCGGAATTCTCTATTACAACAAGAAATAGCTTTAGAAAATATAAAATGAAAAGCTATTCATAGCGGGCGTGGTGGCTTATGGCTGTAATCCCAGCACTTTGGGAGGCTGAGGCAGGCAGTTTACCTGAGGTCATGAGTTCGAGATCAGCCTGGCCAACATGGTGAAACCCCATCTCTACTAAAAATACAAAAATTAGCCAGTCGTGGTAGTGGGCGCCTATAATTCCCGCTACATGGGAGGCTGAGGCACGAGAATCAGTTCAACCCTGGAGGTGGACATTGCAGTGAGCTGAGATCGTGCCATTGCACTCCAGCCTGAGTGACAGAGCGAGACTTTTGTCTAAAAAAGAAAAAATTGCAGACACCAGCACGCATCCATGTCCTGAGAAGAACCAGGTGGGGAGGGTGATGAGGAGGCTGGGGGGTGTGGAGGGATGGATGAAGACTGAGAGAGAGGAGATTCAAGGCTCCCCAGGAGGTGGGAGGGAAAGGTCTTCATCTTGGACCAGGCAGGGTCCCCCCTCTGCTCCTGACTGCCATCGGGGAGGCTCTTTTCTGGGTGTGGAGAGTCCTCCAGGGGCCCTGGAGGCTGCTCTGGGACCACACAGCACCACCCACATGGACTTCCTCCTACTGGTTGCTTCATTTTCCTCGGGGTGGCTGTGTTGATGTGGGGTTGCAGAGGCCTGGAGAGGGTGGTTAGGGGTGCCTCCGTGGCGGGTGGGAGAGAAGGTGCTGGAGTAGCTGAGATGCTCAGAGACCGGAGGGTGAGATCCTGCCTGGAAGCCGGTATGGGTGGGGTAGTGGGGCTGGGTTTGGCATAGTGGGAGGGCAGGCAGGGGTGGTTTTCCTGGATACTCAGGGTTGCAGAGGACAGGACCGAAGGGTGAGCGGGGCACTCCAAGGGGTGTGGACAGTCACGTGGGTGGGGCAGGTGTGACAGTGGTGGGCTGGAGACCACAGGGCCTCCAGTGGAAGTAGGGGAATGATGCTTGGGAGGCAGAGAGTGGGTGGGAGGACCCACCCAGCTGCAGACCCAGGAGGACAGGGGACTTCCTTGCCTGGGGGATGGGGTCCTCCAGGATGTTGGGGCTCCAGAGGGCCAGGGAGGGGAGTAGCCCCCGGGGAGACACATGGGGTGAGGGTTTCTCTGTGAGCCGCGCCCATCACCTCTCTGGGACTGCTTGGTGGGGTGAGAGGAGCCCGACTCGCTGCTGAGGCCTCACAGGCCGTTCCCTGCTGCCGCGGCTGCCATCTCCTCCTGCGCCTCTGGTTGGTTCTGGCCCCTCTAACTGGACCTGTCTGTCTGTAGGTGGACCAGGTGCTCTGAGGCTGGCGTACAGACACAGCACGTGCGACGGAGTGGTGTTGGTCCGACACCACGGGGCATGGGGATACGTGTGCAACCAGGAGTGGACGCTGGCAGAGGCCTCTGTCGTGTGCAGGCAGCTGGGCTGCGGCCCTGCCGTGGGCGCCCCCAAGTATGTCCCGCTGCCTGGAGAGATGGCCCAGCCCTGGCTTCACAACGTGTCCTGCCGGGGCAACGAGTCCTCCCTCTGGGAGTGCAGCCTTGGCTCATGGTGCCAGAGCCCGTGCCCCCACGCATGGGTGGTGGTCGCGCTGTGCTCCAGTAAGTAGGGAGGAGTGAAGGGGACGGGGCTGAGGAGGAGGAGGAGTGGGAGGACGAGGAGGAGGACTGGGAGGACGCAGAGGAGGACTGGGAGGATGGCGGGTCTCGGAGACGGGCGGGGAGGCTGTGGGTCTGGAGCTCTCTCTGGGAGGGGCTCCTCTCTGGGCACCGGGGCCATCCTGACTGTAAGATTCAGCTGTGGAAAAACCAACGCCAGGGAGAGTCAGAGATTGGAGGAAGGAAGCAGAGTGCGGCCCAGGCGTGGGGGAGGCAGCAGCCGAGCGGGGGCGGGGTCTGTGGACGCCTGAGGCCCACACAGGTAGCTGATGATGGTTTCTTAGACAAATGACAGACAGGTACACGCTTTCCCTTTGAGGTCTGGCTCGAGGGTCCTCAGCTGTCCCTCACATTTTATGTGGCTGTGAGGACCCCCTCATAGCGTCCTGCCTCTGAGGCTGAACCACCTGGCCAGGACCTCCTACCATTTTGGGGCCCAGTGTGAACGGATCCTGCGGGGAACCTTGTTTCAGGAGACCAGCAGCAGAGCATGAAGCTGGGCACAGGGGTCTCTCTGAGCCCAGGGCCCTGTGTGACTGCCCGGTCACCTGCCCCTGAAGCTGGCCCTGGCTCAGCCCATCACTGTCCTCCCTGAAAAAGGAGCTGCCGAGTGACCATGCGGCCAGCTGGGTCCATACCTTAAGGAGGACCGGCCTGTGCTCCACAGACGGCACTTTCCGGGAGCTCCGGCTGGTGAAGGGCCGCAGTCCCTGCGCGGGACTCCCCGAGATCAGAAACGTGAATGGGGTGGACCGCCTCTGTGTCCTGCATGTGGAGGAGGCCATGGTGTTCTGCCGGGAGCTGGGGTGCGGCCCTGTGCTCCAGGCCCCCCGCCGGGACGTGGGCGTCGTCAGGAAGTACCTGGCCTGCAGGGGTACCGAGCCCACCATCCGCAGCTGCAGACTGGACAACAACTTCCGCAGCGGCTGCGACCTGCGGCTGGACGCAGAGGTGGTCTGCTCAGGTGAGGCTGCCACCTGATGTTCCCAGTGACCCTTGGGATGATGCTGGGCCCGGACCTGGGGAGGGCAGGGAGAAGGGGGGTGGGCGTTCCCACGGATGGGCCCCCCTGTCCTGCATGAGACATTGGGCGCAGAGGTGGGAAAGGGCCTCAGCTCTCACGCTGGTTCTCAGCAGAGTGGAGCTGAGTTTCTGGTGGCCCCACAGAGGTGTCCTGGCTCAGAACCCGCAGGCCATCTAGGGGTCCTGGCTGCCGCTGCAAGTCTGAGCTGCCTCAGCTGTGATCTCTGCATGTCTAACATGGATCGGGGTTGGGTAGAGGTCACTTCTTCCCAGCCCTGCCTCAACTGTGTGTGAGCTGCACTGGCCTCACAGCTCCTGGCCTTGTTGTGCATATGAGGAGCAGCTGAAATGAGGTGGATAGTCTGCCTGCTGCGGTACCCCAGAGAGGGTGGTGCTCAGTGGACCAAGGGGTGCCCTGACCTCGCCTCTGGGATTGCAGAGGGTGTTGCTGTCATGGCCTCGGACAGGCAGAGGCTGTGAAATACGTGAGCACCTGCAGCAGGTGACCCTGACCCTGACCTTGGTGATGCGGCCAAGGACGTCTGCTCTGCTCTGGGTGCCGGGTGGAAGGGCCTGTGGCTGCAAGTTCCTGCCTGTGCTTGGTAGACCCTCTGCCTAGATGCAGGTGATGGCTCCTGGCTGAAGCCTTCCGCAGTCTGAGGCTCAGGGCCAGGCTGTTGACCTGAGAACACCTGTCTCCTGCCTGAGAGGACGTCTGCCCCCAGGACACACCGAGGCCCGACTGGTGGGCGGCGAGCACCCCTGCGCCGGGCGCCTGGAGGTGACCTGGGGCACCGTCTGTGATGCGGCCCTGGACCTGGCCACGGCCCACGTGGTGTGCCGGGAGCTGCAGTGTGGGGCGGTCGTGTCCACGCCCGAGGGCGCCCGCTTCGGCCGGGGCTCGGGGCCGGTGTGGACGGAGGCCTTCCGCTGTGCGGGCAACGAGTCGCTGCTGTTCCACTGCCCACGGGGGCGTGGGAGCCAGTGTGGGCATGGTCACGACGCGGGGCTCAGGTGCTCAGGTGAAGTCCTGTGTGTGGGCTCTGAAGGCTCAGCCCTGCCTTGTTCTCTGTCAAATCCCTTCGTGCCCTAAAGGTGCCTCTGGCCAGTAGGTGTGGGTGCTTTTGATGTTTGCTTCTGTTGGTTGAAAGAAGCGCAGGGAAGAGACTGGGTGTAGAGTGATGTACCCCAAGGCTGCAGCTAAGATCAAATTCTTCTGGAGAGCTGTGTGAGCTGGATGCTGATGCAGAGGAGGGTGGGGGAGCTGGTGAGACCAAGGCTGGGCTCTGTGCCCATCCCACTGGGTGTGAAGGAAGGAAATGACCACAGACAGCCATGTTCTGGGTCGGCCGTCTGCAAGCCAGGCTGACTCCTCCTCTCCCCCAGAGTTCAGGATGGTCAACGGCAGCAGCAGCTGTGAGGGCCGCGTGGAGTTCCAGGTGCAGGGGTCCTGGGCACCCCTCTGTGCCACCCACTGGGACATAGCAGATGCCACCGTCCTCTGCCACCAGCTCAACTGTGGCAACGCGGTGGCCGCACCTGGAGGAGGCCATTTTGGGGACGGGGACGCTGCCATCTGGCCTGATGCCTTTCACTGTGAGGGGACAGAGTCCTACTTGTGGAATTGCCCAGTAAGCACCCTGGGGGCCCCGGCCTGTGCCCCGGGAAACACAGCCTCCGCGGTCTGCTCAGGTGGGTGCAGCCAGGACGGTGGACCAGGAGGGTGAGTGAGAGGCATGGACAGAGGAGTGCAAGGAAGGACAGAGGGGGCGGAGAGGTACGGGCCCTGCTGGGGGGTGGTCCTGGGTCCCTCCCGCTGACATCTTGGGCCCCTGTGCGTCCCCATCCCCAGGTCTGGCCCACGCCCTGCGACTGAGGGAAGGACAGAGCCGCTGTGACGGCCGCGTGGAGGTCTCCCTGGATGGCGTGTGGGGCCGCGTCCTGGACGATGCCTGGGACCTGCGCGGCGCGGGCGTGGTGTGCCGGCAACTCGGGTGCAGAGGGGCCCAGCAAGCCTATGACGCACCTGCCCCCAGCCGCGGATCCGTCCAGGTGGCGCTGAGCCGCGTGCGCTGTCTGGGCACCGAAACCCGCCTGACTCAGTGCAACGTGTCCGCGACCCTGCAGGAGCCCGCGGGGACCTCGCGGGACGCCGGCGTGGTGTGCTCCGGTGAGGTCGGAACCGCGTCCCCCATGGCCCGTCGCCACGGGATCCCGGGCGCCCTGACTCTGTCTCTCCACAGGGAGCCTCAGGGTGCGGCTGGCCGCGGGGCCGGGGCGCTGCACGGGGGCGCGTGGGGCACCGTGTGTGACGATGCCTGGGACCTGCGGGACGCGCACGTGGTCTGCAGGCAGCTGGGCTGTGGCCGCGCCCTGAGCGCCCTGGGGGCCGCACACTTCGGAGCCGGGGCAGGGCGCATCTGGCTGGACGAGCTGGGCTGCCAGGGCCACGAGTCTGCGCTGTGGCAGTGCCCGTCGGCGGGCTGGGGGCGGCACGACTGGAGGCACAAGGAGGACGCCGGCGTCTTCTGCTCAGGTGAGCGGCCGTTGGGTATGGAATGATCATGCTGTTTTATTACGTACAGTCATGCGCACTTGCTTTCCAGAACAGCATCAAACTATCGGGAGCTGTTCTCTTCCCTGAATGCAGAACTTCCACAGTGGATTGGGTGAGGTTCCTGTTGGTATAGTAAGTGCTACCGGACAAAGTACTTTGGTTCCGTGCACCTGGGGAGCTGGTCAGCTTCCTGTCGCAGGTTGGCCCTGGGGCAGCCCCACCTGGGCTCATTTTCCGCCGTAACCAGCTCAAGTGCGCTTGAAGTTTCCATCCGAAATTCATATATATATATATATATTTATATATTTTAAAAAATATTTTATATTTATTTAAATATTTATTTATTTATTTATTTATTTATTTTGAGACGGTCTCACTGTGTTGCCCAGGCTGGAGTGCAGTGGCCCCATCACCGGTCACCGCAGTCTTGACCTCCTGTAGTCCAGGGATCCTTCAGCCTCAGCCTCCCAAGCTGCTGGGACTACAGAAGTGAGGCACTGCCGCTGGCTTCAGATTCTTAATTTTGATCCATATTTTGGTGTACTGGAGAACTTTTTGCAGACTTTTTTTTTTTTGACAAGATCTTGGTCAGGCTAGAGTGCAATGGTGCAATCTTGACTCAGTGCAACCTCTGCTTCCTGGGCTCAAACCATCCTCCTGCCTCAGCCTCCCAAGTAGCTGGGACTACGGGCATGTGCCACCATGTCTGGCTAACGTTTATTTTTGTAGAGATGGAGTTTCACCATGTTGCCCAGGCCGGTCTCAAACTCCTGGACTCAAGCGATCCACCTGCCTCAGCCTCCCAAAGTGTTGGGATTACAGGTGTGAGCCACCGCACCTGACCATTTTGCAGACTATTTTTGAGATGGTGGATGAGCTTTATTATTATTATTATTATTATTCACACATACCTGAGCGTCTTTGTGTTCTGATCTTGTCCAGGTGTGGTCATTCTTGGGTGATGGAATTTTGTCATTTTGGGGGATGGGTTCTCTGGAGAAGCCTGTGAGTGGGTCACGGGCTGCCCACCTGACCTGCGGCCTCCTGAGCGGGTCACGGGCTGCCCATCTGACCTGCGGTCTCCTGAGAGGGTCACGGGCTGCCCATCTGACCTGTGGTCTCCCAGGGTATTTTCAGGCAACCCTGGGGGAGAGGCTGGATGCTGGCAGAGTCTCTGGCAGCTTATCCAAGTGTGGGCTCTTCTCATTGATTTTGGTTTATATTTTACTTTAGGAACGCTTTCTTCAGCGATATCTTGGATTATTACGTTTATTTCAATTACTGTGTTCTTTGTATGCAATGCTGGAGTCTCGTGAGTTTGAGCCTTCCCTATGCTTCTGAAATTAATTTTGGCATGACTCTTTCCCCAGGCATTCTTGGGGTGTTTCTCCAGGTGGCACCCACGTCACAATCTGTGTTTCTGTCGATTCTGCTCTTCAGTCCTTTGGTGTATTATTTCGCCCTCCTCACCTCGTCCATCATCTCATTTTTGTGTCTTTATTCTCGGCAGCTTGTTTTCTCCTAATGACATGATGCTCTGCTCTCATAAAAGGTCCATCTTTTTCTGGCATCTCAGTGAGAATGACAGGTCATTTTCTAGAACATTCTGCTGGTTTCTGTGGAAAGCGGCGGATGTTAGCCCTTCCTCTGCATCTTCCATGTTGTCCTTGCTCTCTGGTTTGCAGCATTTTCCTCCGGTGGCTGCTTTATTTGTTTTTCTGTGAAGCTTCATTCTGGGGACCCCATCTGAGCTGGCATCTACAGGCACCCGGCTGTCAGACCATCTGCTGGAGCCAGCATGTTGGGCACAGCCAGTTCAATTCCTGGGGCTGCCTCTTTTTCACCTGGGTCTCAGCTATGCCTCGGTCACTTCTGGCCCCTCCAGGCTCCTCAGGGTCCCTGCCTGACAGGGCTGCATCCCCCGGGTGGGGCGGGGCACTCGTGGCTCCTGCTGTCCCACGTGTGGGCAGGTGGACAGGCAGGCCGTGGAGCCCTGCTCAGCTCTGGGCCACCCACATGGCCTGCATTTTGTGCCTATGCTGCTGCTTTGCCCAAGGTCCTGTGCATACGTCCAGGGTACAAACTTTGATTGTTTTGGGAAACCAGATGGGACTGTTCATATCTGAGGGGCAGAAGCTATTTTAAAGAAGAATTAGAACAGTAATTTCTAGACATAGGTAGAAGATTTCTTTTGATAGACTTACAAAAATACTATATTGCTAATATCTTTGAGAGAATGAGATATAAAGTATGTTACATGTTATTAAAATTTGAGTCCAAAAAATTAGAAAGAAAAAACCATCTGTAATCCCAACACCCAGAGATAAAGCCATCGTGAATGCGTAACATATGTGAAATTAATGCTGAGTAACCAGCCCTGCCACAGGCAGCAGCAGCAAGGTGTGTGGCTCCGACCTCTGTGGTCATTGCCTTTGGCTGTGCTCAGCTGCTGGTTCTCCGTCCCAGCCGGGCTCCCTTAGTGCCTTCAGTCACTTGATGGTTAGGTGGAGCCTTGCTTCGGGGCCCTGGCTGAAGGCAGGAGTAGTGGAGGCTCTGTTCTGTCATGATCCAGCCTTGGTTCCAAAAATGATAGCAGTGTCAGCCTAGGAACAGGCACAGAGTCTCAGACCCTATTCCTTGACCCAAGTCCCAAGCCAGCCGCGATTCAAGGACTGGGGCCCAGACTCAGTGAGAGGGTGTGGAAACAGGCAGGGGATACTTATGGACACTTTTGTATTCTATTACAGTGTATTTCTTTCCAGTATTCTTTCTAAGCTTATTTTAATTAGATATGATCCTATCAGATGCAATTCATACCCAATGTTCTCCAAGTATCCTGGTATAGGTATTTTAAAAGCGTTATTACAGTGCTCCATGGCACAGCTTTAAAGGATTGTCTAACATGCCATTAGGTGACCATATTAGTCTTTTGGACTTTACACTGCTCCAAGGGTAACATTGAACATATTTGGGCACTGATCCCTCAGGACCAAAGCTATCTCTGAACATGGGGCTGAGGTACACACACACACACAGACACACACACACACTTAAATAATTACTGCAGTCAAGCTAATGAACATTCCACCATCTCACAAAGTTACGTTTGGTTTTGTGGTAAGAGCACCTAAAATCTACTTTCCTAGCAAACTTCCAGTGTACAATGCAATATTATTAACTACATTCCTCCTGCTGTATGTTGGGTTTCTAGATTTATTCATCCTGCACAGTTGTGTACCCTTTGACCTACATCTCCCCATTCCCCCACCACCTGCCCCTGGTAACCACATTCTATTGTTTTTACGTATTTGACTTTTTTTTTTTTTTTTTGCTCCCATATGTAAGTGGGATCATGCAGAATTTGTCTTTCCATTCCTGGTTTATTTCATTTAACATAATGTCCTCCAGGTTCATCCATGTTGTCACGGATCACATAATTTCCTTCTTATTTGAGGCTGAACAGTATTCCATAGCATCTATGTACCACATTTCTGTTTTCTTTTTTTAAATTGACAATCTTTGTACATCTCTATGGGGTTCATAGTGGTGTTTCAATCCATATAATGTGTAGTGATAAGATCAGGGTAATTGGCAAAGCCATCATCTCAGACATGTATCATTTCTTCGTGTTGGGAACATTCAATATCCTCCTTCCAGCGATTTGAAACCATATAATATACTGTTAATTACAGTCATCCTACAGTGCTATAGAATGCTAGAATTTATTCCTCTTATCCAGCTGTAATTTTGTATCTTTACAGATCTCCTCTTATCCCTCCCTCCCCCAACCCTTCCCAACCTCTAGTATCCTCTGTTCTGCTTTTCACTTCTAGGAGATCAACATTTTTAAGCTTCCATTTATGAGTGAGAACATGTGCTATTTAGCTTTCTAGCTTGTTTCACTTAACACAGTGTCCTCCAGTTCCATCCGTATTGCTGCAAATGATGGGATTTTATTGTTTTTTTAATGGCTGAGTAACTCCATTGTGTATATGCTGTATTTTCTCTATCCATGTATCTGTTGTTGGACATTACACTCATTCCACATCTTGGCTATTGTCAATAGTGCTGCGGTGAACCTGGGCGTGCAGTGAACCTGGGTGCTGCAGTGAACCTGGGCGTGCAGTGAACCTGGGCGTGCAGTGAACCTGGGTGCTGCAGTGAACCTGGGCGTGCAGTGAACCTGGGCGTGCAGATGTTTCTGCTGGGCTGATTTCATTTCCTCTGGGTCTATACACAGCAGTGGGATTGCTGGATTGTGTAGTAGCTCTAGTTTAAATTTTCTGAAGAAGCTCTATACTGTTTCTATAACTGATCTCAGTGCTGGGACCCCTTGAGCTTAGCCCCCTCCTTCTGAGACTGCCCATGGTGCCCAGGCAGGGCACTCCCTGGCCTGACTGTGCTTGCCTTGCAGAGTCGGTGGCTCTGAGGCTGCGAGGTGGGACCTGCTGCTGTGCTGGGTGGCTGGACGTGTTCTACAATGGGACCTGGGGCGCCATGTGCAGCAATGCCCTGAAGGACCTCTCCTTGTCCATCATCTGCAAGCAGCTGGGGTGTGGGGTGTGGGGAGTGGGGCTGGCTGGAGAACAGGCCCTTCCCCTCTGCGGGCACCGGGACCGCCTGGGTGGACAACATCGAGTGCCGCAGGCTGCCCAACTCCACTCTGTGGCAATGCCCTTCCCACCCATGGCACCCGCACTCTTGCGACCTTCGAGAGCAGGTCTGGATTACCTGTGCAGGTGGGCATTAGAGGTCTCTGGGGGTGCCTGGGAAGAGGTTTATCTGTCCTGACAGGTCACTTACAGGGGATGCCATTCAATCAGAGCCTGGGCCTGGGGGTCACTAGGATCCACAGCCTTCCTTGTGAAGCTTCTCTGGGCACCGAAGCTCTCAGAGCTGCTGTTTAACCCGCAGGATTGTCAGAGGACAGGCCACAGGCTGCTGGGGAGCCCCTCAACTGCTCCTCCTGGCTCGGCTGCCCAGGTACCCCTCTGTCCTTGTCGCTGTCCTCCTTCCCATCCCGGTCCAGCCCCCGCAGTGACCGCAGCCCCTTTTGCAGAGGAGGGCGCACTGCGCGTGCGCGGGGGCGAGGACCGCTGCTCCGGGCGCGTGGAGCTCTGGCACGCGGGCTCCTGGGGCACCGTGTGCGACGATGGCTGGGACCTGGCGGACGCGGAGGTCGTGTGCCGCCAGCTGGGCTGTGGTCGGGCCGTCGCCGCCCTGGGGGCCGCCGCCTTTGGCCCTGGCTCCGGGCCCGTGTGGCTGGACGAGGTGGGGTGCCGGGGCAGCGAGGCGTCCCTGTGGGGCTGCCCTGCGGAGCGGTGGGGACGCGGAGACCGCGCGCACGAGGAGGACGCGGGCGTGCGCTGCTGGGGTGAGTGGGGGGCGGTGGGAAGTCGGTCATGGGGCCGGCAGAGGGCGCTGGGATGGAGTCAGTCTTGAGTGTCACTTCGGTGGGCAGGAGAGCTCGCCCAGGTGTTAGTGGGTTGGTTTCCACCCTGGGATTTTTCTGGGATAGGCTGATTTGCTGTGGAGGCCTGTTTGGGACATGCACTCCCTGGGGTTTCCCCCTAATCTTTTTTGGGAATTCCCTTTTGTTTATTCCAATCCTTGTTCATTTCGGGTATGTGTCACCTGGGTGTTGGCAGGTTCAGTTGTTCCCTGCACCTCATTCTCTTTGCAGAAAACAAACAGTTAACCACAGTGATGACCTTAGCAAAAGCAGCAGCAGTGGTAACTTTCCCTGAGCCACTCCCATTCTCTGTGCTCTGGTCACCTCTTGTGACTTGCCCTGGCATCTGCCTGGGGGCCATGTTTTACCAAGGAAGGGGGCTGTCCCTTGAAAGCAGACACCCCCAGTGGACACTAGCCATTTTGGGGTGCTCTGCACAGCTGAAACCAGCAGATGCCCCCCCAGCACTTCCGACTCGCAGGTCCTCCATGAGGGAGAGGGTGTGGCTGGGCCCTTGGAGCCACCCTGTCCTGCTGAGGGTGTGCAGGTCCCCCCCACCACCCAGCTGGCTCAAGACCTCTCCTTTCTCAGAGCCTGGCCCAGGCCCCCCACTGCCTGCAGCTCCCTTCCGGACATTCTGGGTGGTCAGTGTCGTCCTGGGATCCCTTCTTGGTCTTCTCCTTCTGGGCCTCATGGCTTTTCTGATTCTGCCTCGAGTCACACAAGCCATGCAGAGGGGTAAGCGTGAGCCCACCCTGATCCCATCAACTGGTGTGCAGGAGCAAGAGCAGCTCACAGCTCCAGCCTGGTGTTGGGGTCTGGGCAGGCGGGGTGCCCCACAGCAGTCAGGCCTATGCAGACCTACCCCCAAAGTCCAAGGAACTGAGAAGCTGAAGAAAGAGGCAGACAAATCCAGTTCCTTAGAAAGAAACACTTAAAAGGGACTTATGAAGACAAGCCATGTCCATGCCTTGGATGGCCTCTAGCTGAGACGGTGGATGCCCATATTATCATCCCTCACAACTAGAACTTATATACCTCAGGGGAAGGGGACATGTAGGACAATTGCTTAAGGGCAGGATTTACAGTGAATGCATGCTCTTATGCAAGGAACAGTAGATAAAATAGAAATCTTAGAGGCCTTCCCGGAACTGGAGTTGGTCAGAAGTCAACACGGTGGATCAGCATTCAGGGCAGAGTTGCTTCAGCCTGCAGGCTGATCTCACTTAGGGCTCATTTTATTGGCCAGAGAGAGTGGCAGACATCTGCATCAGCCTCCAGCCCTCAAGACTGAGCTCAACCCTAGAAGGTTCCCCCAGGCAGCACATTGGGGCCCACTGGGAAGCATCATGTGGTTTGCTGGCAAGGGACGGTGGCCAGGGATGGGAGGGCACTGGGAGTCTGGCTATGTTGCCGTGGTCCCTCCATCCCAGCCCACAGCATCCTGCCTCTTTGCTGCCTGGCTGGGGTTCCTGCCTGGAGTTGCTGTCCTCCCTTGCCTGTGGCCACATCCACACTGAGGGCCTGTGTGTGACCATGCTCACCTTGCCTCAGGTCTGGGAAGATCCGAGGTATCTCCTGGAGAAGCCATCTATGATGTCATTGGGGAAATGCCGCCAGCAGGACTGTACGAGGAAATCATGGAGGCCGAGGCTGTGCTCCAAGATGAGGAGGACGGAAGTGTGGTGAAGGTGGACACAGAAGCCGCAGGTGGGTTTGTGCTCCAGCTCAGGGGTGAGCTCTGGGGTGGGCTACGGATGCTGACCACAAGATGCAGTGGAAAGGGACTCTGACCACAGGAGCCTGGCTTCAGAAGGCTGCTGACCACAGGGCTCATGGATGCAAAGGGACTCGTGGGCAGGGGAGAGCAGGGCCACACCCATGAGGGCAGAGTCAGTGGCTGGAGTCCCCATCGGAGAGGCCTGCCCTGTGGTGGGAGAAGAGGGCTGGTCGGGTGTGCTGGGAGCCGCGGGTCTGGCAGGGGCATATGCTGCAGCTCACTCAGCCTCAGTTTCATCACCTGTGGGAGCTGTGCTGCTGTCACAGGCTGCTTGGGGTGCTTCAATGTCAGGATGCCTTGAACATTGCCAGGTGCTTTCTGGTTGACATGTTTATGCGTTCCTGTCTTACGGGCTTTGCCAAATGTGCTCTGGGGACAACTTGCACGTGTGCTGATTTGGTCACGCGGTGTCTCTTGCGCCAGTTTCAGGGGAGGTGTCTAACCTCCTGGAGGGACAGTCTATACGTGCGGAGGGAGGACACAGCAGACCTGTTTCTCAGGGATATGACGAGGCTGCGTTTCCTCTGGAGGAGATGACGTTGTAAAGCAACCTGAGGATGAGATACACCAGCTGGCTGTCGAAATCACAGCTCTTCATTTTCTTGTACAATTGTAGTGGATTTCGTGAGAACACCTTGGATGCCTTTCTCTTGCAATGTCCTCCATGTCCATGTAAAATCCAGTCCTTCCAGGCCCTGCCTGGCTCTAAACCTCATCCCCTTCGAGGGCCATCTGCTGTGGACAGTTGTGCTGTGTAACCTTCAGATTTCCCACACATTACAGCAAATGCAAATACACATAGAAATCAGTGGTTCCATTTGTGGTTTAGAGACACATGGTGCCATCTTCATCTTCCGCTCCACAGCTCGCTTCTGGCACCCAGCAGTGGGTTGCAGAGCTCCCCATGCCAGAACCTTCCTCTTTTTTCTTAAAAACTCTTCTTAATTGAATCCAAAGTATCTTTTAAATGTTCTACTTGTGTAATCATGTCATCTGTGAATATTCAGATTTATCTTCTCCTTCCAATCCGTGTACATTTAATCTCTTTTTCTGTGCCTTATTTCGGGGGCTGGGACCCTTCAGTCCAGTGTTGAAGAGAGGCAGCCAGTGGAGGTCTTGTCTCATTCAAGGACTCAGAGCAAATGTGTTCCACATTTAATTTCACTATGAAATATAATATTTGATGTTCAGTTTTGTAGATGCTATTTATCAGATCAAGGAAAGCCCAGTCTATACCTAATTTGTTAAGGGTTTTGCTTTTTATCATAAGTGTTGACTTTTATCAAATTCTTTTTTGTATCTATTAAGATGATAGATGATTGATTTTCATATGTTAAATTAACCATGGGTTAAACAAACTTACCTTTATCATGATATATTATTCTTTTTGTATTTCACAGGAATTAGTTTGGTAATATGTTGGGTCAA
Source organism: Homo sapiens (assembly GCF_000001405.40). NCBI lineage: Eukaryota > Metazoa > Chordata > Mammalia > Primates > Hominidae > Homo > Homo sapiens. Next base: position 133,468,852 of record NC_000010.11, read on the forward strand.
TGTTTAAAAAAGAAAATGATGTGTAATTTTTTTCTTTTATTGTAGTATTTCTGTTTAATTTTTGGTATGAGGATTATTCAGGTCTCATAAGAGTTAGGAGTATATTCTCTTTTAAAAAATATTTGCTAATTTACACTCCCACCAACAGTGTAAAAGTGTTCTTATTTCTCCACATCCTCTCCAGCATCTGTTGTTTCCTGACTTTTTAATAATCGCCATTCTAACTGGCATGAGATGATATCTCATTGTGGTTTTGATTTGCATTTCTCTAATGACCAGTGATGATGAACTTTTTTTCATATGTTTGTTGGCTGCATAAATGTCTTCTTTTGAGAAGTGTCTGTTCATATCCTTCACCCACTTTTTGATGGGGTTGTTTGCTTTTACCTTGTAAATTTGTTTAAGTTCCTTGTAGATTCTGGACATTAGCCCTTTGTCAGATGGATAGATTGCAAAAATTTTCTCCCATCCCGTAGGTTGCCTGTTCACTCTGATGACCTATCAATGATAGACTGGATAAAGAAAATGTGGCACATATACACCATGGAATATTATGCAGCCAGAAAAAAGGATGAATTCATGTCCTTTGCAGGGACGTGGATGAAGCTGGAAAACATCATTCTCAGCAAACTAACACTGGAACAGAAAACCAAACACTGCATGTTCTCACTCATAAGTGGGAGTTGAACAATGAGAACACATGGACACGGGGAGGGGAACATCACACACTGGGGCCTGTCAGGGGGTGGGGGGCTAGGGAAGGGATAGCATGAGGAGAAACACCTAAGGTAGATGACGGGTTGATGGGTGCAGCAAACCACCACGACACGTGTATACCTATGTAACAAACCTGCACATTCTGCACAGGTACCCCAGAACTTAAAGAATAATTTAAAAAAATTTGCAAGAGTTTATGTAGCATTGGTTTTATTTCTTCTTAAATGTTGGAAGAACTCACTAGTAAAGCTCTCTAGGCTTGGAGTTTCCTCTTTAGTGAGGTTTTTTTTTTCCAGATTTAATTTTTTAAAATAAATAGTTGAAGTATTCAGATTCTCTATTTCCTATTAGATCTGCTTTGTTCAGTCCTTTTAAAAAATGAATTGGTACATTTAATCTAAATTTTCAAGTTTTTCCATATAAATTTGTTAATAGTATCTTTCTACTAGCCTTAATGTCTACAAAATCTGTAGTCATGTGCATTTTTCAATCCTGATAGTGGCAATTTGTGTCTTCTCTCCTTTTTTTTTTTTTTTTTCGAGACCAAGGTCTCACTGTGTTGCCCACACCAGACTCAAACTCCTGGGCTCTAGCGATCCTCCCTCACAGCCCCCCGCACAGCTGGGACTCTGGGCACTCTGCTGTTCTTGACCGGTGCTGCTGGCGGCTTCATCTCATTAGTCTTTCCAAGGCACGTGGAGCTTGTGCCTTTGGTTTTCTTGATTTTTCTTGGTGAACATCTGCCTTCTAATTCGTTTATTTCTGTTCTCATCTTTGTGATTTCCTTCTGCTTATTCTAGCTTTTTTATATGGACATTCAGATTGTTGATATTCAGCATTTTTTCTTTTTTAATGCATATATTTTAGGTTATAACTTTCCCTTTTAGCATGGCTTTGGCTGCATTCCAAGAGTTTTGATATGTTGTGATTTTGTTTTAATAGGTTTATGGGGGTATAATTAGCATATAATAAACTTCACATATTTAAAGAATACATTGCAATAAGTTTTGACATGCACGTACACCCCTGAAAGGATCGCAGCGTCTATGAGAATGGACGCATCCATCGCCCCCAACGTTTTTCATGTATGTTTGAACATCTGTCCTGTCCCTTCCTGTGTCCTGCCCCTCAGGTGATAAAGTTCAGCTTTCTGACACTGTAGACTAGTTTGCACTATTTTAATTTTATGTAAATGGATTATATAGTATGTACTCTTTTTTCGGGGATGAGAGTCTGGCTTTTTTCGCTCAGCACAATTACTTGCGATTCATCCATGTGGTGAGAAACCATAGTTCATTTCTTCCTCTTGGCAAATAGCGCTCCATTGTGCTGTTTACCTGTTCACTTGATGGACATTTGCATTGCTTAAAGCTTCCAGCTATTGCAAAAAAAGCTGCTACAAATATTCATGTACCAGTCGTCATATGGACTCGTGCTTTCATTTCTCTTGGCTACCTAGGAATGGAACGATTGTAAGGTACGTGCAAGTTTAACATTCTACCAACCTTTCTGGAGTGGCTGCATCATGTTACATCTCCCCAGTAATCTCTGAGTGTTCTGCTTCCTCCACAAGGTTCCAACACTCGGTTGATAACGTTTGACATTCTAACAGGTATATGGTGCTGTGTCCTTGTGGTTTTAATTTGCATTTACCTAAGGACTAATGATATTGAACACCTTTTCATGTGTTTATTTGCCATCTGTATATGTACTCTGTTGAAGTGTCTGTTCAACATTTTTGCTCATGCTTTATTGGGTTGTTTGAGTTTTGAGCATTCTCATGAGCTCCCCTGGGGTGGTCCTTTCCAACTGTGGCCCTGGTACTGAGGGGTCCTCCCCACAGCAGGAACACAGGAAGAAAGTGTTCAATCAAGTCCTGCAGGATGGCCTCAGCCAGGTCCAGATGTGGGCTTGGGGGCCAGGCCACACTAAGCACCTTCCTCCCTCTGGGCTGTCTCCCCACAAGACTCACAGAGCTGAGCCAGGTGTCCCATTGGGCACACAGGGGACCCCACCCTGACAGCGGCCCCCATTGTACTTTGGGCCATTGCTGATCTTTGCTCTTGGTGGGCTGGCGGCTCAGATGTTGCCCAAGAGGCTGTGGGGCAGGAGCAAAGTCTGGGAGACTGGGAGGCTCTGGCTCTTAGGAAGTATCAAAGGCACCCAGGCCTGTGGGAAGAGGTGTCCTGGAGAGGAAAATGGCAGAGGGAGGTGTGTCTGCCCCAGCCGTGTGGGGCTGGAGAGTTGGGGAGAGAATGCATTTGCTATGACAATTCAGTGTTAAGAGTCCACGTGCCAGCAGAGCAGCCCCCAGCCTTGGCGCTACTGACCTTGGGGCTGGGTTGTTCTCTGCGTGGGGCCATCCTGTGCATCACAGGTGCTGAGCAGCATCCCTGGCCTCCACCCACCAGGCACCAGTGGCAGCCCCCTTCCAGTTGTGACAATAAAAAAATGTCTCCAGACGTCACCAAATGTTTCCTGGGGGCAAAATCAGCACAGTTGGAACTTCTGGGTTAGCAGCAGATTGGATAGGATGATGGTGAGTGACTGCCTAAACCATCACCAGCCTGTGTGAGCTGACAAAGGAGGGCTCCTTACTTATGAGTTTATTTGTGTAAAGTCTTAAAAAATTAAAGATATTAGCTTAGTAATTATACACATAATGAATTAACTTTACTGAAAAGAATAGTATGTAGAAAAAATGAGAATTTTAGCAAAATTATTAGACGGTGATGAATGTGGTGTCTCCCTCCTGAGATCTGGTTGTTGAGTGCGGCGTCTCCCTCCTGAGATCTAGTCGTTGAGTGTGGCGTCTCCCTCCTGAGGTCTGGTCAGTTGAGTGTGGCATCTCCCTCCTGAGATCTGGTCAGTTGAAAGTGTGGCGTCTCCGTCCTGAGATCTGGTCATTGAGTGTGGCGTCTCCCTCCTGAGATCTGGTCAGTTGAGTGTGGCGTCTCCCTCCTGAGGTCTGGTCAGTTGAGTGTGGCGTCTCCCTCCTGAGGTCTGGTCAGTTGAGTGTGGCGTCTCCCTCCTGAGATCTGGTCAGTTGAGTGTGGCGTCTCCCTCCTGAGATCTGGTCAGTTGAGTGTGGCGTCTCCCTCCTGAGGTCTGGTCAGTTGAGTGTGGCGTCTCCCTCCTGAGATCTGGTCGTTGAGTGTGGCGTCTCCCTTCTGAGATCTGGTCAGTTGAAAGTGTGGCGTCTCCCTCCTGAGATCTGGTCAGTGGAAAGTGTGGCGTCTCCCTCCTGAGATCTGGTCAGTTGAAAGTGTGGCGTCTCCCTCCTGAGATCTGGTCAGTGGAAAGTGTGGCGTCTCCCTCCTGAGATCTGGTCGTTGAGTGTGGCGTCTCCCTCCTGAGATCTGGTCGTTGAGTGTGGCGTCTCCCTCCTGAGATCTGGTCATTGAGTATGGTGTCTCCCTCCTGAGATCTGGTCAGTGGAAAGTGTGGCGTCTCCCTCCTGGGATGTAAGTTGTTGAGTGTGGCGTCTCCGTCCTGAGATGTGTTCAGTTGAGTGTGGCATCTCCCTCCTGAGATTTGGTCATTGAGTGTGGTGTCTCCCCCTCTTTCTTGTTCCTCTTTTGCCATGTGAGGCACCTGCTCCCCCTTCACCTTCCACCATGACTGGAAACTTCCTGAGGCCTCCCCAGAAGCAGATACCACTCTCCTTCCTGTACAGCCTGCAGAACCATGAGCCAATTAAACCTTTTTTTCTTAAAAATTACAGAGTCTCAGGTATTTTTTTATAGCAGTGTGAGAACAGATGAATACAGAGACCCCTCCCAAGGGAACATCCTGTGTCTAATTGTTGGTGGGTGTCTCACCGACCCCAGAGTTGAAGAAGCTCCTTTGCTTAGCTTGTTTCCCATAGGCTGAGCACAGGGTCCCCCAGGGAGTGCCTGGTTGACGGTGGTCAGGTGGCTCAGACCTGCTGAGTCTTGCTGGGGATGGCCCTGCTGCCTGAGGATCCCAAAACGTTGGAAGATGAGGGACTCTCATTGGGCTTTGAGGATCCCCGTAGCCCTAGGACAATTCCAGGTATGTAGCAGGTGCTCCCACATCTTACCACTTAGCTTGGATTTTGAGGTTTAAATGCTACAAATATGGTTACTTATTGTGGGCCATGAAATAACCTTAAATCAGTGTTGCAGTGACCTTTGATACTGAATGTTTTTATAAATCAACATTATTTTTAAAGAAAAGTGGTGTGTTTGATTAGGAAAATCCGGCATAGCTGAAGGTTATAACACATTTGAATAAATTAGAGGAAGTGTTCAAATCTTGGGTTGCTGAAATGCTATTACATATACTGTCATGGAAAATAGATAATCATTGGCCAGAGATTAAAAACATGTGCCGATTGATTGAGTTGAAGGATGTTAGAAGGTTTGGAAAATTAAAGGGGCCAGTTGTCTTCCTGTGATGAAATTAAGAAGCACTTTAAATCAGCCATGGCCACGTCTCTGGTTCTTTTGCAATGACTGTTTTCTCCATGTCTTATTTTCTGCACTTGGTCTCTAAGATAAATTGCTAGGTTTCTCCTGAGCACAATTATCATCTCAGTTCTACCTGTGGGCACTTGCTGTGACCACCTACACTGCTTTACCAATCAGTTGTGGGCCTTTGGCCCAAACAAGGAAGTGAGTCAACCCCCATGGGCTCACAATGCCTCATCTACGTGGCCAGGCCTGCTGAGTGCAGAGTGGGGGTCTGGGCTTCAGCCTGCCAGAAGACTCTTAGTCTCCTCAGACCCTTTGGATGCTCCATCCTTGAAGTCAGGACAGTGTCTCCCTGGACACTGCAGGCCACCTCAGCGTCTGGATGGGCACATAAGAATTGTGATGAAAATATTTACCTTCCCGAGTTCACATCAACAGCCAGACATGCTGACAGTGTGCATCCCGGTGTGGTGTGATGAGAATGTCACGTGCCTCTGTGTCTTTCCGCCCCAAAACCCGTAACTTTCATCATGAGTAAAAAAATAATCAGGCGAATCCCAGTCAAGGGAATACCTGGAAGATACAAAATACCTGGCCAATATTCTCCAAAACTACCAAGTTCATCAAAAGCAAGGAAAGTCTGAGAAAATGCTGCAGTCAAGAGAAGCCTAAGGAAACTCCTAACTGTGATGTGGACAGAAGGACGTTAGGGGAACACGGAGGAACTGGGAATCAGCCATGGATTGCAGTTGACAGTATAGGATCGATACTGGCACATTAATGTAACACATGCTAATGGGAGATGTCAGTAACGGGAAACTGGGTGGGGGCAAATTTAAAACTATTCTAAAAGATTAAGTCTATTTAAATAAAATTCCATCCTCCTGCAGGGAGGGTTGCACATGGCCCTTGTGTGCCCAGGGCAGAGGTGCTGGGGAGAAGCCACCAGCTCTGGAATTGATCTCCCCAGGTCCATCACCCAGAAGCCCTGCAGGTGCCCTGGCCTGTCTCTGCTCGAGCCTGGGGGCGGTTCCCATGGGGACCCCTTTCTACCTCCGAGTGGGGTAATTGCTCCCTGAGAGCCGCTCCTGGGGACACGTGGGCCTCTGTAGCAACCTCAGCATCCACCCCGAGGGGACAGACTTCACTCAAAGGTCAGCATCAAACACAGGAGACACTGACTGGGAAGAGACGGGCGTCAGCCTTGAGGCACCATCATGTCCATGGACATGTGGGCTCCCATTTAGACAGGAGCTGGCCTAGCCACACTCCTCACTCAGTGAGTGGCTGCAACCCTCCATGCCTGCCTTCCACATGGATGACCCACCTAATTTTCCTTTCAATGTTTTTGAAAAGTCAGATCTGATTCTACCCTGCCCTGACCTACATTAATGTGGAAAAAATGTTGCTGAAATTGCTTTGCTGTTGTGTTGAGGGTTTCCGTTTGAAACTCTAAGTGCCTGGGAACCTCTGTGGGCCTGCACTGTGCCCTATCTGTGCCCTCGATCAGGTGAGCAAGAAGCCGGAGCCCCGTGGTTTGGCCTTTAAGGCAGATCAGGATCTGTAAGAGGGGCCTGGAAGCTTCCTGTGAATCTGGTGCAAGGCTCCACCTGCCCTTGGTTTCACAGGCAAATGGGGCTCCTGTGATGGAGGATGGATTTCGGGCCTCAGACTGGGCAGCCAGGAGGTCTTTGGGACTGCCTGAGCTGAGGGCTGCCTGGGCTGAGGACTGCCTGGGCTGAGGGACTGCCTGGGCTGGGGGGACTGCCTGGGCTGAGGGCTGCCTGGGCTGAGGACTGCCTGGGCTGGGGGGACTGCCTGGGCTGAGGGCTGCCTGGGCTGGGGGGACTGCCTGGGCTGAGGACTGCCTGGGCTGAGGGACTGCCTGGGCTGGGGGGACTGCCTGGGCTGAGGACTGCCTGGGCTGAGGACTGCCTGGGCTGAGGACTGCAGCTGAAGGCTGCCTGGGTTGAAGACTACCTGGGCTGGGTGCCTCCTGGGCTGGGAAGGAAGTGGGTTTGGCCTTGTTTCCTCTGATGTTGACTAAGCCGCCTCTCCTTGCCCTGGGCTGGGCCTGTCCTGCCCGAGGAGGCTAGGTGGTCAGAGATGGGTGGTGGGAGAGGTATGTGAGGTTGGTTGAGTGGAGGCACTGGATTAGGGGCTGCACCGAGGCTGGGTCTGTGCCTTTCTTTGATGTATCCAGTCTCGGACACAGCCTGACACCCCCTGATGGAACAAACCTCCCACCCAGACCAGGAACAGGAATGGCCAGTCCATGCCCGCTTCTGCATGGAGTCTGCCCTCCTGAGGGAGCGGCCTGGGGTGGCTGAGGTAGGGCCGCAGTCATGGTTTCTACTAAGGAGCTGTGGCCAGGTCAACCTACAGCTGAAATCTGACAGCTGAGGTCACCTGGCCAAAAGAGCTGGAGTCTGGCCTGGTGGTAGTTGGAGCCACTCACTGCCCTGATGTCCCCACATGCCTCCCTTTGGAGAGTGCCCCTCACAGCCTCTGCAGGTGAAACCTGTGCTGTCCTGACGCTAACTCTCCATAAAGCCCATGCCTGCTGGGTGGTTTTCCTTCTCCGCGACCCAGAATCTTGTGCCCAGGTCACTGATGTGGTCTCCACCTGCCTCGGGGGCCAAACACACTTGCACACCACGAGCTTCTGTGTGCTGGAATAATGGAGGAAATGTTTAAAATCAAAGCAATGAGAGGCTCTTGCTGCATTTTTGTTATTTACTGTGATGCCAGCCCCGCTGCAGGCCGGCAGGGAGCACTGTCCTCGGGGGTGAGTGACGCTGGGCTTGTTGACTCCCTCGCAGAGTGGAGGGTTAATGCTCTGATTCTCCCTGGGCGCAGGGACCCATGTTAACATCTTAATTATGTGCTTTCTGCAGCAAAGTTGCCAACAGCAAACTTTCCCAGAGAGTCTCAGCAGGACAGCGAACAAGGGGACAGGTCCCAGAGAGTCTCAGCAGGACAGCGAGCAAGCGGACAGGTCGCAGAGCGACTCAGCAGGACAGCGAGCAAGGGGACAGGTCCCAGAGAGTCTCAGCAGGACAGCGAGCAAGCGGACAGGTCCCAGAGAGTCTCAGCAGGACAGCGAGCAAGCGGACAGGTCCCAGAGAGTCTCAGCAGGACAGCGAGCAAGCGGACAGGTCCCAGAGAATCTCAGCAGGACAGCGAGCAAGCGGACAGGTCCCAGAGAGTCTCAGCAGGACAGCGAGCAAGCCGACAGGTCCCAGAGAGTCTCAGCAGGACAGCGAGCAAGCGGACAGGTCCCAGAGTCTCAGCAAGACAGCGAGCAAGGGGACAGGTCCCAGAGAGTCTCAGCAGGACAGCGAGCAAGCGGACAGGTCCCAGAGAGTCTCAGCAGGACAGCGAGCAAGGGGACAGGTCCCAGAGAGTCTCAGCAGGACAGCGAGCAAGCGGACAGGTTCCAGAGAGTCTCAGCAGGACAGCGAGCAAGCCGACAGGTCCCAGAGAGTCTCAGCAGGACAGCGAGCAAGCAGACAGGTCCCAGAGTCTCAGCAAGACAGCGAGCAAGGGGACAGGTCCCAGAGAGTCTCAGCAGGACAGCGAGCAAGCGGACAGGTCCCAGAGAGTGTCAGCAGGACAGCGAGCAAGCGGACAGGTCCCAGAGAGTCTCAGCAGGACAGCGAGCAAGGGGACAGGTCCCAGAGAGTCTCAGCAGGACAGCGAGCAAGCGGACAGGTCCCAGAGAGTGTCAGCAGGACAGCGAGCAAGCGGACAGGTCCCAGAGTCTCAGCAAGACAGCGAGCAAGGGGACAGGTCCCAGAGAGTCTCAGCAGGACAGCGAGCAAGCGGACAGGTCCCAGAGAGTCTCAGCAGGACAGCGAGCAAGGGGACAGGTCCCAGAGAGTCTCAGCAGGACAGCGAGCAAGGGGACAGGTCCCAGAGAGTCTCAGCAGGACAGCGAGCAAGCCGACAGGTCCCAGAGAGTCTCAGCAGGACAGCGAGCAAGCGGACAGGTCCCAGAGAGTCTCAGCAGGACAGCGAGCAAGCCGACAGGTCCCAGAGAGTCTCAGCAGGACAGCGAGCAAGCGGACAGGTCCCAGAGTCTCAGCAAGACAGCGAGCAAGGGGACAGGTCCCAGAGAGTCTCAGCAGGACAGCGAGCAAGCGGACAGGTCCCAGAGAGTGTCAGCAGGACAGCGAGCAAGCGGACAGGTCCCAGAGAGTCTCAGCAGGACAGCGAGCAAGGGGACAGGTCCCAGAGAGTCTCAGCAGGACAGCGAGCAAGCGGACAGGTCCCAGAGAGTGTCAGCAGGACAGCGAGCAAGCGGACAGGTCCCAGAGAGTCTCAGCAGGACAGCGAGCAAGCGGACAGGTCCCAGAGAGTCTCAGCAGGACAGCGAGCAAGCGGACAGGTCCCAGAGCGTCTCAGCAGGACAGCGAGCAAGGGGACAGGTCCCAGAGAGTGTCAGCAGGACAGCGAGCAAGGGGACAGGTCCCAGAGAGTCTCAGCAGGACAGCGAGCAAGGGGACAGGTCCCAGAGAGTCTCAGCAGGACAGCGAGCAAGGGGACAGGTCCCAGAGAGTCTCAGCAGGACAGCGAGCAAGCGGACAGGTCCCAGAGCGTCTCAGCAGGACAGCGAGCAAGGGGACAGGTCCCAGAGAGTGTCAGCAGGACAGCGAGCAAGGGGACAGGTCCCAGAGAGTCTCAGCAGGACAGCGAGCAAGGGGACAGGTCCCAGAGAGTCTCAGCAGGACAGCGAGCAAGGGGACAGGTCCCAGAGAGTCTCAGCAGGACAGCGAGCAAGCCGACAGGTCCCAGAGCGTCTCAGCAGGACAGCGAGCAAGGGGACAGGTCCCAGAGAGTCTCAGCAGGACAGCGAGCAAGCGGACAGGTCCCAGAGAGTCTCAGCAGGACAGCGAGCAAGCGGACAGGTCCCAGAGAGTCTCAGCAGGACAGCGAGCAAGCGGACAGGTCCCAGAGAGTCTCAGCAGGACAGCGAGCAAGCGGACAGGTCCCAGAGAGTCTCAGCAGGACAGCGAGCAAGCGGACAGGTCCCAGAGAGTCTCAGCAGGACAGCGAGCAAGCGGACAGGTCCCAGAGAGTCTCAGCAGGACAGCGAGCAAGGGGACAGGTCCCAGAGAGTCTCAGCAGGACAGCGAGCAAGGGGACAGGTCCCAGAGAGTCTCAGCAGGACAGCGAGCAAGGGGACAGGTCCCAGAGAGTCTCAGCAGGACAGCGAGCAAGCGGACAGGTCCCAGAGAGTCTCAGCAGGACAGCGAGCAAGCCGACAGGTCCCAGAGAGTCTCAGCAGGACAGCAAGCAAGCGGACAGGTCCCAGAGTCTCAGCAAGACAGCGAGCAAGGGGACAGGTCCCAGAGAGTCTCAGCAGGACAGCGAGCAAGCGGACAGGTCCCAGAGAGTCTCAGCAGGACAGCGAGCAAGCGGACAGGTCCCAGAGAGTCTCAGCAGGACAGCGAGCAAGCCGACAGGTCCCAGAGAGTCTCAGCAGGACAGCGAGCAAGCGGACAGGTCCCAGAGTCTCAGCAAGACAGCGAGCAAGGGGACAGGTCCCAGAGAGTGTCAGCAGGACAGCGAGCAAGCGGACAGGTCCCAGAGAGTCTCAGCAGGACAGCGAGCAAGGGGACAGGTCCCAGAGAGTCTCAGCAGGACAGCGAGCAAGCGGACAGGTCCCAGAGAGTGTCAGCAGGACAGCGAGCAAGCGGACAGGTCCCAGAGTCTCAGCAAGACAGCGAGCAAGGGGACAGGTCCCAGAGAGTCTCAGCAGGACAGCGAGCAAGCGGACAGGTCCCAGAGAGTCTCAGCAGGACAGCGAGCAAGGGGACAGGTCCCAGAGAGTCTCAGCAGGACAGCGAGCAAGGGGACAGGTCCCAGAGAGTCTCAGCAGGACAGCGAGCAAGCCGACAGGTCCCAGAGAGTCTCAGCAGGACAGCGAGCAAGCGGACAGGTCCCAGAGTCTCAGCAAGACAGCGAGCAAGGGGACAGGTCCCAGAGAGTGTCAGCAGGACAGCGAGCAAGCGGACAGGTCCCAGAGAGTCTCAGCAGGACAGCGAGCAAGGGGACAGGTCCCAGAGAGTCTCAGCAGGACAGCGAGCAAGCGGACAGGTCCCAGAGAGTGTCAGCAGGACAGCGAGCAAGCGGACAGGTCCCAGAGAGTGTCAGCAGGACAGCGAGCAAGGGGACAGGTCCCAGAGAGTCTCAGCAGGACAGCGAGCAAGCGGACAGGTCCCAGAGAGTGTCAGCAGGACAGCGAGCAAGCGGACAGGTCCCAGAGAGTCTCAGCAGGACAGCGAGCAAGCGGACAGGTCCCAGAGAGTCTCAGCAGGACAGCAAGCAAGCGGACAGGTCCCAGAGCGTCTCAGCAGGACAGCGAGCAAGGGGACAGGTCCCAGAGAGTGTCAGCAGGACAGCGAGCAAGGGGACAGGTCCCAGAGAGTCTCAGCAGGACAGCGAGCAAGGGGACAGGTCCCAGAGAGTCTCAGCAGGACAGCGAGCAAGGGGACAGGTCCCAGAGAGTCTCAGCAGGACAGCGAGCAAGCGGACAGGTCCCAGAGCGTCTCAGCAGGACAGCGAGCAAGGGGACAGGTCCCAGAGAGTGTCAGCAGGACAGCGAGCAAGGGGACAGGTCCCAGAGAGTCTCAGCAGGACAGCGAGCAAGGGGACAGGTCCCAGAGAGTCTCAGCAGGACAGCGAGCAAGGGGACAGGTCCCAGAGAGTCTCAGCAGGACAGCGAGCAAGGGGACAGGTCCCAGAGAGTCTCAGCAGAACAGCGAGCAAGCGGACAGGTCCCAGAGAGTCTCAGCAGGACAGCGAGCAAGCGGACAGGTCCCAGAGAGTCTCAGCAGGACAGCGAGCAAGCGGACAGGTCCCAGAGAGTCTCAGCAGGACAGCGAGCAAGGGGACAGGTCCCAGAGAGTCTCAGCAGGACAGCGAGCAAGGGGACAGGTCCCAGAGAGTCTCAGCAGGACAGCGAGCAAGCCGACAGGTCCCAGAGAGTCTCAGCAGGACAGCGAGCAAGCGGACAGGTCCCAGAGAGTCTCAGCAGGATGGCGAGCAAGAGGACAGGTCCCAGAGAGTCTCAGCAGGACAGCGAGCAAGCGGACAGGTCCCAGAGAGTCTCAGCAGGACGGCGAGCAAGAGGACAGGTCGCCTGGCCACCCTGTTCCTGGGCTGGTGGCACTAGCTGTGCCCAGTGACCCCTGAGGGCCTCGCGCTCCTAATGGCAGCAGACAACCACACAGCGTAGAGGCGTTTGTCCTGCAGGGTTTCTCTGAAGACCTTCCACTCCAGGGCTGCTGCTTTGCTTTTTTCCTCCTTTACCTGATGGCACTTGTAGGAAACATCCTCATGGTCATGGCCATCAGTCTGAATCCAGGCCTCCACACGCCAGTGTACTTCTTTCTCACCAACCTGGCCCTTTTAGACATCGTCTGCACATCCATGGACAACAGCAGAGTGGTGGCTGTGCTGTACACAGTGGTCAGCCCCACCCTGAACCCCTCACCTACTCCCTGCGGAACAAGGACTTATCAGTAGCACTGAGGAGAGTGTTTTCTTGCATCAGGTAAAAGGAAGGGAAGTTTCTAGTGTGAAATGTTCCAGGTGTTAACAAACTAATTTCAACATATGACTTTGAGAATCTCATGCAAGCAGCAAGGAACAAGAAAGTAATTAATGCCACATATTTATAAATAATGTGCTCCCGCACGGGGCTGCCATCATTCAATGTGGAACTCCCAACATCCCAAGGCTGTATGGGTAGGTGCAGTCAGGGCTACAAGGCAGCAGGGAGCTAAGGGAGGGCCAGCGGCTAGTTGAGCAGGAGCCCAAAAGGGCCACTTAACACCCTCCGACACCCCATGCACCTGCTTGACTCCCTTTCACTGGCAACTGGGTCCCAGGAGCAATGTGGGAGCATTCACCTTGGGGGTGCCGCTGGCCGTGTCTTCGTTTAGTCAGGGGTTCTTGCCCGGGGATGGGTCGAGAGTCACATATGCCCACTGTGCACACTGCCTGGTCTATGTTGACGGGGTGGGGGCATTTCTTGATATCCTGCTTTGGAGAAAATCACCCAAACCCCGACTCTCCAACCCAACTCCTCTTGGTGTGAGGTCAAGGAAAACATGAGAAATGCTCTCCTCCCTGTGTGAGGTTTCGTGGTCCTGGCACCATAAAGGGTGAGAGATGGGGTTATCCAGCCTTTCTTTTTAATGACCTGCAGGAAATACATGGGGCTTTACTGATTTACTTCCTTTCAGAGAAGGGCATTCTCATTCTTTAATTTATGCACCAATCACCTACATTCTGTCATTAACTTATTATCTTTGTTTAATTGATTATCCTTGTGTCCATCACCAATCCATCTATTTTATGCATTTCAAAGCCAGTTGCAAACATCATTTCACTTCTTAAATACTTCTGCGTGCATATCATTAAACATTTGTTTATAGTTATTTTTCCTTTTAAGGTAATATTTTCAAACAACAAAATGCATAAATAAGGGTGTACGTTTGCTGAGTAATGTAATTATCAAATCAGGTGCCCATGTGTGATGATCAAATCGGGTACCCGTGTGTGATGATCAGATCCTTCTGTCTAATTGTATGTTTGTACCCCTTAACAACCTCTGTTCATCCCCTTCCCCCACACTCTTCCCAGCATCTGGTAACTATCATTTTACCCTCTACCTCCATGAGATCAACTTTTTAAGCTCCCACATGTGAGTGAGAACATGCAATATTTGTCTTTCTATGGCCAGCTTATTTCACTTGTCATAATGACCTCCAGTTCCATCCATGTTGCTGCACATGATAAGATTTCATTCTTTTTTATGGCTGAATAGTATTCCATTGTGTATATATACCACATTTTCCTTATCCCTTCATTCATTGATGGACACTTAGGTTGATTCCATATCTTGGCTATTGTGAATAGTGCTGCAATAAACATGGGGGTACAGGTATCCCTTTGATATACTGATTTCTTTTCCTTTGGATAAATACCCAGTGGGATTGCTGGTTCATATGGTAGTTCTATTTTTAGTTTTTGAGAAACCTCCATACTGTTTGCCATGATGGCTGTACTAATTTACATATCCACTAACAGTGCACGAGAGTTCCCTTTTATCTGCGCTCTTGCCGCCATTTGTTATTTTTTTGTCTTTTTGATAATAACCGTCCTAACTGGGATGAGATGACATCTCATTGTGGTTTTGATTTGTGTCTCCCTGATGATTCTTGATGTTGAGCATTTTTTTTACATACCTGTTGTCTATTTGCATGTCTTCTTTTGAGAAATGTCTATTCAGATCATTTGCCCATTTTTAAATCTTTTTTTTTCTGTTGAGATGTTGCAGCTTCTTTTATATTCTGGATATTAATCACTTCTTGGATGATTGGTTTGCAGATATTTTCTCCCATTCTATAGGTTGTCTCACCACTCTTTTGATTGTTTCCTTCACCATGTAAAAATCTTTTAGTTTGATATAACACTATTTGTTAATTTTTGCTTTTGTTGCTTGTGATTTCAAGGTCTTATTCATAAAATCTTTTTTTTCAGACCAATGTTCTGAAGCATTTACCCTATGTTTTCTTCTAGCAGTTTTATAGTTTTGGGTCTTACATTTAGATCTTTGATTCATTTTGAGTTGATTTTTGTATAGAGTAGAAAGGGGTCTAGTTTTATTCTTCTGCATGTGAATATCTAGTTTTCCCAGTACCATTTATTAAAGAAGCTGTCCTTTCCTCAGTGAATATTCTTGGCACCTTTGTCAAAAATCAGTTGGCTGTAGATATGTGGATTAATTTCTGGGTTCTCCATTCTGTTCCATTGGTCTATGTGTCTGTTTTTATGCCAGTACCATGCCATTGCTGTTTTGGTTACTGCAGCTTTGTAGTATATTTTGAGGTCTGCTAATGTGATGATAGCTTCAGCTTTGTTCCTTTTGCTCAGGATTGCTTTGGCTATTCGGGATATTTTGTGATTCCATACAAATTTTATGATTTTTTTTCTAGTTCTGTAGGAATGTCATTGGTATTTTGGTAGAGATAGCACTGAATCTGTAGATTGCCTTGGGTAGTATTGTCATTCTCCTATCCATAAGCATGAGATATCTCTCTATTTGTATCCTCTTCAATTTTGTTATCAATATTTTGTAGTTTTCCCTGTAGAGATCTTTTACTTCCTTGGCTAAATTTGTTCCTAGGCACTGTTTTTTTGTATCTATTGTAAATGGGATTGCTTTCTTGATTTCTTTTTCAGCTAGTTCATTGTTCATGTGCCTTAATCCATTTGTGTTGCTATAAAGGAATACCTGAGGTTGGGTAATTTATGAAGAAATTAGGTTTATTTGGCTCACAGTTCTGCAGGCTGTAACAGAAGCATGGCACTAGCATATGCTTCTGGTGAGGGCCTCAAAGCTTCCACTCATGGAAGAAGGCAAGACGGAGCTGCCTCACATGGTGAGGTGAAGGGAGAGAGAAAGATGGAAGAAAGGTGCCAGGCTTTTAAAATATAATCAGTTCTTGCTCATTACCATGAAGATGGCACCAAGACATTCATTAGGGATCTGCTCCCATGCTCCAAATACCTGCCATTAGGCCCCACCTCCAACATTGGGGAACAAATTTCAACATGAGATTTGGAGGGGACAAATATCTAAACTGTATTGTCACGTATAGAAATGCTACTGATTTTTGTATATTAGAATCCTGCAACTTTACTAAATTTATCAGTACTAAGAGTTAGAACTTTCTTTTCCTCTAAGCACTGAAACAAGGATGCCCCCCCGACTTTTCTTCATTCAATAAGCTGTTAACTGTGGGTTTGTCATATATATTTATTATGTTGAGTTACTTTGATTATATATTTAATTTATTAAGAGTTTTTATCATGAAGGAGATGTTGAATTTTATCAAAACATTTTTCTGCATCTATTGAGATGATCATGTTTTTTTCCCTTCATTCTACTGATGTATGTATGATGTTTGTTGATTTGTGTAGGTTGAACTATCCTTGCATTCCTGGGATAAAGCCCACTTGAGCATGGTTATTGTTTTTTGATGTGTTGTTTAATTCAGTTTGCTAGTATTTTGTTGAGGATTTTTGCATCTATGTACACAAGAGATATTGGCCTGTAGTTTTCTTTTTGCTGTTGTTATGTCCTTGTCTGGTTTTGGTATCAAAGTTATTCTGGTCTTGAAGAATGAGTTAGGAAGAATTCCCTCTGCTTTAATTTTTTGGAATAGTTTAAGAGGAAGCAGTATTAATTATTCTTTAAAAATTCTATAGGATTCAGCAGTGAAGCCATCCAGTACTGGACTTTTCTTTGTTGAAGGACTTTTTATTACTGATTCAATCTTGTTACTTGTCTTGGTCTGTTCAGGTTTTCTATTTCTTCTTGGTTTAATCTTGGTAAGTTGTACATGTCCAGAAATTTATCAGTCTCTACAGTTGTTCATAGCAGTCTCTAATGATCCTTGATAGTTCTGTGATATCCATTGTGATTTCTTCTTTTTCGTTGCTGCTGTTATTTATTTGAGACTTCTCTTTTCTTAATGTTAGTCTAGGTAACGGTTTATCAACTTTTTCTTTTCAAAAAACCAGCTTTTCATTTTTTGTTATTTTGTATTGTGTTTTTGTTTAATTTTATTTCTGCTCTGATCTTTACTATTTCTTTTCTTCTACTAATTTTGGGTTTGGTTTGTTCTTGCTTTCCTAGTTCCTTGAGGTGCATTATTAAGTCATTTATTTTCTTTCTAGTTTTTTTTTTTAACGTAGGCATTTATTGCTGTAAACTTGCCTCTTAATACTGCTTTTCCGTTGTGTTTCTATTTTCATTTGTTTCAAGAAGTATTAAAATTTCATTCTTAATTTCTTCCTTCACCCATTGTTTGTTCAGGATTATGCTGCTTAATTTCCATGTATTTTCATAGTTTTGAATGTTTTTCTTGTTATTGATTTTTAGTTTTATTCCATTGTGATCAGATAAGATATTTGATATAATTTTGATTTAAAACATTTGTTGAGACCTGTTTTGTATCCTAGTATATGACCAGTCCTGGAGAATGCTCCATGTAGTGATGAAAAGAATGTGTTTTATGTAGCTGTTGGGTGAACTGTTCTGTAAAGGTTTATTAGACCCATTTGTTCTATGGTGCAATTTAGAGCCAATGTTTCTTTGTTGATTTTCTGTCTAGATGATCTGTCCAGTGCAGAGAGTGGGGTGCTGAAGTCCCCAACTATTATTGTAGTGGGGTCTACCTCTCCCTTTAGATCCAATGATATTTGCTCTATATATCTGGGTGCTCTAGTGTTGGGTGCATATATATTTAAAATTGTTATGTTCTCTTGATGAGCTGATCCCTTTATTATTATATAATGTCCTTCTTTGTCTCTTTTTACAGTTTTTAGCTTGAAATCTGTACTTTCTGATATAAATACAGGTACTCCTGCTTGTTTTTTTTGTTGTTTGTTTGTTTTTTGTTTTGACGGAGCCTCATTCTGTTGCCCAGGCTGGAGTGCAGAGGCACTCTCTCGGTTCACTGCAACCTCTTCCTCCCAGGTTCAACTGATTCTTCTGCCTCAGCCTCCTGAGTAGCTGGGATTACAGGTGTGTGCCACCATGCCCAGCTAATTTTTATTTTTGTATTTTCAGTAGAGATGGGGTTTCACCATATTGGCCAGGCTGGTCTGGAACTCCTAACCTCGTGATCTGCCTGCCTCGGCCTCCCAGAGTGCTGGATATATGGATGTGAGCCACCGTCTCTGGCACTTTTGGTTTTCATTTGCATGAAATATCTTTTTCCATTCCTTTCTTCACTTTCAGTCTTTGTGTGTCTTTATAGGTAAGGCAGCGCATATAGTTGGGCCTTTTTTTTTTTTTGTCCTTCAGCCAGTCTCTAGCTTTTAAATGGGCAATTTAATCTATTTACATTCAAAGTTATTACTGATAGGTGGCAACTTACTCCTGTTATTTTATTGATTGCTTTCTGGTTGCTTTGTATATTCTTTGGTCCTTGCTTCATCTGTTATTATTTATTTTTGCAGTTGGGTGGTTTTCTGTAGTGATAAGGCTTGATTCCTTTATCTTTCCCCTTTGTTATATCAGTTAGTTTTATAGTTTTGCATGTTTTCATGATGGGTTATTGTCTTTTCACTTCCAAATGTAAGGCTCCCTTGAGCATTTCCTGTAAGACTGCTTTAGTGGTGATGAATTCCCTCAATTTTTCCTTCTCAAGAAAAATTGTTTCTCCTCCATTCTTGAAGGATAGATTTGCTGGATATAATATTCTTGGTTGACAGGTTTTTAAAAATTTATTTCAGTACTTTGAATATATCATCTCATTCTCTTCTGACCTGTAAGGTTTCTGCTGAGAAATCTGCTGTTAATCAAACTGGGATTCCCTTATATCTGAATTGATGCTTTTCTCCTGCTACTTTAAAAATTCTTTATGTTTGACTTTTGACAGTTTGACTATAATGTGCCTTGGAGAGGACCTGTTTGGGTTGAATCTATTTGGGGTTCTTGGAGCTTCCTGGGCTTGGACATTCATCCCTCTCCCAAGATTTGGGATTTTTCTGCTGTTATTTCATTAAATGTGTTTTCCATTTCCCTTCTTTTCTCCTCCTGGAATGCCCAGAATATTTGTTTGCTTAATGGTGTCCCATAAATCCTGCAGGCTTTCTTTATTCCTTTAAATTATTTTTTGTCTGCCTGTATTATTTCAAAAGACCTATCTTCAAGTACAGAAGTTCTTTCTTCTCCTTTGTTTAATCTGTTGTTGAAGTGCTTGATTGTATATTTTAATTTCATTCATTGAATTCATCAGCTGAGGATTTCCATTTGGCTCTTTTTAATGATATCTACCATTTAGTTAAATTTCTTATTCAAATCATAAATTATTTTCTAATTTCATTGAATGTTGTATCTGTATTCTCTTGTAACTCACTGAGTTTCCTTAAGATTATTATTTTGAATTCTTTTTCTGGCATTTTATATATTTCCTTATGATTGAGATCTGTCATAGGAGAATTATTATTTTTCTTTGGAGGTGACATGTTTCTTTGCGTTTTCAAGGTTAATGTGTTGAGGTGTCTCTATGTTGATTTCTATACATCTGGTGGGAAAAAAAATCACCTCTTTTGCTTGTATGGAGTAAGTTTTGAAGCAAAAGACTCATTCATGTGAATGGGCCTCAGGGCATCAGTTCAGTGGGGTGCATTGCCCTGGGCTCTAGATGGATGCAGTAATGTAGTCTCTGTGTAGTCTTTTCAGCTGTAATCTACATTAGTGGTGTTTCAAGTTTCTCAGTGGCCTAGTCTGAGAGAGTCTGTGGCACTGGCGGTGCAGCTTTCCCTCTCCTTTTTAAAGAGCTTGTGTACTTAGGTCAGGCTTACCAGGCTGTTTCTCAGGTTGGGATGTGTGTGCATATGCACAATGGGCTGGTCAACTTGAGGTCTGGCTCCCTGGGGTTGGGGCCACTGGGCTGTTACTCTGGCCAGGAGCATGAGCATAGATATTTGGCCAGCTTATGGGCATGCTCACCATGGGTGGCTGACAGGGCTGTTTCTCAGGCCTGGTATGCAGGCACAGGGCTGCTTGACTGGCCTGGGGGTGTGTCTGCTGCAGGCAGCCCATGGGACTATTTCTCAGACCCAGGACACAGCTGCATGACTGCTCAGCTGGCCTGAGTGTGTGTCTGCTGGGGGTGGGCCACCAGGCTGTTTCTTGGACCTGGGATGTGGGTGTACATCTGCTCAGCTGGACTGGGGATTTGCCCACCAGGGTTGGCCAGCTGAGCTGCTTTTCAGTCCCAGGGCACACAACTGCTTGGTTATTCTGGGGGTGTTTTGCAAATGGCAGCCCCTAGAGCAGTTTCTCAGCCACTGATTGTGGACACAGGGCCATTGGACAAGTCAGGGCCTTGTCTGCAGGGAATAGGGCACCTCAAAACTGTTACTCAGACCCTGAATATAGGCACATAGCCACTCCACTGGCCTGGAAGTGTGTCAGCTACTCAGAGGCTTGAGGGCCTCTCCGACTTGGAGGAGGGCATGCAGCAGTGTGGCTGGCTCAAGGGCAGTTTTGCCCTGGGTGGGACTGCCAGACTTTTCCTCTGTCTGGAAGTGAGGGTGGTAGGAGTTGGTTTTTCTGCTCTCCAGGGTCACAGCCAATCCTGGGCCCAGGCTTCATGCTGCCAGCATTGTGGTGCTCGGCCACCAGTGTGGGCTTGGTGGAACAAAGACAGAGCTCCAGTGCTGGAAAGGTGCAGTGGATACTGGCCTCCAGAATAGGGTGCACTCCAGACATGACTCTGGTCTCAAGATGGTGCCCTGCTGCAGCAGACTGGCTTACAGGGGATAGTTGGGGGATGGGGAGTGCACATATTGTGCTCCTAATCTAGGGCAATGAAGCTGTGTGAATGCCCTGCAGCTCTCCAAACTGGGTGACGGTGGGATTCTCCTGTTGTAAGGACTTTAGGTGTTTGCAGTGGCAATCAGGGATGGTGGGGATCTTTTGTTTATCTGCAATAAGTGACTCCTGACATTAGGCAGTTCTGATCTTGATGAGGGACAAGGGGTTTCAGAGGCCAAGTGCTTCCACACTGCCCTCCTGGACTTCTAATCACCACAGGTGCATTTCCACTCCTCTTTTGCATACCAGCACTCTTCCTTCAACACTCCAGTCAACACTGAGCTGTTTATTTTTTGCTTTGGTTCCTTCTTGTCTGGGGTGGCGGGTGGGGAGGAGATGAATACCAGGCATCTCTAGTCAGCTATCTTATTCCCAAGCTTAGAGGCTCTCTAATGCTAGGTCACATAGGCAGGCCTCCTTTATGGCTCTAGGTGGTACCTTAAAAACAAGCTCCCCTTGGCTCTAGTAAATGGTTAGAGCACTGCTCTTCTCGAGTTAGAGGTGGGGAAGTCCCAAAGGGATATCCCAGTAGTGTGGGAAGGCTGGCTAGGGGTTTGTACCCAGGGGACCTGTGGGATGAAACTCCTACAGCATGGTGCTGCTGAACATCCACTGTAATTTGCATCTTCTGTGGCTGAGTTTCAGAGCAGAGTTTCCAGGGCTGGAGGTGGTAGTCCCACCTCCCCACTTTGTCTCTGCCTGTCTTCAGGGATACTTCTTGATGCTTCCCATGGGCTAAGGTAGGGACGGTTCTCCTGCCAGGGAACCCAAAATGGTGGGGAAGCTGTTTGTCTCCTCCATTTTGCTTTTCTCAGTGTAGAAACAATGAGTTGGGGAAATTTTTCAACACATGTGGTGCCAGGCAGAATGGGGGAGGGGGCATTGCAAATGTGGGTGTCTAGTTCTCTTACCAACTACTCAGAGTGTTTTCACTTCTCTGTGGGCCTGGAAGTGGTCTCATCTTTTTATTTGAGTTCTGGGATATTTCTGGTGATAATCTTTGTTTTTGGTTTTCTGTGGGAGAGAGTGAAACCAGTTTGCTTCTATTCTACATTGCCTTTTGAAACTAGAAAAAAAACCTCTCTTTTTTGAAGAGCTTGTGTGCTTAGGTCAGGCTTACCAGGAAAATCTCACTGTCTTAAGGTTAACTATGCCATGTAATGTAACATAATCACATGTATGTTAAAAGTGCTACTTGAATTAATAAGTGAGTTTATCAAGGTCATATAAAGTAAAACATACAAAAATAAATAGTGTTTTATGTACTAATAACAAGGATTGGAAATTGCAATCAAATAAACACCATTTGCAATTGCATCAAAGGCATGAAATAAGGATAAATTTAGCAAAATGTGTTTAAGACTTAAGTACTATGATCACAGCATTGTTGCTAAAACTCAAGGGAGATAAAAATAAGTGGAGATACACGCTATGATTGCAGAGTCAATATTGATAATATTTCAGTTCTTCCAAAATTGAACTAGTACCTAGAAATTGACATTTGATTTTAAATTTTATATGGTTATTCAAATGTCATATAGTATTTTACACAATTTTGAAGAACAAGAAAGAACATAATTAGGGAAATAAAATGACTTGATTTGAACATTTACTTTAAAGCTATTATTTAAAGACAGTCTGCTATTGATATAAGGATAAATATGTAAGGATAAATATTCAGAAATGAATAAACCTATACCTAAATGGTCAATTGATCTTTAACGAAGGATCAATACAGTTTAATCTAATCAGGGAAAAGATAGTCTTTTTTTTTTTTTTTAATGGAGTCTTGCTCTGTCACCTAGGCTGAAGTACAGTGGTGTGATCTCGGCTCACGGCAACCTCTGTCTCCCAGGTTCAAGCAATTCTTATGCCTCAGCCTCCAGAGTAGCTAGGATTACAGGTATGTATCACCATGCCCAGCTAATTTTTGTATTTTTAGTAGAGACAGGGTTTCACATGTTGGCCATGCTGGTCTTGAACTCCTGACCTCACGTGATCTGCCCACCTCGGCCTCCCAAAGTGCTGGGTTTACAGGCATGAGCCTCCATGCCCAGCCAAAAGATAATCTTTTCAAAAATGGTGTTGAAACAACTGGTTACTTATATATAGAAAAGAAATAACTGGTTATGTATATAGAAAAGAATGAACCATAATCCCTCCCTCAAACCATATATGAACATTAAACAGATCATATACCAAAACAGTAAAGCTAAACTAAAAGCTACTAGAAAAAATATGCAACTTTTGGGTATACAAAAATTTTGTAGGTAGTACACACACAAAAAGCACAAACCACCAAAGAAAATAATTTACAAAGTAGGCTTTATAAAAATTAGAAACCTCTGCTTTTTGAAAGACATAGATAAGAAAATGAAAAGGCAAACCACAAACCTGGAGAAAATATTCATAACATATATATTAGACAAAAGTTGTATTTCCATATTATATAAATAATTCTAAAAATTCAATAATAGGGAGACAATCAACCTAATTGTTTTTTAAAATGGTTAACTGATACAAACAGACCCTACATAAAAGAACTTATATGCATAGCCAATCAGCATGTGAAAAGATGTTCAACGTCATTAGTCATCAAGGAACTAGAAATTATAAGCAAAATGGGATACCATTAGAGACCCACTAACATTAAAGAAACTGACAATTTCAAGTGTTGGAAACAATGTAGAACAACTGCAACAACCGTAAATTTCTGGTGGAAATGTAAAATGGCAAAACTACTTTGGGGAAAAAATGGCTTTTTTTAGAAAGTTGAACGTATACTCCTAGGGATTTATATAAGAGCTTGAAAAACATATATCAACACAAAGGCCTATGTATTTATGCTTACCCCAACTTTATCCAAATTAATCTAAAGCTAAAATTAAGACAAATATCCATCAATAGATGATGGACAAAACAATTGTGATATATCTATATAATGGAATAGGATTTAGCAATCTATATAATGGAGTATAATTATATGAATGTGATACATCTATATAATGGAATAGGACTTAGCATGCATTCATCCATGCACCAACATGGATGAATCTGAAAAGTGTTTAGATTAGCAAAAGAAGATAGATACAAAATAAGTTCATATTGTATAATTCCATTTATATAAAACTGCACAATAAGAGAACTAATGTAAAGTGAGAGAATAGTGATTGCTTGGGGCTGAGATGAAGGATTTGTATCAAAAGGGCAGAGAAGAGCTTGTTAGGGTAATTGAAACGTTCTGTATCATGATGTGGAGGTGTTTACATGGGTGTATAAGCTTTTGAGAACTTATCAAATTATACACAAATATGTACATTTTATTATATGGAAATTATATCTCATTAAAGTTGATACAAAACAAGAATCCAGAACTCTATTTTGACATCTGGTGGACATCGCTCCAATCATGATTCCATGTCTCTCTGCATATACAGAAAGAAAGTTAAATTTGTATAGCTAGAGAACTGCTTAGATTAGGTTGAAAGATAAAATTTTATGAGAATATCATATATGTTTTAAAAGCAAGTTTTAGCTATATTTACTAATAAAAAGAAAGGAAACTGATGAAGCTAAAGAAGTTCAGGAAAATATTTCTCATAAAGATTAGTTTCCAAGAAACTACATTACTACATATCCTCACCCTGTGAGGGCACAAAACGCCCTGACAAACCTCATTTCAGTTTTTCCTTCTTGGAGATTAGTCTGTTATTCTTAAATCAGGGGCTTATCAGGGTCTCTGTGTTTCTTCCCAGGGAAAGAGTGGGCATCTAGAATGTGGGAGGTAATACATAATACCTCCAAATCTCCAGGGCGTATTTATTTCTTCAGACATCATGCTTACTGCCCCCCACTTTTTTTTTTTTTTAGAAAGAAAGAACAAAAAAGAGAAGGAGAGTAAATTCTTGTTTCCAAGTTAGACAAGAGAGTTATGATTAAATGCCACCTTGGGTCCACAAGTCTTCCATAAGAAAAACAATGAAAGGATTTCTGGATGATTCTATTATGACATCACAACTTGCAGCAGAGGCAGATGTAATGAGGCAATACTTGACATTGTTTTCAGGGCATTTGGTAGGTTCAATGGGAAACAAAACTCTTAAAACCCCTATCTGCTGGCTGGTGCTTAAAGTTTCTATCTCAATTGTCTTAGTCCATTTAGTGTTGCTATAAAGGAATAGCTGGGGCTGGGTAATTTGTAAAGAAAAGAGGTTTATTTGGCTCATGGTTCTGCAGGCTGTACAGGAATCATGGTGCCAGCATTTGCATCCGATGATGGCACAGGCTGTTTTCATGCATGGTGGAGGGTGAAGTGGAGCTGGCGTGCAGGGATCACATGGCAAGGCAAGAGGGGAAGTGAGTGAGTGAGTGAGCAAGACAAAGAGGGGAAGTGTATTAGTCCATTTTCATGCTGCTGATAAAGACATACCTGAGACTAGGCAATTTACAAAAGAAAGAGGTTTAACTGGACTTACAGTTCCACGTGGCTGGGGAAGGTCTCAGAATCATGGTGGAGGGCGAAAGGCACTTCTTACATGGCAGTGGCAAGAGAGAATGAGGAGGGAGCAAAAGCAGAAACCCGTGATAAACCCATCAGATCTTGTGAGACTTTTTCACTACCATGAGAATAGCACAGGAAAGACCAGCCCCTATGATTCAATTACCTCCCACTGGGTCCCTCCCACAAAACATGGGAATTCTGGGAGATATAATTCAAGTTGAGATTTGGGTGGGGGCACAGGCAAACCATATCATTCCACTCCTGGCCCCTCCCAAATCTCATGTTCTCACATTTCATAATCAATCATGCCTTCCCAACAGTCCCCCAAAGCCTTAACTCATTTCAGCATTAACTCAAAAGTCCACAGTCCAATGTCTCATCTGAGACAAGAAAACTCCCTTCTGCTTACAACCCTGTAAAATCAAAAGCAAGTTAGTTACTTCCTAGATACAATGTGGGTACAGGCATTGGGCAAAAACAGCCATTCCAAATGGGAGGAATTGGCCAAAACAAAGGGGCTACAGGCCCCATGCAAGTCCAAAATCCATCAGGGCAGTTAAATCTTAAAGTTCCAAAATTATTTCCTTTGACTCCACATCTCGCATCCAGGTCACACTGATGCAAGAAGTGGGTTCCCATGGTCTTGGGCAGCTCCGCCCCTTGGCTTTGCAGGATACAGCCTCCCTCCCGGCTGTTTTTATGGGCTGGTGTTGAGTGTCTGTGGCTTTTCCAGGCACACAGTGCAAGCTATCAGTGGATCTATCATCCTGGGGTCTGGAGGATGGTGGCCCTCTTCTCACAGCTCCAATAGGTGGTTACCCCATTAGGGATTCTGTTTGGGGGCTCTGACCCCACATTTCCCTTCTGCACTGCTGTGGCAGAGGTTCTCTATGAAGGCCTTGCGCTTGCAACAAACTTTTGCCTGGGCATCCAGGCATTTCCATACATCTTCTGAAATCTAGGCGGAGGTGCCCAAACCTCAATTCTTGACTTCTGTGTACCCACAGGCTCAACACCATGTGGAAGGTGCTAAGGCTTAGGGCTTGCACCCTCTGAAGCCATGGCTGGAGCTTTACCTTGGTCCCTTTTAGTCATGGCTAGGGGCAGCTGGGACACAGGACACCAAGTCCCTTGGCTGTACACAGCATGGGGACCCTGGGCCTAGCC
This sequence comes from Homo sapiens, assembly GCF_000001405.40. Lineage (NCBI taxonomy): Eukaryota > Metazoa > Chordata > Mammalia > Primates > Hominidae > Homo > Homo sapiens. The sequence continues at coordinate 133,495,085 of NC_000010.11, forward strand.
CAGGAAGCCATTTTTATCTTGTACACCTCCAGGCCTGTGATGAGAAGGGCTGCTGTGAAGACCTCTGACATGCCCTGGAGAGGCATGTCTTTTCCCCATTGTCTTGTGAGTTAACATTCTGCTCCTCGTTACTTATGCAAATTTCTGCAGCTGGCTTAAATTTCTCCCCAGAAAATGGGATTTTCTTTTTCTATTGCATTGTCAGGCTGCAAATTTTCCAAACTTCTATGCTGTGCTTTCCTTATAAAATGGGATGCCTTTAACAGCACCTGAATCACCTCTTGAATGTTTGCTGCTTAGAAATTTCTTCCACCTGATACCCTAAATCATCTCTCTCTGGTTCAAAGTTCCACAGGTCTGTAGGGCAGGGGAAAAATGCTGCCAGTCCCTTTGTTAAACATAACAAGAGTCACCTTTGCTCCACTTCCCAACAAGTTCCTAATTTCCATTTGAGATCACCTCAGCCTGGACTTTATTGTCCATATTGCTATCAGCATTTTGGGCAAAGTCTCTAGGAAGTTCCAAACTTTCCCACATTTTCTTATCTTCTTCTGAGCCCTCCAAATTGTTCCAACCTCTGCCTGTTACCCAATTCCAAAGTCAATTCCACATTTTTGGGTATCTTTTCAGCAACACAACAGCCCACTCCTGGTACCAAAATCTGTATTAGTCAGGGTTCTCTAGAGGGACAGAACTAATAGGATAAATATTATATATGTATATATATATGTATATATGTAAATGGGAGTTTATTAAATATTAACTAACATGATCACGAGGTCCCCACAATAGGCTGTCTGCAAGCTGAGGACCAAGGAGAGCCAGTCCAAGTCCCAAAACTGAAGAACTTGGAGTCTGATGTTTGAGGGCAGGAAGCATCCAGCATGGGAGAAAAATGTAGGCTGGAAGGCTAAGCCAGTCTTGCCTTTTCATGTTTTTCTGCCTGCTTTATATTTGCTGGAAGCTCATTAGATGGTGTCCACCTGATTAAGGGTGGGTCTGCCTTCCCCAGCCCACTGACTCAAATCTCCTTTGGCAACACCCACACAGACTCACCTAGGGTTAATACTTTTTACAGTCCTTATTTCTGCAGCTGGTCATGTGGTCGTAGCTGGTATTGATGACTACCTTCTTCTATCACCCACTGTGTATTCCCTTTGCCTTCTGCAAGCACCTCATCAGATCAAGGTTTTTTTCCTGGTGGAGTGACTTAAACCTTCATTCCTGAAGGGTCTGGACCATTTGTAGTCCTCCCTGGATTGGGCTGTTGTAGTTTCTCATTGACCTTAATCACAGGGCATGGTAATACTAAGTGACATCCTAATGGATCTCCTGTATTCCATGCATGCTCCTCCTTACCTCTGTTATGGAGTAGTAGACTGATTTCATCTTGATAGTCTGGGTCAATCAACCTAGCCAACACTGTAACTCCCTTCTTAGCCTGTTTACTTAAAGGTAGGAGGAGCCCGAAGTGTCCAGGTGACAATCTTAACTTTCAGTTTAATGGAATTGTTGTTGTGTCTCCTGGTGGCAGTGTTACTCCCTCTGGAACTAAGATCTCTAGGCTAGCAGAACGTAATGTTGCAGGAACAGGAAGCAAAAATTTTGCTACTGGATCATTAGGGGTGATGGTGAGTGGTGCCACTTCCACTTCCACCCCTTGATTCCTGGACCCGTGAATCCTGGCTATGGGAGAAACAGTACCATATATCAGATGCTGATCCAGTGCATACACAGCCTTCTAGAGTACTTTGCCCCAGCCCTGCAAAGTATTGTCATCTAATTGACATGGTAATTGTAGGGTCCAGCCCCACAGGGTTGGTGCATTTTCTCCTTCTGTGTGGAGACGAGAGAGCGTAGAAATAAAAACACAAGACAAAGAGATAAAAGAAAAGACAGCTGGGCCCGGGGGACCACTACCACCAAGATGCGGAGACTGGTAGTGGCCCCGAATGCCAGGCTGCACTGATATTTATTGGATACAAGACAAAGGGGCAGGATAAGGAGTGTGGGCCATCTCCAATGATAGGGAAGGCCACATGGATCACATGTCCCCTGGACAGGGGGCCCTTTCCTGCCTGGCAGCCGAGGCAGAGAGAGAGAGGAGAAAGAGAAACAGCTTACACCATTATTTCTGCTTATCAGAGACTTTTAGTACTTTCACTAATTTGCTACTGCTAACTAAACGGCAGAACCAGGTGTACAAGATGGAACATGAAGGCAGACTAGGAGTGTGACCACTGAAGCACAGCATCACAGGGAGACGGTTAGGCCTCCGAATAACTGTGGGTGGGCCTGACTAATGTCAGGCCTTCCACAAGAGGTGGAGGAGTAGAGTCTTCTCTAAACTCCCCTGGGGAAAGGGAGACTCTCTTTCCCGGTCTGCTAAGTAGCGGGTGTTTTTCCTTGACACTAACGCTACTGCTAGACCACGGTCTGCTTGGCAATGGGCATCTTCCCAGATGCTGGCGTTACCGCTAGACCAAGGAGCCCTCTGGTGGCCCTGTCTGGGCATAACAGAAGGCTCACACTCTTGTCTTCTGGTCACTTCTCACTATGTCCCTTCAGCTCCTATCTCTGTATGGCCTGGTTTTTCCTAGTTTATGATTATAGAGTGAGGATTATTATAATATTGGAATAAAGAGTAATTGCTACTAATGATTAATGATATTCATATATAATCATATCTAAGATCTATCTCTGGTATAACTATTCTTATTTTATATTTTATTATACTGGAACAGCTCGTGTCCTCGGTCTCTTGCCTTGGCACCTGGGTGGCTTGCCACCCACAGCAATTGTGACTTTGAAAGGCCATTCCACCGTTCTATCAATCCAGCTGCTTCAGGATGATGGGCAACGTGGTAAGACCAGTGAATTCCACGAACATGAGCCCACTGCTGCACTTCTATGGCCGTAAAGTGAGTACCTTGGTCAGAGGCAATACTGTGTGGAACACCATGATGGTGGATAAGGCATTCCATGAGTCCACAGATGGTAGTCTTGGTAGAAGTATCGTGTGCAGGATAGGCAAACCGATATCCAGAATAAGTATCTATTCCAGTGAGGACAAATCTCTGCCCTTTCCATGATGGAAGAGGTTCAATATAATCAACCTGCCACCAGGTAGCTGGCTGACCACCCTGAGAAATGGTGCCATATCGAGGAATCAGTGTTGGTCTCTGCTGCTGGCAAATTGGGCACTCAGCAGTGGCCATAGCCAGATCAGCCTTGGTGAGTGGAAGCTCATATTGCTGAGCCCATTCATAACCTCCATCCCTGCCACCATGGCCACTTTGTTCACGGGTCCATTGGGCAATGACAGAGGTGCTTGGGAAAGAGGCTGAATGGTGTCCACAGAAGTGGTCATCCTATCCACTTGATTATTAAAATCCTCCTCTGCTGAGGTCACCCATTGGTGAGCACTCACATGGGATACAAATATCTTCACAGTTTTTGACCACTCAGAGAGGTCCATCCACATACCTCTTCCCCACATTTCTTTGTCACAATTTCCGATCATTCTTCTTTCAAGTCCCTGACCATCCAACCAAACCATTAACTACAGCCCATGAATCAGTATATAATCACACATCTGGCCATTTCTCCTTCCATGCAAAGTGCACAACCAGGTTCACTGCTCTTAGTTCTGCCCACTGGGAAGATTTTCCTTCCCTACTGTCCTTCAGGGATGTCCTAGAAAGGGGCTGTAGTGCTGCAGCTCTCCACTTTTGGGTGGTGCCTGCATATCATGCGGAACCATCCACGAACCAGGCCCAACTAATTATAGGGAACTTCCCATGAGGCCGTTGGGGCAGGCTCGGGGAGAGAAGGAAGGGTGGCAGGAGTGGAGACCATGGGCATTTGAACCACTTCCTCATGTAACTTACTTGTGCCTTCAGGACCTGCTGGAACCTGATCACATATATACCACTTCCATCCTGTGGTCATTTCCCTAGTGCCACTTCCATTTGATGACGGAATGCTGCTGTGCACAACCCACTTAATGGCTAGATGGGTCAGAAAGCACCCAGTTTATGATAGGCAGTTCAGGTCGCGTGGTGACTTGGTGACCTACAGTCAAACGTTCAGTTTCCACCAAAGCCCAGTAACAGGCTAAGAGCTGTCTCTCAAAAGGAGAGTAGTTATCTGCAGAAGATGGCAGGGCCTCGCTCCAAAATCCTAGAGGCCTCCACTGTGATTCACCTATGGGAGCCTGCCAAAGGCTCCAAACAGCATGCCTATCTGCCACTGACACCTCAAGCACCATTGGATATGCTGGGCCATATGGCCCAAGTGGCAGAGCAGCTTGCACAGCAGCCTGGACCTGCTGCAGAGCCTTCTCTTGTTCTGGACTCCACTCAAAACTGACAGCTTTTCAGGTCACTCAATAAATGGGCTGGAGTAACACACCCAAATGAGGAATGTGTTGCCTCCAAAATCCAAATAGGCCCACTAGGCATTGTGCCTCTTTCTTGGTTGTAGGAGGGGCCAAATGCAGCAACTTATCCTTCACCTTAGGAGGAATATCTCTACAGGCCCCATACCACTGGACCCTTAGAAATTTTACTGAGGTAGAAGGTCCCTGAATTTTAGGCAGATACACTTCCCATCCTCTGGCATGCAAATGTTTCACCAATAAGTCCAGTGTTTGCTACTTCTTGCTCACTGGATCCAATCTGCATAATGTCATCAATGTAATGGACCAGTGTGATATCTTTTGGAGGCAAAAAGCGATCAAGTTCTCTCTGAATAAGATTATGACACAAAGCCAGATAATTCATATACCCCTGAGGTAGGACAGTAAAGGTATATTGCTGGCCTTGACAGCTGAAGGCAAATTGTTTCTGGTGGGCCTTATGGACAGGAATGGAGAAAAAGGCATTTGCCAAGTCAATGGTTGCACACAAAGTACCAGGAGATGTGTTAATTTGCTCAAATAATGAAACCACATCTGGTACAGCAGCTGCAATTGGAATCATCACTTGGTTAAGCTTATGGTAATCCACTGTCATTCTCCAAGATCCATCTGTCTTCTGCACAGGCCAAATGGGAGAGTTGAATGGGAATGTGGTGGGAATCACCACCCCTGAGTCTTTCAAGTCCTTGGTGGTGGCACTAATCTCTGCAATCCCTCCAGGGACACAATATTGTTTTTGATTTACTATTTTTCTAGGTAGAGGCAGCTCTAATGGCTTTCATTTGGCCTTTCTCACCACAGTAGCCGTCACCCTACCAGTCAGGGAGCCAATGTGAAGGTTCTGCCAGCTGCTAAGTATGTCTATGCCAATTATGCATTCTCGCACTAGGGAAATGACCACAGGATGAGTCCAGAGACCCACTGGACCCACTGTAAGTCAGACCTGAGCTAAAACTTCATTAATTACCTGACTCCCATAAGCCCCTACTTTAACTGGAGGACCACAATGACGTTTTGGGTCCCCTGGAATCCATGTCAGCTCAGAGCCAGTGTCCAGTAGTCCCTGAAATGTCTGATCATTTCCCTTTCCCCAGCGCACAGTTATCCTGGTAAAAGGCCAGAGGTCTCCTTGGGGAAGGATGGGAGAAAGATTCACTGCATAAATTGCTGGTAATGTAGTAGGGTCCTTCCTAATGGGAACTTGGCTTCCCCTTCATTCAAGTGGTTCTGGATCTGTAAACTGGCTCAAGTCTGGAAATTGATTAAGAGGCCATGATTCTACATTTTTATAATTCAAATTAGTCTTTTATCCATTCGACCTAGAAGTTTTCTGCTTGTATAAATTAAGTAGGAATGCAGTAGGCTTTCTATCAATTTCACTTCTAGGAACACCATGATTAATTAGCCAATGCCAGAGCTCTACACGAGTCAGACTATTCTGATTGCCGCTTTGCCTCTGCTGTCCATTATGATAGCTATGCCCACCTTGCTTTTGATAGCTGAGTGCCACCACTTGGCCCCTGCCACCTCGGGATCCAATTGTTACCATTATATTTAAGTTTTGTAGTTGAGTGACTGTGGCTCCCACCATTAGATCTGACATACAGAGAAAAGCAATTGCAAGGCTCTTCAAAGATTCAGGTGCTGCCCTCACAAATCTATTTTGCAAGGCGTTGGTCAAGGGTGTATCTTCTGGACCCTCCCAGCTGGGATGAGTAGGTCTAAAGTGACTAATCCACTCCACCATCCCAATCTCCCTAAGCCTTTGGATCCCTTCCTCTACATTAAACCAAGGGAGATCAGGCATTTCCACCTCGCTCACAATGAGCCATCTTTTAATCCATATTTCAGCAAACCAATCAAACAAACTATTAGAACCTTTTTTAATTCCCCAAGCTGCAACATTAAAAGCAGAGTTCCTACTTAGTGGGCCCAAATCAATAAATTCAGCCTGATCCAACTCTATATTCCTTCCCCATTATCCTATGCCCTTAATATCCATTCCCATGCCTGTTCTCCAGATTGCTGTTTATATAAATTAGAGAACTGAAGCAGATCTTTTTGAGTGTAGTGCACCTCCTCATGGGTCACACTCTCAACCTCACCTCTAGGTGCCCACCAGGACTTTAATCTAGTTACAGGTCTAGAAGCAAACAGAGGTGTTGGAGGGTAGCTCCTGAGGAGAATCAACATTATCTTGCCTGGCATCTGCCTCAGGGGAGGCCATCACTGTTGTCTCAGGCAGCACAGAGTTTATCTCTTCAGACAAAGGTGGAAAGGCTGATGGCAGCATGGGTCGGGGAGGGGATGTTGCCACTACTGGGGATGGGGAAGCTGTTTCTTCTGGCCAAAAAAGTTCATCAGCATTTATGAACTCAAGTGTCTCCAGCTTCATCAGGGTCCTCCCAAACGTCCCCATTCCAAGTTTGAGGATCTCATTTTTTTCCAGTCAATGCACTCACTTTAACAGTAGACACCTGGTGAGGCTGTGCATGCATCTTTCATTGCAGGTCAGCCACTCAAATGATAAGAGCTTGCATCTGTTTTTCCACAATTTCAGCTCTTTACTGAAAGAGATGAGACTCTCATTCAGGGCAACCTTAGCAGATTTGAGGCTCAGTATCTGCCTCTGAAGCCAGGAGACAGAATCCCTGAGTTCATCATTTGCTTTCATCACTTTGTCCACTGAACTTAGGAGCAACTAACCAGTTTCATTATGTTTCTTGGTTCCCCACATATGGTCAAAGGTATTATGTACAGAGTCACTAACTCCTTGCCTCTCACACGCGGTGGTGAATCAGGAGTGTCAAATGCATTTATTTTGCATAACTTACTAAACAGTTTATGCCAAGGACTAGCAGTGTTTTACATACTATTAGAAGTATAGACCTTAGCATTTTTGCACCTAATCATATTAAGCAGCCAAATCCAGAAACCCAAAAACCAATGAAAGAACTCCATCCTTAATATTCTGTTCCTCTAGAACCATTCCTGGTACCAAAATCTGTATTAATCAGGGTTCTCTAGAGTATATATACACACTATATATACATATAAAGGGAAGTTTATTAAGATTAATTTACATGATCACAAAGTCCCACAATGGGCTATCTGCAAGCTAAGGAGCAAGGAGAGCCAGTCTGAGTCCCAAAACTGGAGAACTTGGAGTCTGATGTTCGAGGGCAGGAAGCACCCAGCATGGGAGAAAGATATAGACTGGGAGTCTAGGCCAGTCTCACCTTTTCATGGTTTTCTGCCTGCTTTATATTCGCTGGAAGCTCATTAGATGGTACCCACCAGATTAAGGGTGGGTCTGCCTTCCCGGCCCACTGACTCAAATGTGAATCTCCTTTGGCAACACCCTCACAGACACACCCAGGATTAATGCTTTGAATCCTTCAATCCAATCAAATTGACACTCAGTATTAACCATCATGGGTAGGCTCTTTTCAACAGCCATCTCTTGGGCGAACTAATAAAGTGAGAAGTCACTACACCAGGGCATTAATGTATTCATGAGGGATCCACCTCCATGACCCAAACACCTCCCATTAAGCTCCACTTCCAACACAGGGGATCATATTTCAACATGAGGTCTGGAAGGTCTAATATCTAAACTATAGCATAAATATATCTCAAAAGAAATAAAATATGGCCATTCACTTAGGCAAGGAGCTCCCTGATTGTTGCTGTGTCCTAGAACATACACTGAAGTTTACAAAAACATTGAAGACTGGTTGTATCTAAACAGATTTTAATTTTAGACAACATGAACGCATTCCTTGCCATGAAAAATGAGGAGGTGTCTGCCTATGTTATCTTGTCAGAATTCATATCATTTACAGTCTATGCCAAAATTGTTTACTCTCATATTTTATAAATATAGTGGCTACCAGTATATATGATCAGAAACCTCTGATTCTAGCTTCTTTATTTCTGTTTTATTTATTTTATTATTTTTATTTTTTATTTTTATTTTTTATTATACTTTAAGTTTTAGGGTACATGTGCACATTGTGCAGGTTAGTTACATATGTATACATGTGCCATGCTGGTGCGCTGCACCCACTAACTCGTCATCTAGCATTAGGTATATCTCCCAATGCTATCCCTCCCCCCTCCCCCCACCCCACAACAGTCCCCAGAGTGTGATATTCCCCTTCCTGTGTCCATGTGATCTCATTGTTCATTTCCCACCTATGAGTGAGAATATGCGGTGTTTGGTTTTTTGTTCTTGCGATAGTTTACTGAGAATGATGATTTCCAATTTCATCCATGTCCCTACAAAGGACATGAACTCATCATTTTTTATGGCTGCATAGTATTCCATGGTGTATATGTGCCACATTTTCTTAATCCAGTCTATCATTGTTGGACATTTGGGTTGGTTCCAAGTCTTTGCTATTGTGAATAATGCCGCAATAAACATACGTGTGCATGTGTCTTTATAGCAGCATGATTTATAGTCCTTTGGGTATATACCCAGTAATGGGATGGCTGGGTCAAATGGTATTTCTAGTTCTAGATCCCTGAGGAATCGCCACACTGACTTCCACAATGGTTGAACTAGTTTACAGTCCCACCAACAGTGTAAAAGTGTTCCTATTTCTCCACATCCTCTCCAGCACCTGTTGTTTCCTGACTTTTTTATGATTGCCATTCTAACTGGTGTGAGATGGTATCTCATTGTGGTTTTGATTTGCATTTCTCTGATGGCCAGTGATGATGAGCATTTTTTCATGTGTTTTTTGGCTGCATAAATGTCTTCTTTTGAGAAGTGTCTGTTCATGTCCTTCGCCCACTTTTTGATGGGGTTGTTTGTTTTTTTCTTGTAAATTTGTTTGAGTTCATTGTAGATTCTGGATATTAGCCCTTTGTCAGATGAGTAGGTTGTGAAAATTTTCTCCCATGTTGTAGGTTGCCTGTTCACTCTGATGGTAGTTTCTTTTGCTGTGCAGAAGCTCTTTAGTTTAATTAGATCCCATTTGTCAATTTTGTCTTTTGTTGCCATTGCTTTTGGTGTTTTAGACATGAAGTCCTTGCCCATGCCTATGTCCTGAATGGTAATGCCTAGGTTTTCTTCTAGGGTTTTTATGGTTTTAGGTCTAACGTTTAAGTCTTTAATCCATCTTGAATTGATTTTTGTATAAGGTGTAAGGAAGGGATCCAGTTTCAGCTTTCTACATATGGCTAGCCAGTTTTCCCAGCACCATTTATTAAATAGGGAATCCTTTCCCCATTGCTTGTTTTTCTCAGGTTTGTCAAAGATCAGATAGTTGTAGATATGCGGCGTTATTTCTGAGGGCTCTGTTCTGTTCCATTGATCTATATCTCTGTTTTGGTACCAGTACCATGCTGTTTTGGTTACTGTAGCCTTGTAGTATAGTTTGAAGTCAGGTAGTGTGATGCCTGCAGCTTTGTTCTTTTGGCTCAGGATTGACTTGGCGATGCGGGCTCTTTTTTGGTTCCATATGAACTTTAAAGTAGTTTTTTCCAATTCTGTGAAGAAAGTCATTGGTAGCTTGATGGGGATGGCATTGAATCTGTAAATTACCTTGGGCAGTATGGCCATTTTCATGATATTGATTCTTCCTACCCATGAGCATGGAATGTTCTTCCATTTGTTTGTATCCTCTTTTATTTCCTTGAGCAGTGGTTTGTAGTTCTCCTTGAAGAGGTCCTTCACATCCCTTGTAAGTTGGATTCCTAGGTATTTTATTCTCTTTGAAGCAATTGTGAATGGGAGTTCACTCATGATTTGGCTCTGTGTTTGTCTGTTATTGGTGTATAAGAATGCTTGTGATTTTTGTACATTGATTTTGTATCCTGAGACTTTGATGAAGTTGCTTATCAGCTTAACTAGAAAATCTAGAAGAAATGGATAAATTCCTTGACACATACACTCTCCCAAGACTAAACCAGGAAGAAATTGAATCTCTGAATAGACCAATAACAGGATCTGAAATTGTGGCAATAATCAATAGCTTACCAACCAAAAAGAGTCCAGGACTAGATGGATTCACAGCCGAATTCTACCAGAGGTACAAGGAGGAACTGGTACCATTCCTTCTGAAACTATTCCAATCAATAGAAAAAGAGGGAATCCTCCCTAACTCATTTTATGAGGCCAGCATCATTCTGATACCAAAGCCGGGCAGAGACACAACCAAAAAAGAGAATTTTAGACCAATATCCTTGATGAACATTGATACAAAAACCCTCAATAAAATACTGGCAAAACGAATCCAGCAGCACATCAAAAAGCTTATCCACCATGATCAAGTGGGCTTCATCCCTGGGATGCAAGGCTGGTTCAATATACGCAAATCAATAAATGTAATCCAGCATATAAACAGAGCCAAAGACAAAAACCACATGATTATCTCAATAGATGCAGAAAAAGCCTTTGACAAAATTCAACAACCCTTCATGCTAAAAACTCTCAATAAATTAGGTATTGATGGGACGTATTTCAAAATAATAAGAGCTATCTATGACAAACCCACAGCCAATATCATACTGAATGGGCAAAAACTGGAAGCATTCCCTTTGAAAACTGGCACAAGACAGGGATGCCCTCTCTCACCACTCCTATTCAACATAGTGTTGGAAGTTCTGGCCAGGGCAATTAGACAGGAGAAGGAAATAAAGGGTATTCAATTAGGAAAAGAGGAAATCAAATTGTCCCTGTTTGCAGATGACATGATTGTATTTCTAGAAAACCCCATTGTCTAAGTTTTATTTTGATTCACTTCTTGTTGTTCTGGGCTTTATGGTCAAGTAATTTGTTTTAGAAAACTTTACTGGGAGGTGACATCAGCAACATGGTGGCACAGGAGACTTCTACCTCTCCCTCCACCCATGGACACGTGGAATAAACACCTACACATGGATAAATTTTCTTTGAGAGAAAGTCAGAAAAAGTTGAGAGTCTCTTACACAGCAGACAACTGAGAAAATATTCACATCAAGCAGGTAGAAAAAGCTGAGGCACACGCAGGCACAAATATCACCCTGGGTACTGCACCATAAACCAGGAAAAACTCCCAACACATAACTTCTCCCTGAGGAGAGAAGGGTATGGACCACATGTATATGACCCTAGCTCCAAGGTTCCCATGGTTTGACTTTTAATTCACCTAGCTCTGGTAGTGGAAGGGACTAGGCATACACAAGTCTCCCTAGACCACAGAACAAAGTAGCAAAACCCTAAAAGGAGTTTGTTGGTATACTCCTCCAACTTCTGCTAACAGCAGAGCTTCTAACTAGCCTGAATTAGGGAGTTAACCGGGCTGACAAACTACAATATTCCTCTGTTATTGATGGTTTTTCTTTCCAAAGTTTCAGTTAACTATGGCCAACTGCAGTCTGAAAATATTAAACGGAAAATTCCAGAAATAGACAGTTTGTAAGTTTTAAATAACTGTTATCACCATATGTTGTTATAATTGTTCTATTTTATAATTAGTTATTATGTTTCCTTCATTATTGTGCCTAATTTATAAATGAAACTTCATCATAGGTATGTATAGGAAACAAAGCACAGTATATATAGGGTTTGGTGCCATACACAGCTGCAGGAATCTGCAGAATGTCTTGGACTGTATCACCCACGGATAAGGGGGACTAGTGTATAGCCCTCCGGGAGGCTAAGCAGTAGCTCAGCACATCTTAAGCCTTCTCCTCTCCTGTGGTTCACCTGTGATATATCCAGATCTACCCATTCTTTCTGGAAGAGGTTTGTCCACACACTGACTGCCCCAACTTTTACAGCTCCCACCCAAAAGACTGCATCCTAAACTGTCTAACTCTGGGAATGAAAGCGTCTTGGCATTTGCTAGTCTCCCTAGATTACGGTACAAAGAGGTAGTTTTAAATGGGCAGGCAAGGTTGGGCGCGGTGGCTCACGCCTGCAATCCCAACACTTTGGGAGGCCAAGGTAGGTGGATCACCTGAGGTCAGGAATTCGAGAACAGCTTTGCCAACATGGTGAAACCCTGTCTCTACTAAATATACAAAAATTAGCCGGGTGTGGTGGCGGATGCCTGTAATCCCAGCTACTCGGGAGGCTGAGGCAAGAGAATCATTTGAACCCAGGAGGCGGAGGTTGCAGTGAGCCGAGATTGCACCACTGCACTCCAGCCTAGGCGGCAGAGTGAGACTCCGTCTCAAAAAAAAAAAAAAAAAAAAAAAGAAAGAAAAAAAATGGGCATGCAAGCACTTATAGGAGTTACACCCGCAAGGACCAATGCAGACAAGAGGTTAAATACACGCCTTCCAGTTTCTCCCTGGAAGGGGTTAGTCTGCACAATTTTCCAGTTACTGCTTAAGGATCAGGCTCCTATCTAGCCTGCATCTGGGAGCCAACAGGGCCGACAAACGATAGACCTCCAGGATTCTGAATGAGAGTTCAGGCACTTCCCAAGCCTTTCCCTCCACCTCACCCCAGTGATAAAACCAGCTCTGTAGATTCCTTTTAGAAGTAGTTTGTGCACCAAGTGCCACAACTTCTACAGCTCCCACCCGGAGGAGTGCCTCCTTAACCACCTAACTTTGGGAATTGGTGGGTCTCTGCATTTCTGAGTCTCCGTGGACGACAGAAAATAAAGAAGTGTACATTCAACAATCCAACTTCTAGTGACTATCAGAGGGTGCATTCTGCATGAAAATGCAGACACTTGTCACAGATCCTTCTTCTGACATAGTGCATAGAGAGTGGGAGATAAACTCTTGCTCTTAGCTTCACCCTGAGCAAAGAAGAAACTGGAACATATATTTAACACTCCAATCTTTCCAACTGCATCTAGTTTCTATCTTACCTATCTCAAGGCACTGACAGGACTTGGCACATTGTAAAATTCTACGGTGGGCAGTCGGGGGGCACTAAAATCAGAGACAGTGGTTTGGACAAACCAGGATTTAAGAGGCACCTCAGAATCTCTGGACCAATTGGTGAGGGCCTTCTCCTACACTGACAGAACTGGGAGTCTCACAGTCTGACAGAACTGGGAGAGGCTGCTGTCTTATGTAATGCACGGACACTAATACAGAGAAACAAAGGAAATAGAAAAACAGGGAAATGGGTTCCAAATAAAAGATCAAGATAAATCTGCAGAAACCAACCCTAGTGAAGTGGAGATGTATGATCTACCCAATGAGGAATTCAAAATAATGGTCATAAAGATGTTCACTAAGGTCAGGAGAAAAATGCATAAACAAATAATTTCAAAAAAGAGATAGAAAGTATTTCAAAAGCGGCCAATAGAAATTATAAAACTGAAGAATATAATAACTGAACTGAAAAATTCAGTAGAGGTGTTCAACAGCAGACCAGATTAAGTGAAAGAGAGAACCAGTGAGATTAAAGACATGTCATTGGAAATAATCCAATCCTAGAAGTAAAAAGAATGAAAAAGATAGCTTACAGGACTTCAACAAGCAGAACAATATATTCAGAATTGGTAGACCAGGAGGAAGAGAGGGAGAAAGGGACACAAAACATATTCAAAGAAATGATGGGGAAAAACCTCCCAAGCTTAGGGAAATAAATTGAAATCAAGATTCAGGAAACTCAGATGACACCAAATAGGAAAAATCCAGAGACACACATTTGAGACATATTATAATCAAATTGTTAAAAATTTAGACAAAGAGAGAATTTTGAAAGCAACAAGGGACAGCAAATAGTTACACAAAAGGGATGCCCACCGTGTAAGATATCCATGGATTTTCTTTTTCCAGAAACTTTATAGGCCAGGAAGGAGCTGGATGATATATTCAAAATCCTAAAAGAAAAAAAAATTACTGCCCAAGAATACCATACCTAGTAATACTATCTTTCAAAAATGAAGGCAAGAATAAGACTTTCTCAAACAAACAAAAGTCGAGGAAGGATATCACCATTAGATGTGCCTTACAAGAAATTCTAGGAATTCTTCAAGCTGGATTAAAAGGATACTAATTGATAGGATAAAAATACAAAAATAAAAAACTTACTGGTAAAAGTAAGTACATTGTCAGATTCAAACTAGTAATCAGGCAATGGTCTTCTGTAAAACAATTCTATCTCTAGTACAAAGGTTAAAAGATAAAGCAATTAAAAACAACCATAGCTACAATAATCTGTTGAGAGATACAAATGATGAAATGATATAAATTGTGACATCAAAAGCATAAAATATGAGGTGGGGGAGTAGAAATGTAGAGTTTATTTATGCAATCAAAATTAAGCTTTTATCAGCTTAAAAATAGCTGGTTATAAACATAAGATGTTTTCTGCAAGCCTCAAGTAACCACAAAGCAAAAATCTGTAGTAGATACACAAAAGATAAGAAGAAAATAGTCAAAGCATATCACTATAGACAAGCGTCAAACCATCTAAGATCAAGAACAAGACAAGGATGCCCACTCTCACCACTTCCATTCAACGTAGTACTACTGTCAGTCTTAGCTAGAGTAATTAGGCAAGAGCAAGAAATAAAAGGCATCCAGATTGGAAAGGAGGAAATAATACGGTTCCTGTTTGCAGATGACATGATATTACGTACAGAAAACCATAAAGACTACATCAAAACTACTAGAACTGATAAATAATTGCATTGAGGGAATTGTTTTGTACCCGTTTATGGTGGGAGTTACATAAAATATAATATATACTACAATAAATATAATAAATATACTCTATATTATAAATATAATATATATAATACATATAATAGCATTATATTTCATAGATCTGTACACCAAAGGAAAAGAAGTCTATTTTACATATGATGATTTTGAAAAATAAAAGAACGGAAAGTAGTATGGAGACTTCTGTTTAATGATAGTAGATGCGTGTCATTTTTATTATACTCTCCTCTTTTGAAACTAGCCAAGAATAACAATGGAACAAAAAAGAAAATTCCAAAATTAGTGCAGCAGGGAAATTGCCATGAGCACCATCACATCCTGAATCTTAGCTTTGAACAACTTGTCTGCAACAAATGAAGAGAATGCAGAGACCCCAGATATGCCTTTCGAGGCCTTTGGTAGGTCACATATTTCTCCAAATTCATGTCAGACCCAACAGTGCATGATTAAAACAGTGAGCAACCAATGCAAGGAGGTGTCTGAGAAGGTGCTCCTGCCACGGTCATGAGGACACATGTGTCAGCTCCTCAACTGTTCCAAAAAGCATGAGAGATGTGAAGCAGAGCCACACAAGACCTTCAGGAAGGCAGGACCACTCCACCCACCCCACCTGCAACAGGCCACTCATCCCAGCCTAGTCTGGATTAGGAGAGAGTTCTGGGAGTTTCCTTGCACAGAAATAACTGATACCATGTTTATGAATTAGAGCAGTCATTGTTGCAACATATCCGTTCTCCACAAATTGATCTATAGATTGAGTGCGATTCCAGACATTTCAGTAGTTTTTGGTAGAAATGGACAAGATGACTTTAAAATGTAGGTAGAAATGCAAAGGGCCAAGAATATCCCCTAGGAGAGGAACAAAGTTGGAAGAGTTACACTATCAGATATCAAGAGTAATTTTTAAAATGTTCTAAATAAGACAGTGTGGGATTGGTGCAAGGAGGGACAAATAAACCAATGGAGCCACACAAAGTGCAGACTCACACATGCATAGAAGCTTGACTTATGACTTGTGCTTACCTTACGTTACAGCAATTTCACTTTTAGATATATAAACAACAGAGGTAAGCAACGCAGGTGCATTAAAAGGCAGGCACTGAAATTTCATGACAGCATTATTTGCATAGTGAAAAAGTAGAAAAAACAGTATTGTTTGGGGTATAATTGATGCATCATGCTATACTCACAGAGTGGAATAATATATAGCAGTGAAAAAGAATGAACTACTTCTACAAATAACACAAACATGAAGTTAAGTTCACAAACATGAGTGAATCACACAAACATGAAGCTAAGTAAAAGAATTAAGACACAAAGAATGCATACTGTGTGATTCAGCGAATGTTACATAAAGTCTAAAAGTGGCCAGGACTATTCTGTGGTATTAAAAGGTAGGATAAACTCCCCTAGGACTAGGGGAGGAGTTGGTGACAGCCAGTGATGTTTTTCCGAGGGCGGGTGATGTTTCTACTCTGAAAGCCCTTCGGCATGGCCACACTCATGTTGTGATAACCCATCAGGCTATACACTTAGCATACTTTTCCTTATGTATTTGATAGTATTGAGATTACAACAGCTGCAGTATTTATAGATAAATGCACTAAACAGGACACAGAGAGGTAGTAGACAATTATAAAAGGCATAATTTATGAAGAAGATGTAACAGCCACAAATCTCTATTTACCAAAAACATGGAACTAAATATTTGAACTGAGATCTACTAGAAATAAAAAAAGAACTAGACCATAGTTCTATGACAGTGGCAACCTTCAAAACACAGTTTCAGAATTGGACAAATTTAGTACAAGAAGCAAATATGGAAAAAACTGAATAATGTAATCATTAAACTTACTTTTTAAACAGAAGATAACGTTTTGTTTGTGTGTTCATGTCCCAATTACAAAAATCAATTTTGTACTTGGGAACAAAGTAAACCTTATCAAATTATAAAAAGTAAACACTTTACAGTCCACATTCTTTGATCTTAAGTCAACAAAGTTAGAAATAGTTAAAAGGTAACTTCCCCAATCTTCATTAATTAGAAATTGAAATCAGATTACTGAAAAAAGTAAGAACTTTTGAAACTGATGTACACTGGTGATGTCCTCATATCTATTATTGGAAGTGCCTTATTGCCAGCTTTTCACATTGTGCTGTCATCATCATTTAACGGACTCTTTTGCAAATTGATCTAACTCTTGCAACATATTATCATTCGATTTCATACAAAGGTTATTCCCTGGCATGCACTTGAGGAGTCTGGGCTTTGTGGGAGTTGTTTCTGGGCATATATTAACCTACAAAATATACGACACAGAAGATTGTCCTTGTAAATAGAGTTTTAAGTTTAAAAAATACAAACTATGGAGTGTTAGACAGGACTCTATTTCCTAGGCTATGAATACAACTGACATATCTTCTGCATATGAAACATCCAAATGAGATAAATATATTAAAAGCACCACAACTTCCACATGATTTAAATCCAGAAAATAATTCCCCAGGTTTCTGAAATGCTTCTCACAGTCTTGGCAATTTCAAGATGCCACTGGAGTATTATAGGATGTCTCCATGCCATGATTGTCCTTAAAATCTCAGAAATAGATGCTAGAAAATTACTTTAAAAGATGTTGCATAAGTGGAAGTTACTGATTCTCTCCTTATCTAGTGCTCTGTGGAGGGACACAATCAAGGAGGAACTTCTGCCTCTGAAAATTACAGGCGATCCCACAGCATTCCTGGAGCTTGGAAGGGCTGGAAAGACAGGGTCTGCCGAAGACTGAGGCTAAATTAGAACCTCAGGGAATGCTGTCCTCCTCCACACTCCATAATCTCACTGACAAGCATCATATAAAAATATCAGTGGAATAGAGCTGGTGGAGCTGCAAGAGAGAGCCTCTCTCCCAGGAGCAAAGAGAGAGCGAAAGCGATGCATGCAGACAAACTCGAAGTATGTCTAGGGGAATCAGGAGCTGCTGGTACATGTTCACACAGAAACAACAAACTTGCGACTCAGCCTAACCCCCATTAAGATGAGCACAAGCCCCCACACATAAAGAACTAGCAAAATAAAATGTGTGCTCTTCTCAAAGCATAAAACACTTTTGACCTTAGTATCTACTGTCTTACACAAGATGTCCAGTATGCAAAAAAGCAAGGAAAAACAGAAGACATAAAATAATCATTACTGCTAGACTCGGATATGACACAGGTGGTGGAACTATCAGAAAGGGAATTTAAAACAACTCAGTAATATGCTAATGGTCCTAATGAAAAAGACAGACCATACGCAAGATCAGGTAGGTCATTTTAGCAGAGAGCTGGAAACTATAAACATGAACGTCATGGGAACAATAGAAATTTTAAACCACAGCACTAGAGAAGAAAAATGCCTTCAAAAGGCTCACCAGGAAACTGGCACAGCTCAGGAAAGACTAACTTGAAGATAGAGCAATAGAAACTGTATGACTCCATTTACATGAAATAGCCAGAATAGGTCAATTCCTAAAGACAGAACACAGACTGGTGATTGCCAGGGACTAGGAGCAGGGAGAAATGGAGAGAAGCTGCTTGATGGGTATGAGGTTTTATTCTGGAATGATGAGGATGTTTTGGAAGCAGAGGTGGCGGTTGCACAATATTGTGTATGTACGAAATGCCACTGAGTTGTTCATTTTAAAACGATCCATTTTCTGTTAAATGAATTTCACCTCAATACATTTTAAAAAATAATAAATGGGAAAATTAATGTAATTTTCTGTATTAACAGGCTGAATAAGAAAAATTATATTGTCTTTTCAAAAAATACTGTAAAAACAATAAAATTCATCCTCCATTCCCACTAAAAATTCACAGCATTCTAGGAATAGAAAAGAATGTCCCTACCTTAACAAAGGGCAACTACAAAAACTTACGGCTAACATCATACTTGAAGATAAGTGGGTAAATGCTTTCCCCCAAGACTGGAAAAAATGTCAACAGTTCCTCTCGCACCACTTGTATTAGTGTGCTCTCACGCTGCTAATAAAGACATACCTGACACTGGCTAATTTATAAAGGAAAGAGGTTTAATGGACTCACAGTTTCACATGGCTGCGGAAGCCTCATGGTCATGGTGGAAGGCGATGGAGGAGCAAAGTCACATCTCACATGGTGGTAGGTAAGAGAGCTTGTGCAGGGGAACTCCCATCTGTAAAACCATCAGATCTCGTGAGATTTATTCACTACTGTGAGAACAGTCTGGGGGAAACTGCCCCATGATTCAGTGATCTCCACCTGGCCCTGCCCTTGACATGTGGGGATTATTACAATTCAAGGAGAGAGTTGGGTGGGGACACAGCCAAACCATATCTCCACTCCTATTCAATACTGTGCAGTAAGTCAAGAAAAAGAAATAAAAGGCAGGCAGATTGGAGAAGAAGAAATAAATCTGTTTTCATTCATAGGTTATATAATTATCTATATGGAAATCCCTACATATTTACCCCCAAAAGCTACTGGAAACTAATAAATGGGTTTAGCAAGACTAGAATATAAAGTCAATGTACAAAAGGCAATTGTATTCCTATGTACCAGCAATGAATAACTAAATAGGAAACTAGAATTTTTAAATAAAATTAAATGTTTAAAAAACATTTACAATAGCAACATATGAAGCACTTAGATATTAATTTAATAAAATATATGCAGGATATGTCATGTTCATGGGTTGGAAAAGATTCTTGTTAGTGCATCAATTGTCCCCAGTTTTATCTATAAATTCAATGCTATTCTAATCAATATCTTAGCAATCAGATATTGATCAAATAATTCTAAAATCTATGCAGAAAGGCAAAGGAACTAGAATGGTCAAAACAACTATGAAAAAGAACAAAGTTGTAGGACTCTCGTTACCTAATTTATTCCCGCTGCCCAATTTAAAGATGTAAACTGGGTAGCAAGAGTCCTTCAGCTTGAGGTACAGTAAAAAAGAGTATGATTTTGGTGAAAGACAAAGACAAGTTAATGGGTCAGGATAGACAGCCCAGAAATAGACCCAGACAAATATACCTGTTTTTACATAGGTGCAGTAGCAACTTGATGGACAAAGGGTAGTCTTTTCAACAAACAGTGCTGGGAAAATCGAGTGTCCACATGCAAAACAAATAAACCTTGACATATACGTCATACTTCATTAAAAATTAAACTTTCCCAGTGCTTTGGGAGACCAAGGTGGGAATATCGCTTGAGGCCAGGAGTTCCAGACCAGCCTGGGCTACATAGTGAGACCCTGTCTCTAAAAAAAAAAAAAATTAACCAGGCTTGGTGGCACGCACCTGTAGTCCCAGCTACTTGGGAGGCTGAGGTGGGAGGATTGCTTGAGCCTAGGAGATTGAGGCTGCAGTGAGCCAAGATCTCACCTCTGCACTCCAGCCTGGGCAATAGAGGGAGACTGTGTCTCAAACACACACACACACAACACCTGGTTTTTCTTTTTTTAAAAAAAAATTAACAAGATAAAAGTAGGGAAGGCAGGAGACCTTTGAGCCCGAGAGTTTCTATCCTGAACTTTGATTGTAAGGATGTTTTAATTCAGGTGACATTTGGACATACGTATGCAACTTTAACACTGAATTATGCCAACATTCATGACTTTTCTTTAAATTCTCTTAAGTTATTTAATATCGTATCACGTTTTTACACAGAGTAGTTGAACTGTCTGACTTTTTTGCACTTTAATTTTACATTAATGGTTTTATTCTAGATTAGTTTCTCCATTTAAATTATCCAATGAAGATTTGGTTCCTTAGTTTTTTTGTGGGGGGTTCATATCCATTATTTTTAACTCATTATGACTTCTGCCAATGTGAATTTTCCTTTGTGGCCAATATTTCTTCCAATCCTATATTTAAAGGAAAAGCTTTATTAGACAAATTAAATTTAACAGAGTTTAATTAGGCCAGAATAGGCTCAGAGAGACTGCAGTGGAGCCACGTGGTGGAAGATTTATGAACAGAAAAGAAATGTAGAGAAAATGAAAATGAGGTCTAGAAACAGCTGGATTGTTTACAGCTCTGTGTTTGCCGTATTTGAACACAGTTTGAACAGTTGCCTGCTCTCAATTTCTGTACAGCCTCGTCACCGATGGTCTGCATACCACACTCTAGGGAGCACTGTGCTAGGCCATACAGTAAGTTCAGTAAACTGTACAAAACTTATATACACACCACATTCTCTGACAACAATGGAATTAAATTAGACATCAGTAAAAGTATAAACTAACAATCTTCATAAAATTATTTTATTTTTAGCTGTGGTATTGGCATTGTAAGTAGTTTGAGAGAGATTAGAGAGAGTAAGGTCTTAACTCTAAAGATGCAACAAAATTAACTGCATTTTGACCATTGTTGAATTTGAGTGTTAGCTATGTGGGGGTGCTTTATCTTTCTCTCACTGTTTTTTCACATTTGAAATTTTCTCTAATTAAAAAATAATTTCTATATATTTTGAAAAATACCCCATTTGCACATGAATCATGAATCAAGGGATGGAGATTAAGAAAGCACACAGAGCTCAGTGAATAATGGAACCGTTAAATATCAGCACTTGGGGAAGCAGTAACAGAAGATCTTACAGGTAAATATATAATCATAAGTCCTTGTACTAAGAAAGACGGACTGAAAATTAATAAGCCAAATGTCCAACTGAAACTAAGCAGCATACTGGACCCAAAGAAGGGCAGAAATCATGAAATACAAAATAATGAGGAAATAGAGAGGAACACAACCAAGGCTTGCTATTTGAAAAAGATTAATAAAGTAGAGAAACTGCTTCTGAGACTACTTAAGCACAAAAAAGCACAAATAAACAATGTTTGGGATGTCAAAGGAACATAATGATAAATACAACCATGACTGTAAACATAAGACAATACTAAAACAAATTTATGTGAATAAATTTGACAGCTTACAAGAAATCACAATTCCTAGAAAAAATGTAGTTTTCGTAATCAATTCAAGAAGTGTAGAGCCTGACCAGTTATGCTACTCTTAAATACATTGAATTATTAATTCTAAATGTTTTCACAAGTAAAAATACCATATGGTTTCAAAAGTGAGTTCTTCTAAAGCTGTTAGATCATTTCAATCTTACATAAACTCTTCAAAAGGATCAAATATGAATGAATGGTCATCAAATCATTCTTTGGAGCCTGGATAATTTTGATATTCAACACAGAGAAAGACAGAAGAGAAAACTATGGGCCAGCCTCATACTGAACATAGATGCAAAAATCCAAAACAACCTGTGAGTAAACCAAATGCAGCTGCCAGCCAGCCCTTCCTCTGGGTGCAAATCCGTCAATACATTAAAAAGACAAACTGTCAGGACCAAACTGTGTTTATTCCATACATTTATTCACCACTTTCACAAATTAAAGGGGAAAATCATCTGAACATTTCAAAAGAAGCATTTAATACAATTCAACATCTATTATTAACTTAAAAATTCTTAGTAGACTAGAAATAAAAGGTAATTTCCTTAAACTCAAAAAGTATACCTATCAAAACCTTACAATAAACATCATTCATAAAGGGGCAATGGCTACTGAGCGTCCTCTTAGAGAACTTCTGAGATGTTTCCCATTAAAATAAAAATCAAGGCAACAGTGTACTGAGGATCTGTTTGTGCAATAAGACAAGAAAAAGAAATTACAGGAATAAGGATTGAAAGATATAAAGCAAAACTCTCATTGGTCACAGACGACAGGATGGTCTACTGAGAAACCACAAAAGAATCTGCACAGAAATTATTGGAAATAAGAGAGTTTAGGAAGGGGGCTGCCTCTAGGATCAATAAGCAAAAATCATTTGTATTGCTATACACTAGCAATAAATAGTTGGAAAACATAATTTATCAAGAACTCTGCTTAGAAAACTCAACGTTAACTAAGAGTAAGGTTAACAAAAATGTGTACAATTTACATGCGGAAAATTATAAAATTTATTGAAAACATTTTAAAATGGCCTAAATAAATGGAAACAGATTCCACATCATGGATAGGAAAAATCAGTATTTTAAAGATATTTAATTCACAGAGTTTATGTGATTCTAATCAAAATCTCAAAAGACTTTTTGAGGAAATTTAACTAACTGAGTCTTAAAATTTGTATGCAAGGCACTCTTGAAATAAAAAACGGTGGTGGGACTCGAGGTATTGCTCCTCACAAGAGGGCATTAGCTGCAGGGGTGTGCCTGCAGACCCTGACCCAAACGATGGATGAATACAACGTACACTGACACAGAGATATTCTGCTTTGCCAGTCCAGCTCGGTGTCCGACAGCCTACACACCAAGAGAGGTTTGTCACTGTGGCTGGCTCTGAGCAGCTTGCACTTCAGGCATTTATTTAGTATACGCTTAACAACAGAAGCTCTGAGTCAACACACTTGTGGATAATTAACATGGTTAAGACGGTAGTTCTATGAATGATTAAAGCTCAGGTACCACGGTTTAAATACCATTAGGGGGCAATTTCCCTGGTCAACCTCCTCCGCACCAAGAGGGCCATCTGGCTCAAAGGTTAGTTAATGGAGGTAGGGTAAACAGACTTAACTGGGGAAGCCTCTATTGTCCCTAGTATTTACCCTATGACCTAATGCTCTAAGGTAAGAACCCGCTGCCTTCAGCCTGTTCAATTATTACAAGCTATGTAACCTTTCAGCCTTCCAAAAAGGTTTGTGACTATTCCCTATAACTTTCCCTAATATGTCCCTTTAATATTTCTGCCACCATCCTGAGTGAATCACCACAGGACTTGCACTATTTGATATCAATACTACTATAAAGCTATAATAATTAAAATGCTATGGCATTGGACCAGGGAGAGACAGGCCTCTGATGCATTCCCTGTGTAAGAACTTTGTCTTGTTTTGGAAGATGATTTGGGGATCAGAGACAGGATCCTGGGACAATTCATATCTATATGGGAAAACAAACTTCCTTAGTCCTTACTATGTACAAAAATAAATTCTACATAGATTTAGGGCATAAATGGGAACAGTAAAACCTTATAAATAAGCAGTTATCTTTATCATCTTTCTGGCTAGGAAAGGATTTTTCTTTTTGAGACATGGTCTCACTCCAACACCCAGGCTGGAAGAAGGGATTTTTTTAAGCTCAGAAAGTGCTAATCCAAAAATGCAAGACTGATAACTTGAGAACATCTGTTGATAAAAAGAATGCCATAAATAGTATAGAAAAGTAACCTAAAGAATGGAAAAAATTATTGCAACACATAGAACTGAGGACGGATCAGAATAAAGCATTCCTGCAAACAATGAGAGACCAAAACCCCAAGGGAAGAGGAGAGCAAAATACATAAAATACTTGAGTAGGCATTTCAGAGAAAAGTATGTATAATTTTGACAAGACAGAGATAGGGAGAGAAAGTTTCTCTACTTTATAATCAGGGAAATGCAAAATGGGACCACAGTTAAATATCATTTTATATTGACTAAATCGGAAAATATTAAGAAATTTATTAGTACATACTGTTGGGAATAACAGGAACACTTAGACACCACTGGACGCAGGTAAATGGTTCAAATACTTGGAAAACAATCTGGTTCCATGTATATTAGGTTGCCCAGGTATACACTTGGCCTAGAGATATTCTTACACAGTGCTCCAGGAATCATGTTCAAAAATGTTCCTAGTCTGCAGTAGCAAAACCTTGGGAATAATCGGACAGGACAGTGGTTAAACAAAGTGCCACATATTCGTATCTGTGGAGTCACAAAGTCGAGGAACTGCAGCAACACCTCACTACGTGGTAACGAAAAACGATGAGCAAAAAAATTCAAGCCTCCGGGAATATAAATGTTATGAAATCCCTTTAAAAATCCAATTACACAGTATAAAAAAGAAAATCACAGGGAACATTCAAAGCAAAATTCGGGACAGCGGCTACCTCTGGAGGGAGGCAGTTGGATGTGCGAGCTTCTGGTAGACGCAGCTTGAATGAGATGTTGTTTGGGGTTGGGAGTGGGCTGCCTGGGGTTCATACGTCACCACACTTGATAATTTACAGAAGCCTTTCACGCGTTTTTTCCTGTGTCTCAAACGGGGTACCAGGAGGCTCAGGGAAACAGCGCAGGCGCCTCCCCGGTGGCTTCTCTCTGGCGCCCTCTGGTGGGCGGGGCCCGGGTGAGCGGGGTCCCCTCGGGGCCTCAGGGAGCCGCAGCCCCAGCGGAACCAGGAGGGCGCCCTCCGCCCAGCCGCGCTGCCACTTCCGGGTTGTTTGCTCCCGGAGCCATAACCGCAGCTCAGCGTGCGGGCAGAGCCGGCTGACAGGAGACAGGACACAGCACAGAGCCCCGCGCCCTCTGAGGCGGGAGGCTTCGTTCCTGCACCAGCGTGGCTTGCCCTTTGGACGCGGCGAGGTTGTGTGTTCTCTGCTTTTGTTTTACTTGGAACAGATGTTTGGCTTTTGTCAAGGTCGTTATTTCCAGTGAAGTATGGCATCGAACATCAGATAGTTGCCCACACAAATGTCTGTTTTAAGGTTCTCAACCTTTTGACAATACAAAACAAGAGGAAGTTTCCAGGGGAAAGCCCTCAAATCAGCCATTCTGAGCATGTTTTCAGCCCCATCCGTACTCTCCTCCCTTCTTATCCAGAGCCTTTTGGGTGCCCAGAAGAGTAATATTCTTCTGCCTCGTAGCTCTGTGGTCCAAGGGTTTATGGCTACTGATTATCCTCCTAGAGCACTTCTGAGATGTTTTATGCTTTCTACTTGTGAGTGTGAAGGGAGGAGAGGCAAGTTTGCTGTCAGTCTGACAACATGTTTTTGCCACGTGATCTGCCACTGAAGAGAAGTTGGCTATGGAGGGAGGTCAAGTAGCCCAGGGAGGTGGGCATTCCAAGTGTACCTCCTCGTGCAGCCCACCCTCTCCACATAAAATTGGGTCCTGATTTTATGTGGAAGATGTTGTGTGTCTAGGAGCAGGAATCCATGGAAGACAAGATATGATATAGAAGAAACAGGCGAAGGGACTGGTACAGCATATATTTGAGGGCAAATAATCACTCGATAGGTGGCTGAAAATGTGAATGCCTTAGATAAAAATTAATTTATAAAACAGAAGTATATTTGAACAAATTTAAAACTAATATTCTAAAACTAAAATTCCTGAGATTTGGGGTAGAGTGTATATTGCAAGAGAAGTAGAGAAGAACAGTATGCTAAGGTCCCTTCTTGTTTAGATCAGAAGATATTGACAAATTATTCAAGTGAATAAAAAAACTATAGGTCTATATGTGTTTTCAGATTCAAGGGTAACCACCGGTAGAATAACAACAGGAGTCCAAATCATCAAGCAAAAAGAACAAACAAAAAATGATCAATCCGAACATAGGGAAAGGAAACACACATACACACATACATATACATACATACACACATGCACACACACACATGCACACACATACACACGCATACACACACACATACATTCACATCGTAACAGCCAAATTTAGTAATCGTGATAAATATGACCGTTTAATTCTATAAAAAGGAAAAACTTTCCGTTTATGTCAAAGCTATAGAATGTTTACAGGACACCTATCAAGAACAAAAATAACATAAAGATACTTTAAATATTATGATGAGCAGAGATAGACCAGGGAAATACTACGAAAAGCAAACACATGTAGCAACAGTTATCAGGGGAGTCAAAAAGATGTTTATATAACAGTAAAAGATACAATTAGAAGATTAATTGCCAATTTTAATACATATTAACATATCTGAGTAGATTTTTAAAATAAAAGATAATGTAATAAAACACGATTCTAGTCAGAGAAATCAAGGCACCTTACCTAGAAATGACAAGACCACATAGATCTTTTCTAAAGGCGACTTTTTTTTTTTTTTGAGACGGGAGTCTCGCTCTGTCACCCAGGCTGTACTGCAGTGGTGAGATCTTGGCTCACTGCAAGCTCTGCCTCCCGGGTTCACGCCATTCTCCTGCCTCAGCCTCCCGAGTAGCTGGGACTACAGGCGCCCGCCACTTTTTTGTACTTTTAGTAGAGAGGGGGTTTCACCGTGTTAGCCAGGATAGTCTCGATCTCCTGACCTCATGATCCGCCCGCCTTGGCATCCCAAAGTGCTGGGATTACAGGCGTGAGCCACCGTGCTCGGCCATAATGGTGACTTTTAAATTAAAAATAATTGATGGGGAAGGTCTTTTAGAAAACATTGTCTAAATTCCAAAGGCCATAAAGGAAAAGTCTGAAAAGTTTAACTGTATAAAAATCTAATTTTCTACATGGGAAATCAAACAAGAGACTGGGAGGAACTTCCAAACCATCAAACATGAAAACAACTACTATTTATTTGATAGACAAAGAGTCCTTAAAATCTGAGAGGAAATATGTAAAATCCCAATATGAAAAGGGAAGGAATTGTTTCATTAAAAAAGAAATTCAAATAAATAATCAGTAGATGAAAAGATGCTCTACTTCTTTATTGACCAGAGAAATGCAAATTAAAGTAATGACATATGAATTTTCAGTTATCGGTGACTGGCAGTATCTAGTGTTGGAGCAGATGTGTAGAAATTGGCTCTCCCATCCTACTGTGGGGGGTTTTAAGTGTTTCAACCTTTTGAGGAAGCAGTTTTATATACCTATTAACATTGTAAATCCACATATCCAGTGACCTAACCGTCCCACTCCCACAAAACTGACTTACAGAGATAGGTGCATGTCTGAACAAAGATACATCTACAGGGCACCATTGTGGCACCTTTTGTAACATAAATAGTTGGGGAAACCATTTGAATTGTTCATCAACTCAAAATAGACAAATTGTGAAATACAAAATGTAGTATGTGTGTGTATGTTTATATAAATTGTTTTTGAAGTTTGGAAGAATACACAGAATACTTACAACCATAGTATGGTACACACTATTGATTAGTAATCAATCCCATTCCTAATTCCCTTAATATTTTGACACATTCACTTAAAAGGTCTTTCCACTTTCCAGCCCCTCTTGCACAGAGGAGTGGTGACATTCTAACCAAGAATTTAAAAAATCTCAGATTTTCTGGAAGTTTCTTGGAAAGCTCTCATTTTCCTGATAAATAGGATAGACAAGAGAAGCACTTCTAGAATGGCAGGATAAGAAGCTCTGAAAATCTGTTCCTCCAGAACTGCAATGTGAACACCAGCTAAAGTGTTGAAAAATGAATGGAGCCTCAGAGACCTTTGGGACATCATCAAGGGTATCTAACAGGTACAATGGGAATCACAGAAAGAGAGAAAATAAGGGGACAAAAATACTATTTGAAGAAATAATGGGTGTAAATTCCCCAAATTTGATGAAAAAGATCCATCTACATATCCAAAAGCTTAATAAATGAATATTCATTTATTGTCATTTATTCATTTATTCTCAAAATAGAATAAATGAAAGGAGAGCCATACCTGCACACACTGTAGTCAAACAATCAAAGGGAAACTGGGAGTCCTGGAAGCAGCAAGAGTGAGATGAGTCGTCAGGTAAATCAGCCCTCGATAAAATAGCAGGAACCTGTTCACCCAAAACTGAAATGAGTCGTCAGGTAAATCAGCCCTTGATAAAACAGCAGGAACCTGTTCACCCAAAACCAAAATGAGTTGTCAGGTAAATCAGACCTTGATAAAATAGCAGCGCCTGTTCACCCGAAACCGAAATGAGTCATCAGGTAAATCAGCCCTGGATAAAATAGCAGGAACCTGTTCCGCCGAAACCAAATGAGTCGTCAGGTAAATCAGCCCTTGATAAAATAACAGCACTTGTTGACCAGAAGCCATGGGACCAGCAGGCAGTGAGATGACACAGTCAGGGCACTGAAGAAAAACACTGCTAACCAAGAATTCTATATCCAGAAAACATTCTTCCAAAAAGAGAGAAGTATTACAGCTCTTTAGAATTTGTCTAGCAGGTTTTCTGGTACCCTCCCCCATTAATTTATTAATTAAAATTTAAAATATGTCAGCCTTTTGGCTAAGATCAAATGTCAAAAAGAAAGAGAAATTAAGACATTCTTGGATAAACAACACCGAGAGAATTCACAAGCCTGTCATAAGAAATACTAAAGGAAGTCTCTTGGGTCAAAGTCAAAGAACACTAGTAACTCAAATGCACATTATACACAGAATTAAAGTAAGTGCCAAAAAGTATTTTAGTAGGTACAAAATTAAAACTGCAAATAATAAAAAGAGAATTAGCAGAATCTTTCCTTCTCAATGGGGTTTAAAATATGGAAGCTGCCTTTGTAGGGTGAATTTGGGACTCGCAGTTTCCACTTCACCCACTTTTGTGTTGTTTGCATTCGTTAAAAGGAGATATTTTACTTCCCCAATTAAAATTATCTTTCTAATCTTTATAAACAATTATTTAATTCCAGTAAATCTTCTCTATATTGCTTTACTAGTGAGTTCTATTAAAATTTTGAAGCACAGAAAATTCCCCTACAGTATAAAGTATCCCCAGTCACAGAGAAGACAGGGGTTTTGCAATGATTTCTAGAATAGTGCAATTTTTATGCAAGAACCTAATATAACACAAAAATTATAGCCCGATTTTATTTGTGGGTATAGATGCAAAATTACTAAAAATACTATTAACAAGTTGAATCCTTAGGGTGTTAAAAGAGTATCACTCCATGAACGAGTTGGTTGTGATGTGGAACTATGAGGTACTTTTATGATACAATATAAAAATTTATGGTAATTTTATGGTACATTGTGAGACAGTGTTTTCTTCTAGCATCATACTAGCAGGTCTATGGAGAAAAATCACAGGATTGTCTCAATCAAAAAAAGATTTCATTAACCCAACTCTCATCCCTGATAAACACTGTTAGTTATCTAGAGAAAGAAGAAAATTGTCCCAATACAGTCACCTCTTTGCCACACCCAGCCAACAGCAGACGTGATGGAAGCCTGAAGAACACCCTGCCACGGGCACAGGCAGAGGCACAGGCACCCTGTCGTCCTGATTATTTCACCTTGTCACGGGCAGAGGCACAGGCACCCTGTCGTCCTGATTATTTCACCTTGTCACGGACAGAGGCACAGGCACCCTGTCGTCCTGATTATTTCACCTTGTCACAGGCACAGGCACCCTGTCGTCCTGATTATTTCACCTTGTCACAGGCACAGGCACTCTGTCGTCCTGATTATTTCACCTTGTCACGGGCAGAGGCACAGGCACTCTGTCATCCTGATTATTTCACCTTGTCCTAGAGTGTCCTGCCAATGGGACAGATGCAAAACAAATAAAAGCCCCGGCTTCTGAAAAGAAGCACACAGAAATGTCATTATTTTCAAACGAGGTGTTCCCGTATATAAAATTTGATGTTGGTTGGGCATCTAACAGTATTATGGCCAGAGGACTCAGACCACAGCTGCATCCCTGTGAGGCACAGACTCTCCAGGGCACGCGGGTCCCGCCTGGGATGTGCACACTCAGGTGAGCTGCACAGACAAGGTGTCCTCAGCCCAGGGGAGCCAGAGGCCTGCTCTGCCTCTCCACCCTGATGCTTCCTGTTCTCACCCCACCAAAGCCAAGGCTTCAATTTCAGTCTGTGGGGAGCTGACTCTGCTGCTCTCAAGCACTAGAAGAAGGAACCAGTAATCGAGGAAACTTGTGGACCCCAATGGGTGTCTGTCCCGGCCAGGCCTGGCTGGGCCCACACAGGACAACAGGGTTCAGGGGTCTGGACAGCTGTTTCTGCCCAGGGAATTGTCCCTGCCACCTCACACTGGCCACTGGAAAGGAAAGAGAGGAGGAGGCGGCAGGCTAACCCACCCGTGAGCCAGTCGAGTCTACATTGTCAGTTCTCACCTCGAGGGGTGCCAAAAACCAGAGGGAAGCAAAGGCCCCTGAAGCCTCTGCCAGAGGCCAACGCCCCTTCTTGGTTCAGGAGAGGTGCAGTGTTAGGTGCAGCACAACCAATGACTTGCTTATGTGGCTAATAAATTGTCAAGAGAAAAACTGGGTTAGAATGCAATATATAGTATGTAGTCTCATTTTTGTATAAATACAAGTATAGAATGGCATAACTCAAAATCCACAAGTGATTTGGCTGGATTGTAAATGACTTTTATTTTCTTCATTTCTCATCATATTTTCTATTATACATAAAGATTCATTGTTAATATAAAAGTACAAAATTGCAACCTATGAATTAAGAACTTCTATATATTGCCAGTTAGAAGACAGAATGAAAAACATTCTCTTCATTCTAACCACACACACAAAAAAGCTCCACAAAATACCTATGGACTACCTTCATAGAAGGTGGAAGAGGGTCTGTATGAAGAAAATAATTAATACATGAAAGAAGAAGCTAGTCAATGTGGAGCTCTATTGTGTCCCGGGATCAACAAAGACAAGATATCTTTAAAATCGTCTTCTAAATTTACCCTAATGTAAAACAAATCCAATAAAACTCTAATGTAATTTTTTAAGAATTTAAATTTGGAATAATTCCAAAGAACAATTTTTCTTAATTTTCTACAGCCAGAATATATACCTTTAAAAAAAATGAAAACAGAGATTAACTTTCTCAGAATTGGTTGACTCACTCTTTCCTTTTATTTTTCTTCCATGGAATTTTCCAGTTAACTTGAGAAAGTGGAATCGAATTCCGATGTTGAATTTTCCTTCTGGCCCCATTCATGTGGCAGGTGGTGATTCAGGTACTACTGGGGGCTGCTCAGACAAACCTCCTCATCAGACATCAAGAGGCTGTTGCACCAGGAGGGCCGGTACCGTGTCTAGAGGTGGTCGGCATGGGGTTGGAGTTGTATTACATAAACCCTACTCCAAACAAATGCATGGGGATGTGGCTGGAGTTCCCCGTTGTCTAACCAGTGCCAAAGGGCAGGACGGTACCTCACCCCACGTTCTTAACTATGGGTTGGCAACATGTTCCTGGATGTGTTTGCTGGCACAGTGACAGGTGCTAGCAACCAGGGTGTTGACACAGTCCAACTCCATCCTCACCAGGTCACTGGCTGGAACCCCTGGGGGCCACCATTGCGGGAATCAGCCTTTGAAACGATGGCCAACAGCAGCTAATAATAAACCAGTAATTTGGGATAGACGAGTAGCAAGAGGGCATTGGTTGGTGGGTCACCCTCCTTCTCAGAACACATTATAAAAACCTTCCGTTTCCACAGGATTGTCTCCCGGGCTGGCAGCAGGGCCCCAGCGGCACCATGTCTGCCCTCGGAGTCACCGTGGCCCTGCTGGTGTGGGCGGCCTTCCTCCTGCTGGTGTCCATGTGGAGGCAGGTGCACAGCAGCTGGAATCTGCCCCCAGGCCCTTTCCCGCTTCCCATCATCGGGAACCTCTTCCAGTTGGAATTGAAGAATATTCCCAAGTCCTTCACCCGGGTAAGAGAAATAGTGTTGATTTTAGGGAGAATAACTCAGCAATTGGATCTGGTATGTGTGTATTCAACTCATTTGCAGACAAATTGTGGTTGTTCAATACCAGCCTGTTGTGAATTACCTGAATTGATAGCATCCTGGAGCGACACTCAAAATGTGTCGCCTGTGGTGCAGCTGGAGCCCGGAGCCTGCGTGCCAGGCCCCGGAGGCCCCCGCCGGTGCCTTGTCCTGGGGCTGATGATGGGGAGGCCGGCGAGGCCGGGCTGCTGCGACGCCAGGATAACCGGGCTGGCGGCCAGATGCGCACTCGCTGGGCGTCCGCCTGTGTTTGCCAAAGCACGAGTTGAAACGTGAAGTGTTGGGCCAGCCCGTGTGGCACCAATACCTGCCGCCTACGACTGTTGTGAACACTGAATGGGCCAACAAACCTAAACGTTAAATGAACTGATAACGCCGTCAGCACGGAGCAGGCGCTGGGTGTTTGCGCTCTTGCGCGTGCGCTCTGTGGGGCGCAGGCTGACGGCGGGCGGGGGTCGCCTGCTCCAGCTCGGGCTCCCGCGCCAGAACCGGGTCCAGAACCTTGATTCCGGAAGCGGGCAACGGGGTGGTTGGTGGGCGCGCCTGAGGGAAGGGACGTGAGGAGCCGGAGTCCGCGGAGTTGCCGCGGAGTTGTCCGCGGAGTCCAGGCGGGTGGGGAGCAGAGCAGCTGGAACCCCCCGAGCGCCCTGCAGACGCAGCAGCCTCTTGAGGGGAGGGTCTCCCCCACCTCGGGCTGGACAAAGACAGCTTTTCCCCACGTCCCTCTGGGTTCTCTAGAGCAACAGCAATACCCGCCCGGCAGGGGTGTGGCTTAGAGCCCCGCACCTCCTCGCCGCGCGGCGGGCCTGACTTCTAGCCACGGGTCTCCGCAGTTGGCCCAGCGCTTCGGGCCGGTGTTCACGCTGTACGTGGGCTCGCAGCGCATGGTGGTGATGCACGGCTACAAGGCGGTGAAGGAAGCGCTGCTGGACTACAAGGACGAGTTCTCGGGCAGAGGCGACCTCCCCGCGTTCCATGCGCACAGGGACAGGGGTGAGTCCGCGTCCCTGGCACGGAGCGGGGGGTGCATAACACGCCCCGGGACAGTTACGGGCGCTAGCCACGTCGGCGATGGCCAAATAATAAACTAACAGTAATATTATAGTAACAGCATCCGAAGGATGAGATCAGGATTAGGGCGATGGCCCCCGCGCGTTGCCTGCGGAGCGAGGCGCACTGAGTCGCCCAGGAATCCGGCCTCTCGGCGACTGTGCGGGAGAGTTTATGGGGATGGGCGGGGCTGCTTCTGAGCAGGAGTCGCCGCCCCCACCCCCACCGTTCCGCCTCTGGGCCCGCAGGCTCCTCCCGGGAGCGCTTTCCCCTCCTGTTCAACCGCCGGGGTACAGGTGGCTTCGTCCACCGAGGTCCCCTCACCCACGCTGAGGCGTCGGAAGCTGCGGACACTGCTCGCTTCAGGGCTTTGCTCAGCTGCAGCTGGTGACCTCCAGAGAGGGAGTCTCTGATGTCCCGCTGGGGTGGATGTCCTGAGACCGGGAAGGGGGAAGAGACCCACTGAAATCCTATCTCCCAGCCTCACCTCTGCTGTCTCCTCCACGCTTCCTGTCTCCAGAGCCCCGAGTTCAGCATAAGCAGAAAGCGGCCTGTTCCCTCTCTAGGGAGAGGAGGGTTGCGGTCTGGAGGTCTGGCTCGTCTTTATCTGCGCATTCTCCCAGCCTCCTGGCTTCAGACCTCAGCGAGGCGGCGGCTGCCGGCCGGCTCTCCTCTTCCTGCCTGCAGACCTGGCCTGCTGCTTCTTTCTCCTTCCTCCCTCCCTGCCTGCCCTGCGGTTTCAAAGTAGATTAGAAATAACAGTGTCCCACATGGAAGCCTCTACTTCTTCCTGGGTCAACTTTGATGACGAGGCTCCAGAAAACCTTTGCAATGCTGTGTGGAATTTTTAAATCGGTGAGCTCGTGCTCTTGCCCTATTTATTTGTCCAGCGTACATTTCTGAACATTGTGAACGTCGAATGGGCCAACAAATCTAAAAATTAAATGAGCTGATAAAGAACGCCGTCAGCACAGAGCAGACGCTGGGTGTTCGCGCTCTTGAGCGTGCGCTCTGCGGGGCGCGGGCTGGTGGCGGGCGGGGGTCGCCGGCTCCAGCTCAGGTTCCCGCGCCAGGACCGCGTCCAGAACCTTGTCTCCGGAAGCGGGCAACGGGGTGGTTGTATCACAATTAGTGGCATTTGGTTTTCCTTCTTCTGCATTGTGGGTTTTACTTCTCTGGGGTTGCCAAAAACAAAATTAACCATCTCAGTCCTTGTCGTTAACGCAGGAGAAGCATTACTGGAGGAGGCTCTGGGGTTCTGTGGTTGAGGAGCTCAGTTCTGGTTCCGGGGAGCCCTTATCTGCCACCCACGGGTCCAAGGCACAGTCGGAGGCAGCAGGGAGGGGAGCGGAATTCACATCAACACAGATGGGGCTCAAGGGGACTTTGCTGCCTCTGCCTGGAGGGTCTAAAGTTTCATTTTCATATGACCCGCAGGGCGCAGACTGGCGGAAAATTAGCAGAGCCCTGGGCATGGGCTGCACCTGGCCCTTAAGGGACAATGATGGAAATATTCCTTATTAGCACAATACTGAGCACAGGCTGTGTGATAATGTGTCAAGGGAACTGCAGACATCCTTTCAGAAAAAGTTCATAAAACGGAGAAAGTTTGGTTCCCAACCTAGATTTTTAACCTGTTGAACTCTGTCTAAATGGGTCATCTCGGGATGTCCTCCACTCAACATGACCACGTCTGCCCCTCTGTCCCACCTGTCTCCTCAGTCCTTCCTCCCCACCTTTCAGGATGAAATGAAACCCTCAGTCCAGCTGCACCCCTGCCCCACCCACCTCATCTCATGTGCCCTCCCGCCCCTCTCAGGCCGGACAGCCTTGCTTCTGGAACACACGAGCACAGCTTCACCAGGCACTTTCTGAGCACCCTGCAGGCGCCTCCCAGGAGTGGTCAGTGGTCAATCAGCTAATGAAGCTGCATAGGACATGACCCTTGTTTACCGCAGAATGCCCAGAGCTGGCAGGATGTCTTATATGCAGGAAGTACCCAAAATGTATTTATTGAGGAAGTGATGATGGATAAGAGGAAGACGGAGAGCGAGGGAGAGAGGGGCTAGGGGCCCCTGCGGTGTAAAGGGGGTGTGGCTGGGAGTGTGCAGGGGAACAGGGATCATTTCAAGGTTCCTATCTGGGAGAAAATAAAAAGGTTTACAGTTAGTTGAGATAAGCGTGGGAATATGCGAACATTTTTAAAGAATAAAAAGTTTAGCTTTAAATTTGTTGATTCCAAATGTGTTCATACTCTCGGGAGGATCCATCAAGCAACTCTTGGGAGGAGAGACAGGGCAGGGCCAGGCCTTGACAGCTCAGAAGGGTGCAGTAGGGACAGTTCTTGGTTTTCCCAGCTCTGATGCTTTGCACAGTCACTTGTGTGACCTGCAA
The DNA here is from genome assembly GCF_000001405.40 of Homo sapiens. Taxonomy (NCBI): domain Eukaryota; kingdom Metazoa; phylum Chordata; class Mammalia; order Primates; family Hominidae; genus Homo; species Homo sapiens. Next base: position 133,531,092 of record NC_000010.11, read on the forward strand.
GATTTTAGTGAAGAAACTTGCTGTGGAGTCGGAAAGCTGCAAGTTGAGGTGTGTGTGGTGTGAGGGTTAAAAATCTGTGAGAACAGAATGAATGGCTTTTCAAGAATGTTGTCGATAGATAGGAAAGAGGTGGGAGGTGTTCTTGGAGTGGCCATATGTGGTTTTATGTAGCATGGGGAAGACTCAGCAGAAAGGAAAAAGAAAGAAGGTAAATTGACAGCATGAAGTAGAGCACCCAGGAGAGGCTACATGTGATGAAGAAACCACAGTGCAGACTGTGAGGACCCCAGAAAGGCTCCTCCCCAAAACCTGACCAGTGGCCGGTGCTGGCAGCTCCCAGGCTGGGACACCCCTCTGTCTCTCTGTCCCTCTGCCCCCTCTGTCACTTCTTTATACACCTGTAAATCCTGCCCTGCTCTCCAAGGCCCTCTGTAGCCCATTTCTCCCCAAAATGGGTATTTAGAATAACCTTCTGCTGGCCCCTCTGCCTTAGGAATCATTTTTAATAATGGACCTACCTGGAAGGACATCCGGCGGTTTTCCCTGACCACCCTCCGGAACTATGGGATGGGGAAACAGGGCAATGAGAGCCGGATCCAGAGGGAGGCCCACTTCCTGCTGGAAGCACTCAGGAAGACCCAAGGTGCGTATCTGCTGCCTAGCAGGGCCCAGTCCTCTTGCAGACCAGCGGTGTGGGGAGCCCTGGCTGGGACTCCTAGACTGCATCTGAACCACAGGGACCTACGGACAAGGAGAGGGTCTCGTGAGTCCCCAGATACTGCATTTTACAACTCTAGGTTCCAGCTACACAGTTCAGGGAGCAAGGGTGGCCATTAAACACGTGACTTGTATCCTAAATACTGTTGAAAAGCAAAGGAAACTCAAACAGGTTCAGACATTCACTATCTTTCGTAAACTGGCAGTTTTCAGGGCACCTTCTCACAGGCCTTGGTGAACCTCAGTGGGTGACTGAGCAGGTGGAGGAGTCTCCTCACCCCCATCTTCTGGTTGCCCTGACTGCCTGTTTTGTAGGCCAGCCTTTCGACCCCACCTTCCTCATCGGCTGCGCGCCCTGCAACGTCATAGCCGACATCCTCTTCCGCAAGCATTTTGACTACAATGATGAGAAGTTTCTAAGGCTGATGTATTTGTTTAATGAGAACTTCCACCTACTCAGCACTCCCTGGCTCCAGGTGAAGCCACTTTCCTCTTTCATCAGTCATCAACTGTAGAGTTTACGTTAGAAAAAGAAGGAAAATTTGGGTTATATGTGATAGACAGGACTGCAAAAGCCAAACAACATAGCTTCGAGGGGTGTTTGATTAGACAGCCCAAATATTCCTCCCAGAGACATCTCTGGGGCCCCACGCACCCCCTTTCCTAACGTCAGGATGTGTATCGACCTGTGTGTGCACATTTGCCATGCAGAGTTTGCACTGCTGAGGAGAATGGTGCCCAAGAAGGACACTGTTGACCCAAAATATTCCAAATAAACAATGATTACAGCCACAAATTCAGGTTTGGAGAAAGTTGTTGGTCCAACACACACAATTATGTTGCATCCAGAAAAAAGTAGTAAAATATTTTTTTCCCTCTCTAGCTTTACAATAATTTTCCCAGCTTTCTACACTACTTGCCTGGAAGCCACAGAAAAGTCATAAAAAATGTGGCTGAAGTAAAAGAGTATGTGTCTGAAAGGGTGAAGGAGCACCATCAATCTCTGGACCCCAACTGTCCCCGGGACCTCACCGACTGCCTGCTCGTGGAAATGGAGAAGGTAGGCTCGGCCCTCCCATGATGTGGGCTCTCCGGGGTGGGCAGAGAATGCACAATTTCAGATTTACAGAGTGAGCTGCACTTGCTGGTGTCCAGACCTCCCACCGCAGCATGCTCTGAGTTTCATACACACACTCTTGGCTTCAGCATGACCACTGGACGCAAGTCAGCCTGCCTGGCTGCCAAGCTGGCCTGGGGCTTTGGGGTCACATGGGCGGGACGCTTAGCTCTCTCCAGGCCCTGCTGCTCAACCCTTTCTAGTCTGCAGACTTTGAGAATTGCATTTTGTCTGAGGAGAAGCCCTCAGCCTTCCTTGTGGGCATGCACTCCCCAACTGTGCGCAGCTGCAGGACTTCCAGGCCTCCCCAGCTTCATCCACCTGCAGGTGCTCAGGATCCTGATCCCCTGCCCCCTTCCCACCTTGGTGAAACTTCTTGTATCCTTGTCTTGTCCTTTCCTATGGCTTGTGGCTCAAGAACAAATGTGGAGCCCACACTGATTTCCCAGGACTGTCTGAGCATCTTCTCCACCAGTTTGGCCCCTCGTGGCAGCAGACACTAGCCCTGTAGCAGGAGGGGTTAGCAGGAGCCGTTTAGCTCCTGCCTGAGCTATGACCAAGGTCAGGGGGATCTCACCTCTCCCAGGATGGCCCTCATGCTGTGGAGGGAGACAGAGCCCTGGCCTGCCCTCAGCAGATTTCTGGGAGCCTCAGTTTCCCTGGCTGTGAGGTGGAGATGACTCTGTCTGTCACAGCTCCAAGTCACAGTTCCACTGGGAGAGCCTCTTGGACACTGTCTCCTGTGTCCCTGTGGAGCTGGGAGGTGGCTGGTTCTGTGCTGAAAGGAGACAAGCAGCCCCTTCTCCTCCGGTCTGTCTCCGGTATCACAGGAAAAGCACAGTGCAGAGCGCTTGTACACAATGGACGGTATCACCGTGACTGTGGCCGACCTGTTCTTTGCGGGGACAGAGACCACCAGCACAACTCTGAGATATGGGCTCCTGATTCTCATGAAATACCCTGAGATCGAAGGTAGGCAAGTGACTGAAGGGACACCGTGCGTGCGGCTGCATCTCCCTGGATGGCCAGCCTTGCACATTTTAGGCTGCAGCTTTCTGTCTGAAGCTGCTTGTTAACCCTCATGGTGATGTGGTGAGATGGCTAGATGCACTGCTGTGAGGGGAGGTGTTATGGTCTGTGCTGAACACCTGGTACTCTTGCACACTGGTTGGTCCATACCCCACTAAGACACCCCTGGTTGCAGAAAAGAACATCCCAACACCAGAGTGGAGAGAGGTGGCAGGGTCTGCATTCTGCTCCATAAATAACCTCTTTATGACAGAGAAGATAATGTCCCAGTTCCCCCCAAGTAAGACCTGGTCTTCTAGGCAGAGCAGGTGGGGAGGTTGGAGCTGGAGGGGAGGGTCCTTGCTGGGGCGTCTTCCTCAAATGCGGACGTGAGGAGGGAAGTCCAGGAAGAAGCAGCTACAGCTGCCCTGGACCCTTGTTCCTTCCACAGGGCTCCTCCCAGCGGCACCTGGGGCAGCTGGGACTCTGTGCCTGGAGGAGGTGTGAAAGGTCTGGGTCTAGGTGGGCAGAGGGTCATGCCCTGAGAAACACCCATCTGGGCCAAGTAGAGGTGATGTGAGGGCACCCGCATGCAAACAGGCCAGTCAGGGTTGGGTCCAAGTAAAGGGGAGGAAAGGGAGCTGCAGCCTGGCTGGAGAGTGCCGGGGGGCCCAGAGCCCCTGCCTCTCGCTGGGCTGGAAACAGGGCTGGGCAGCCTCTGCCCGAGGCAGTTCACAGCCTGAGTGGTGTGTGCCGCCCTCCTCCTGAAGCTGCTGCTAATGGTCACTTGTGGTCTTAAGGCTCGTCAGTTCCTGAAAGCAGGTATTATAGGCTATGAAGTTATTTCCCCCAAGAAAGTCGACATGTGATGGATCCAGGGTCAGACCCTGGGCTTTTCTTGTTCTTTCCTTCTTCTTCTTCTTTTTATTTATTTATTTTTTTTTTTGAGGGGACAGGGTCTCACTCTGTTGCCCAGGCTGGAGTGCGGTGATGCAATCATGGCTCATTGTAGCTTCTACCTATTGGGCTCAAGCGATCCTCCCACCTCAGCCTCCCAAGTAACTGGGCCACAGGTGCACACCACCACACCCAGCTGATTAAAAATTTAAAAAAATTATTTTGGCTGGGCACAGTGGCTCATACCTGTAATCCTGGCACTTTGGGAGGCTGAGGCAGGCGATCACGAGGTCAGGAGTTCGAGACCTTCCTGGCCAACATGATGAAACCCTGTCTCTCCTAAAATACAAAAAAGTAGCCGGGTGTGGTGGCACGCGCCTATAGTCACAGCTACTCAGGAGGCTGAGGCAGGAGAATCGCTTCAACCTCAGAGGCACAGGGTGCAGTGATCCGAGATTGCACCCCACTGCACTCTAGCCTGACAACAGAGCAAGAATCAGTCTAAAAAAAAAATTGTAGAGACAAGTTGTTACTATGTTTTGTAGGCTGGTCTTGAACTCCTGGGCTCAAGTCATCCTCCTGCCTTGGCCTCCCAAAGTGCTGGGGTTACAGGTGTGGCCACCGTGCCCCATCCCTGGCCTTTGCTTTTTCAATCACATGGAAATGTGAAGGGTGAAGGAGCCAAAAGTTTAGGGAAGGAATCATTGTATGGATCTGCAGTGATTATAAGAGAACTTTCGACTACTCTGCACTAGGGGAACCATGGAATCAAAAAATGTTTTAAATTATTATTTATGAGGAGGTTCCAATATAGACAAAAGGAAAATAAATATGATTGACATGTATATATCCATTGCCAAATTGAACGTTTATTAACATTTTGCGATACTTCCATCAGAGCTCTTAAAAAGAAAATGTGTTACAGAGCCAGCCAAAGTCTACCTCCTCACATCTCCCCACCTCTCTCACCAGAAATGGCTTCAGAATTGCTGTGTGGCTTTGCACTTTTAACAGTTGTTAATTATCAGCACAGTATTCATATTATTGCTGTATGTGTTTAATATTTTACCTGGGTACTGTACATAACATTTTGCAGCTTGGTTTTTTCACTCAACATATGATGATGTTCCATGGGAACTCCAAACACGGGGAGGCTAGGCGACTTGCTCAAGGCAGCTGTTACCTCTGTCAGAAAGACAGAGGCTTTCAGATTCAAGAAGTAGACCCTGCATGTCTGATTCTGTTCTGTAAACCCCCTTCATACTCAGAAGCATGCAATAAACAAGCCTGGGGTAATTATCAATGCAAAGGTTACCCTCCCAGAAGAAATTTCCAAAACACTTTCATTATTCTCTGCTCTTGACATGAAGAGAACTGAATAAGCCATCATCAACTGAGATAATGGATGCCAAAACATCCAGTAAATAACCTCATAGAGCTTAGCTCTCACTAAGTTTTTGGAGCATTTTCCAGTAATTCAAAGGACCTGGGGAACCTTAAGCACTGCTTAGGATGCTCCATAAACATCTTCTGCGTGGGTAGGGGAGTGGATGGATGGCTGGATGGGTGGGTGGATGGACGGACGGATGGATGGATGGATGGATGGATGGATGGTTGGATGGATGGGTGGGTGGATGGATGGATGGGTCAATGGATGTGTGGATGGATGGAAGGGTGGGTGGATGGGTGGATGGTTGGATGTATAGATGGGTGGATGGGTGGATGCTTGGATGGATGCGTGGGTAGGTGGATGGAGGGATGGCTGGATGGATGGGTGGGTGGGTGGGTGGGTGGATGGATGGGTGGATGGGTGGTTGGGTGGATGGATGGATAGGAGGGTGGATAAATGGGTGGATGGATGGATGGGAGGGTGGATAAATGGGTGGATGGGTGGATGGTTGGATGGATGGGTGGGTGGGTGGATGGATGGGTGGTTGGATGGATGGGTGGGTGGGTGGATGGGAGGGTGGATGGATGGGTGGTTGGATGGATGGGTGGGTGGGTGGATGGGAGGGTGGATGGCTGGCTGGCTGGGTGGGTGGGTGGATGGATGCATGGGTGGATGGATGGAGGATGGATGGATGGATGGAGGGGTGTATAGATGGAGGGGTGGATGGATGTGTAGGTGGGCAGATGGATAAAAGCGTGATTGAATAGATGGGTGGATGATGGGTGGATGCCCAACTGGCCAGGAACCAATCCCTGAAATTTGTCCCATTCATATCTTGGCAGAGAAGCTCCATGAAGAAATTGACAGGGTGATTGGGCCAAGCCGAATCCCTGCCATCAAGGATAGGCAAGAGATGCCCTACATGGATGCTGTGGTGCATGAGATTCAGCGGTTCATCACCCTCGTGCCCTCCAACCTGCCCCATGAAGCAACCCGAGACACCATTTTCAGAGGATACCTCATCCCCAAGGTTAAGCAATGAGCCTGCAGCACACAGCATGAACACCATCCTATCAGCTAATCGCCTTCCTGCCAGGGAGCAGGATGGGGGCCCCAAGACCCTTCCCTTTGGCAGGGGTCACTGAGGGGAAGGGCTGGCCCCACTCCCACCCTGTGGGATACTGCATCTCCAGGAGTGCTCACATTGGCCTGGTGACCAGAGAGGTGGAGGAAATCTGGAAAAGAGCCTCAGCAGATAGTGCCTGGGACTGTAGTGAATTCTAATGCCAGGAACAAACTATCACAACCAGCCCTGGGGTTAATCCTGTGAGAAGATTAGGGCTTTCATCTTCATTTAGACCTGACCCCTGACTGCTTTCTATCTAATCCTTCACTAAGCAACTCCTTCAACTGGAAATATACTATCCTATATAGCATAATATTCAAAACTACATTCTTCACTGGGGGTTTCCAGATGAAAGCCCACATTTTGTTAACATGACTCACTGAGACAGTCTTTGTTTCTCCTAGGGCACAGTCGTAGTGCCAACTCTGGACTCTGTTTTGTATGACAACCAAGAATTTCCTGATCCAGAAAAGTTTAAGCCAGAACACTTCCTGAATGAAAATGGAAAGTTCAAGTACAGTGACTATTTCAAGCCATTTTCCACAGGTGAGAAAGATCAGAGGCAGTACCTTCCCTTGAGGAGCAGCCCACACTCCTCATCTCCCCTCCACATGTGCTCTGCCCTCGTCCCAGGCACCCACTGACACCCCAAACCTCACTGTGTGCCCTGTTTCTATTGACAACATGACCCAAATGTGCTCTTCCCTGTTCAGAGAAGTTACATAACATCTTTTAGCAGCAATCCTGGGAATGAAGTGTTGTTGTAGGTGGATTTTTTTTTTCCCAAAGACTAGACATTTTACATCATTCATTGCTAAATTTTGTTTCTATTTTAACAAGACTTAGTGAAAAGCTCTCAAAGCCATATTACCCAATTCTCCCTAATTTTAAACCAGAGCTACTAAACAAAACCTAACCTTTGGTTACCTAGAATCATCACAGGAAGCATCAAAGCCTTCCTGGGATGTGACTCAGTGATTTTCTTTGAGGCACTTGTCCTCCTTCCCAGGGCCTCATCTTAGGGATTGTTGTGGGAAGATCATACAACCAACTCCATACTTTTCACACCCAGTGCTGGAGCCCCAGCTTCTAACAGGGCACTATTTCCCTCCTGTAGGCATCACTGATGAGCACTGGGGGTGCCTTCTTTACTGGGCAGACACGGTCTTCCCAACTTAACACCGGTTTTTGCAGTTGAGCTCTGGATAATTGAGATTGTATGAAGACTGGTCCCCGAATTAGTCAGTGTTGCTGGTATCCTTCCACTCAAGTACATTTTGTGCTTCTTTTAATAGGCAGAGAAGGGTGAGTCCTGCCTTGTGATGGCCGTTTGCCCACAGCCTCCTCCTCCCCGCTTCCCCTAGTCTCACTGTTAACAGTGTCGTGTCTCTGAAACTCCCTCAGTGTCTCATCAATACCATTGTTACTTCTAGGAAAACGAGTGTGTGCTGGAGAAGGCCTGGCTCGCATGGAGTTGTTTCTTTTGTTGTGTGCCATTTTGCAGCATTTTAATTTGAAGCCTCTCGTTGACCCAAAGGATATCGACCTCAGCCCTATACATATTGGGTTTGGCTGTATCCCACCACGTTACAAACTCTGTGTCATTCCCCGCTCATGAGTGTGTGGAGGACACCCTGAACCCCCCGCTTTCAAACAAGTTTTCAAATTGTTTGAGGTCAGGATTTCTCAAACTGATTCCTTTCTTTGCATATGAGTATTTGAAAATAAATATTTTCCCAGAATATAAATAAATCATCACATGATTATTTTAACTATATGTTAAGTCATGGAATATCTTAATTGTTTAAGTGATTCTCACAGAGAGGTTTTTTTTTTTTTTATTTTTGTTTTTTTTTTGAGAGTTTTGCTCTTGTTGACCAGGATGGAGTGCAGTGGCATGATCTTGGCTCACTGCAACCTCTGTGTCCTGGGTTCAAGTGATTCTCCTGCCTCAGCCTCCCGAATAGCTGGGATTACAGGCACCCACCACCATGCCAGCTAATTTTTTGTATTTTTAGTAGAGACAGGGTTTCACCATGTTGGTCAGGCTGGTCTTGAACCCCTGACCTCAGGTGATCCACCTACCTCGGCCTCCCAAAGTGCTGGGATTACAGGCATGAGCCACCGCGCCCAGCCAGAGAGAGGTTTTAAATATATATGTTTACTTTAATATTAAGTTATAACATAATTTTCATGTTATTGAAAAGCTCTTCCATCTAGGATCACACAACTTCAGTGTCAGAATCATATTGAGGTGGGGAATTTGTATTAGTCAGGTTTCTCTAAAGGGACAGAAACAATAGGATAGATGTATATACGAAAGGGAGTTTATTAGGAGAATTGACTCACATGATCATAAGGTGAAGTCCCACAATAGGCCGTCTGCAAGCTGAGGAGCAGGGAAGCCAGTCTGAGTCCCAAAACCCTAACAGTAATCCTTTCCTAACGTCAGGATGCGTATCGACCTGTGTGTGCACATTTGCTGTGCAGAGTGTGCACTGCTGAGGAGAATGGTGCCCAAGAAGGACACTGTTGACCCAAAATATTCCAAATAAACAATGAGTACAGCCACAGATTCAGGTTTGGAGAAAGTTGTTGGACAACTCACTTTATGGGACAAGTTAATAAATAAGATTTTGCAAACCCAATTGCACTATCATCCTCACTATTCTGGAAAGGTTGAATGGACTAATGGTATCTTGAAGCTAAAATTAGTTAAACCAACAGAGTCAAGTGTTTTATCTTGGTCAAAAGTTTTTACCACTAGCCTTAATGGTAATTAGATTAACCCCTGTGGGAAAACACAAACTAACCCCTTATGAAATAATTACTGGAATATCTATTCCTTTGATAGTACGATGTTGTGTATTCCCTGTACTTGTTAGCTCTGATGTGACTCGACAATGCAAGGCCTTGATGCATTTTACAAATGTACATTTCCACCAGTTGAAGTAGGCTTTCTGTGAACCACCAATTGAGAATGTTCAGATCTTCCATCACCTAGAACCTAAAGATTGGGTCTTTTGGAGATGACACTAGAGAAAAACTGCCCTTGAGTCTCACTGAAAAAAACCATACCAGGGTCTTCTTACTACTCAACACTGCAGCAAAGCTTCAGGGTCTTGAGTCTTGGGTTCATGTCTCTGAACTAAAGAGAGCTCCCTTGGATTCTTGGACTTGTCAACCCATAGGTGACTTAAAATTGAGAATATCCAAGGGAAATCTTTTTTAGAAACAGATGGCATCGCAAAGTTGACAGCTTTCCCAAAACGGTTCACGGAGACTTCATTTGACTCTTTTTCATTGACTAAGATTTGTTTTTGTTTTGCATTAATGTAAAGATGTTCAAACTTCCTCTTTTGTTAGGAACTTTCACTACTCAAACCAAACATCCTCTAAGTTCTACTGTGCAGAGTATAGCCACTCTCACTAACTGAAGCAATTGCTGACTATGTCATCTAGTTATATGGGAAGAATCAAAAGTAATATTAGAACCTCATCCCATACACATTTGGGTGAGCAATTCAGGAAGCTGACTTTATCAAAACGTTTGGTATCCTTCCCTTGGCAGATTGGTTGATTTTTTTTCAATGTATAAATATTATCATTCTGTGTTTGTTTCTTGATTGTGAAAACATTTGGAGAGAACTGATTATTATAATCAGAGCTAGGAAGATTATCAAATAATGTTGCTGCTGCTATTTGAACGGGTGGCCTGCCTCTCCACACTTGCGGGCGTTTCTCGTTGGGTGGAACGAGAGACTTAAGAAAAGAAAGAGACACAGAGACAAAGTATAGAGAAAGAAAAGTGGGCCCAGGGAACCAGCCCTCAGCATAAGGAGGACCCACGCCGGCACCAGTCTGTGAGTTCCCTTAGTATTTATTGATCATTATCAGGCATTTCTCAGAGAGGGGGATGCGGCAGGACAATAGGGTAATAGTGGAGAAAAGGTTAGCAGGAAAACATGTGAACAAATGTCTCTGCATCATAAACAAGGTAAAGAAAAAAGTGCTGTGCTTTTGATGTGCATATACATAAACATCTCAATGCCTTAAAGAGCAGTATTGCTGCCAGCATGTCCCACCTTCAGCCCTAAGGCGGTTGTCCCCTGTCTCAGTAGATGGAATATACAATCGGGCTTTACACCGAGACATTCCATTGCCCAGGGACGAGCAGGAGACAGATGCCTTCCTCTTATCTCAACTGCAAAGAGGCCTTCCTTCATCTCTTAATAATCCTCCTCAGCACAGACCATTTATGGGTGTCGGGCTGGGGGATGGTCAGGTCTTTCCCTTCCCATGAGGCCATATTTCAGACTATCACATGGGGAGAAATCTTGGACAATACCTGGCTTTCCTAGGCAGAGGTCCCTGCGGACTTCTGCAGTGTATTGTGTCTCTGGGTACTTGAGATTAGGGAGTGGTGATGACAAGCATGCTGCCTTCAAGCATTTGTTTAACAAAGCACATCCTGCACAGCCCTTAATCCATTTAACCCTGAGGTGACACAGCACATGTTTCAGGGAGCACAGGCTTGGGGGTAGGGTTACAGATTAACAGCATCTCAAGGCAGAAGAATTTTTCTTAGTACAGAACAAAATGGAGTCTCTTATGTCTACTTCTTTCTACATAGACACAGTAACAGTCTGATCTCTCTTTCTTTTCCCCACACTATTGTATTTTACTTTTTATTTTTAAAATTTTTTCATCTCCATAGGTTCTTGGGGAACAGGTGGTAGGTATTTGGCTACATAAGTAAGTTCTTTAGAGGTGATTAAAAAAAAAAACTTGCTCATGCATGTTTATAGCAGCACATTCACAATTGCAAAAATGTGGAACCAACCCAAATGCCCACGATTCAACGAGTGGATAAAGAAACTATAGTATATACATACGATAGACTACTACTCAGCCATAAAAAATAATGAGTTAATGGCATTCACAGCAACCTGGATGGTATTGGAGACTATTCTTCTAAGTGAAGTAACTCAGGAATGGAAAATCAAACATCGTATGTTCTTACTCATGAGTAGGAGCTAAGCTATGAGAATGCAAAGGCATAAGAATAGACTTTGGGGACACACAATGGACTTTGGGAACTCACGGGAAAGGGTGGGAAGGGGGTGAGGGATAAAAGACTGTAAATTGAGTTCAGTGTATACTGCTCAGGAGATGCGTGTACCTCAAATTTCACAAATCACCACTAAAGATTGGTTGATATTTATGATCAACTAGTTTGACGTTGGGAAGAAGCTACAGAACCAAAGGGATAGCCTATAATTACTACTGGTTTTCTTTCTCTCCCTTTCTTTCTTTCTTTCTTTCTTTCTTTCTTTTCTTTCTTTCTTTCTTTCTTTCTTTCTTTCTTTCTTTCTTTCTTTCTTTTCTTTCTTTCTTTCTTTCTTTCTCTTTCTTTCTTTCTTTCCTTTTCTTTCCCTTTCTCTCTCTTTTTTTCTTTTGTTTCTTTCTTTCTTTTTCTTTCTTTCTTTCTCTTTTTTTGAGACGGAGTCTTGTTCTTTCACCAAGCTGGAGTGCAGTGGCTAGATCTCTGCTCACTGCAACCTCCGCTTCCCAGATTCAAGCGATTCTCTTGCCTCAGCCTCCCGAGCAGCTGGGACTACAGGCAAACGCCACCACACCCAGCTAATTTTTGTATTTTTAGTAGAGACAGGGTTTCACCATGTTGGCCAGGATGGTCTCGATCTCTTGACCTCGTGATCCGCCCACCTCAGTCTCCCAAAGTGTTGGGATTACAGGCATGAGCCACCGCGCCCGGCCTACTACTGGTTTTCTTAAAGTATTCATTTGCTCTTAATGAAACTGCAAAAGGTTTTCATTTTTAGTTCTGCAATCTGTGTCTTTTTGAAACATCTCAGATTTATATCCCAGGAATTCAACTTTTGTGATACCTCACTGAATTCCAATTTGCAGGCCATACATATTGCCTTCTGTTCTTTATCCCTTTGAAAAGGTATGTTTTTTCCCTCGACTATGATGATAACTGTCTCCTTCCATCTTTTTTGTCAACTCCTGTAACTTTTTCTCTGGTTATAATTCTGCTGTTATGGCCTGACACTGAAACGTTTATTTTCAAGGTCTAGAAAAGGCAATGTTTTCCTCCAGTATCACTTGATTCTGTACTCTTGGCTTTTCTTGGTATGTCTGAATTGTTCAATGTAATCGGGAAACTTACCATGCTGTTATTAAGAGCCATGTATTCCCTGAGCAAGGTACTTGTTTTCTTGTTTACATTCCTCTATAATATGGTATACACTCATAACACTGGACACACTCTTCCTGTGTCTGGTTAAAGTACCCTTTTCATCAGGTTTGACTTCCAGGTTATCTAAATGGGCCTTTAGCATTCATATTTCTAGCAGGAACCTTAAAACTTTCAATCTCTACTTACCTATTACCCAGTTCCAAAGCCATTTCCACATGTTTAGATATTATCACAGCAGTACCACATTCCTGGTAACACAATTTGTCTTAGTCTACTTGAGATGCTATAACAAACTATCATAGGCTGGATGGCTTTAACAACAGAAATATACTTCTCATAGTTCCGGAATCTGAAAAGTCCAAGATCAGGAGCTGGCTGATTTGGTTCCTGGTGAGGGCTCTCTTCCTCGTCTGCAGATGGTTGCATTCCTATCATGTCCTTAGATTGCACTTCCTTGGTTCATGCATGTGGGTAAGGTGGGGAGAGGCGGGAGAGGGGAGATTTTCCTGCTCTTATAAGGCAACTGATAAGGGTCCCACCCTTGTGACTCAATCTAAGCCTAATCACCTTCCAAAGACCATACCTCCAAATATTACCACACTGGGGGTTAGGATGTCAACATATGCATTTAAGGAGGGACATAAATATTCAGTCCTTAACACAAAGGGGGTGGTTGTGGTGGCCACGGTCAAATACTCAGGACAGGAATTCATGGTGGAAAGCTGCAGTAGGGAAATAGGAGAGGCACTGGGAAGCGGGCTGTCCTCTCCTCAAGGACAATTTCCTCCTTGTGAAAGCAATAATCTTCATTAAATGTTAAAAAAGGGATGGGTAGCAGTAACCTCTACCAGGTTTCCTCTTAGGTCTGGGAGTGTGGGGTGTAGGTTGTGGCAGAGAGCCAAGCCAGGATCATGACACAGTTGTGTAATTTGAAGGTTTCTTACTTAGTCTGTTTAGTGTTGCTATAAAGGAACACCTGAGGCTGGGTAATTTATAAAGAGAAAAAGAAGTTTATTTGGCTCGTGATTCTTTAGGCTGTACAAGATGCATGGCACTAGCATCTCCTTCTCATGAGGGCTTCAGGCTGCTTCCACATATAGTGGAAGATAAAGGGGGAGGTGCTGTGTGCAGAGATCACATGGCAAGAGAGGAAGCAACAGAAGGGGAGGGAGGTGCCAGGTTTTGTTTTCTTTTAACAAGCAGTTCTCATGAGAACTAATGAGTGAGAACTCACCCACCCCAAGGGAGGACATTAATCTATTCATAAGGGATCTATCCCTATGGTGCAAACACCTCCCATTAAGTTCCATCTCCAACACTGGCAATGAAATTTCAACAGGAGATTTGAAGAGGTCAAACAAACCAAACTACAACAGAAGGGAATATTGGGCCTGGGAGTCTGACTGGCAAATATCTTTTAAGTCAAGGAGCTGTGTGGGTGCACAGCTTGCAAAGGCAACAATGACATCTGCAGTACCATCATAATGAACCAAGGTGCGGTAACCCAACTGGCAAAGTGAGAGCCCCAATTAAGGGTGGGCAAGCAAACAGTTTTCCACATTCCAAGGTTTTGCCCCCATATGGGTGATGTTCTATTGCAAATAGGTTTTAAATCATATGGCCTGATTTGGGCGTGTGTTGTTAATAGGCTGTGAAGTTGTCTGTCAATTAAAACATTGGCCTGTGGGCAGGCCCTGTGGCTCAGTTGTTGGTTTGTTTGGTCACACGCAAGCCAGGAAAATCTCTAGGTTGTAAGGCTTATAGTAGCCAAAATTGATGGCTTGTGGTCCTTAGCATTCATGGTTATGGTTTAAACAATGGCTTAACTGGAAGGTTTTAGCCTCTGGCTTGCAAACCAATGAAAGCACCCAGACCAATATAGTAAGGAGATCAATAGTACACAGAACAGTGTGCAGCTGTGTTTGACTGGCTTTTGTTGTTTATTATTGAATTTCCTCCAGAATGTACTACTGCCAAGAAGGGGTTGTCTGGTTTTTTCATTATTGTATATGATGTTGATTTTATTATCTCCAAATTTTAATTTACTAAGTGGAGTTTTCTACCTCCCTTTTTGATAGTCCATACTGATTGTGGGAATGGCCCTGTAGTACTAATTTGAAACTTCTTGAAGGGAATCAGAGGGAGATCCTGGATTATTTATCTTCTTATTACTGAAATATTCAGAAAGTGGGGGAGGGGCCAAGATGGCCAATTAGAAGCAGCTCTAGCCTGTGGCTCCCACCTAGAAGAACAAAAACGGTGAGTGAATCCTGCATCTTCAGCTGAGGTATCCAGGTTCTCACTGGGACTGACTTGGCAATTGGCGTGATCCATGGAGACTGAGGAAAAGCAGGGCAGAGTGACGGCCCACCCAGAGGCTGCACAGGGTAAGGGAAACTCCCACCCACAGCCAAGGGAGGTGGTGAGTGATTGTGCTACTGCATCAGGGAAACCACGTTTTTTCCATGGATCTGTGCAACCCACAGATCAGGAGATCCCCTCATGAGCCCATGTCACCAGGGTGGATCCCAAGCACAGAACTGTGAAGGCTCTTGGTGGCTGCTTGGGTTGCAGCCAGCAGCAGCACACTGGAGACTGCCTAAGATGACTGAGTTTCCAGGGGGAGGAGTGGCTGCCATCACTGTGGCTCCATGTGGCCGTTTTACCCTGCCTGTGCCAGGGAGACTGGATGGTTTGGACCAGGAGGAATTCCCCACAGTGCAGCACAGAGGCTGTGGCAGACTGTGGCCACACTGCTTCTTTAGATGGGACCCAGGTCCATCTCTCCTCACTGTATGAGGCCTCTCTGCAGGAATTTCAGCAACTCCAGCCAGATATTTGCAGACAGAACTCTGATCTCCCTGGGATGGAGCCCCTGTGGGAAATGGCAGCCATGGTCTCCAGTTCAGCAGACTTAGTCTTTCCTGCCTGCTGGCTCTGAAGAGTCCAGGCAGTCCGGATGAGGGGGATTCCAACCAGTGCAGTGCACCCACTCTGTCAAGGGGCAGCCAGAGTGCTTCGTTAAGCCAGTCCCTGATCCCGTGCTGCCTGACTGGGTGAGATCTCACAACAAGGTTTGCCAGACACCTCATACAGGAGAGTTCTAGCCAGCATCAGGTTTTTGCCCCTCTGGGATGGAGCTTTCAGAGGAAGGAGCAGGCAGCATCTTTGCTGTTCTGCAGCCTCCACTGGTGATAGCTCCAGGTGCAGGAGGGACCCCAGCAAATAGGGTCTGGAGTGGACCCCCAGCAAACTGCAGCAACCCTGTGGAAGAGGGGCCTGACTGTTGAAAGAGAAACAAACAGAAAGCAACAACAACAACATCAACAAAAAGGACCCCACAAAAACCCAATCCAAAGGTCAATAACATCAAATATTGAAGGTAGGTAAACCCAAGAAAATGAGAAAGAAATCAATGCAAAAAGGTTAAAAATTCAAAAAGCCAGAGTGTCTCTTCTCCTCCAAATGATCACAGCACCTCTCCAGCAAGGGCACAGAACTGGGATGAGGCTGAGATAGATAAATTGACAGAATTAGGCTTCAGAAGATAGGTAATAACAAACTTTGCTGAGCTAAAGGAGTATGTTCTAATCCAATGCAAAGTTCTCTCAGTGGAAACCCTACAAGTTAGAAGAGATTGGGGGCCAATATTCAACATTCTTAAAGAAAAGAATTTCCAACCCAGAATTTCATATCTGGTCAAACTAAGTTTTATAAGTGAAGGAGAAATAAAATCCTTTTTAGACAACCAAATGCTGAGGGAATTCATCACCACCAGGCCTGCCTTGCAAGAACTCCTGAAGGAAGCACTGAATATGGAAAGGAAAAACTGTTACCAGTCACTACAAAAACACACTTAAGTACACAGACTAATGACACTATGAAGCAACTACATTAACAAGTCTGCAAAATAACCAGCCAGCATCATGACAGGAACAAATTCACACATATCAATATTAACCTTAAACGTAAATGGGCTAAATGCCCCAATTAAAAGACCCAGAATGCTAAGCTGGATAAAGCGTCAAGACCTATTGGTGTGCTGTATTCAAGAGACCCATCTCATATGCAAAGACATACATAGGCTTAAAATAAAGGGATAGAGGAAAATTTGCCAAGCAAATGGAAAGTGAAAGAAAGCAGGGGTTGCCATCATCATTTCTGACAAAACAGACTTTAAATCAACAAATTCAAAAAAGACAAGGAGGGGCATTACATAATGGTAAAGGAATCAATTCAACAGGAAGAGCTAACTATCCTAAATATATATGTACCCAATATAGGAGCACCTAGGTTCATAAAACAAGTTCTTAGAAACCTACAAAGAGACTCAGACTCCCACACAATAATAGTGAGAGACTTTAACACCCCACTGTCAATATTAGACAGATAATTGAGACAGAAAATTAACAAAGATATTCAGGATTGAACTCAGCTCTAGATCAAGTGGACCTGATAGATATCTACGGAACTCTCCACCTCCAAACAACAGAATATACATTTTTCTCCACACCATGTGTCACTTATTTTAAAATTGATCACACAATTGGAAGGAAAACACTCTTCAGCAAATGCAAAAGAGCTGAAATCATAACAAACAGTCTGTCAGACCACAGCGTAAACTAGAAGTCAAGATTAAGAAACTCACTCAAAACCACACAACTACATGGAAATTGAACAACCTGCCTCGCAATGACTCCTGGGTAAATAATGAAATTAAGGCAGAAACCAAGAAGTTCTTTGAAACTTATGAGCACAAAGAGACAATGTACCAGAATCTCTGGGATGCAGCTAAAGCAGTATTAAGAGGAAAATTTATAGCACTAAAATGACCACATCGAAAAGCCAGAAAGATCTCAAATTGACATCCTAACATCACAACTAAAAGAACTAGAGAACCAAAAGAAAATGGATAAATTCCTGGACACATACACCCTTCCAAGAGTGAGACAGGAAGAGGCTGAATCCCTTTATAGATCAGTAATGAGCTCTGAAATTGAGGCAGTAATAGCAGACCAAAAAAAAAAAAAAAAAAAAAAGCCCAGGACCAGAGAGATTTATAGCTGAATTCTACCAGAAGTACAAAGAGGAGCTGGTACCATTTCTTCTGAAACTATTCCAAACAATTGAAAAGGAGGGGCTCCTCCCTAACTCATTCCATGAGGCCAGCATCATCCTGATACCAAAACCTGGCAGAGATACAACAAAAAATGAAAACTTCAGGCCAATATTCCTGATGAACATTGATGCAAAACTCTTCAATAAAATAACGGCAAACTGAATCCAGCAGTGCATGAAAAAGCTTATCCACCACAATCCAGTTGGCTTCATCCCAGGGATGCAGGGCTGGTTCAATATATGCAAATCAATAAACATAATTCATCACAAAAACAGAACTAAAGACAATAACCACATGATTATCTCGATAGATGCAGAAAAGTCCTTCCATAACATTCAACATCCCTTCATGTTAAAAACTCTCAAAAACCTAGGTATAAAAGGGACATACCTCAAAATAATAAGAGCCATTTATGACAAACCCACAGCCAATATCATACTGAGTGGGCAAAAGCTGGAAGAATTTCCCTTAAAAACCAGCATAAGACAAGGATGCCCTCTCTCACCACCGCTATTCAATGTAGTATTGGAATTTATGGCCAGGGCAATCAGACAAGAGAAAAAAATAAAGTGTATTTAAATAGCAAGAGAGAAAGTAAAATTGTCTTTGTTTGCAGGTGACATAATCCTGTATCTCAAAAACCCCATGATCTCAGCCCAAAAGCTTCTTAAGCTGATAAGCAACTTCAGCAAAGTCTCAGGATACAAAAATCAATGTGCAAAAATCACAACCATTCCTGTACACCAACAACATACAAGCAGAGAGCCAAATCATGAATGAACTCCCATTCACAATTGCTACAAAGAGAATGAAATACCTAGGAATATAGCTAACAAGGAAAGTGAAGGACCTCTTCAAGGAGAACTACAAATCAGCTCAAGGAAATCAGAGAGGACACAAAAAAAATGGAAAAACATTCCATGCTCATGGATAGGAAGAATCAATATCATGAAAATGGCCATACTGCTTAAAGTAATTTATAGATGTAATGCTATTCCCATCAAACTACCATTGACATTCTCCACAGAATTAGAAAAAACTACTTTAATTTTCATACGGAACCAAAAAAGAGCCCATATAGCCAAGACAATCCTAAGCAAAAAGAACAAAGCTGGCAGCATCAAGTTACCTGACTTCAAACCATACTACAAGGCTACAGTAACCTGAACAGCATGCTACTGGTACAAAAACAGACACATAGATCAGTGGAACAGAATAGAGAACTCAGAAATAAGTCCACACACCTACAACCATCTGATCTTCAAGAAACCTGGCCAAAAAAAAAAAAAGTAATGGGGAAAGGATTCCCTATTTAACAAATGGTGCTGGTGGCTGGGCACAGTGGCTCACACCTGTAATCCCAGCACTTTGGGAGGCCAAGGTGGGTGTATCACGAGGTCAGGAGATCGAGACCTTCCTGGCCAACATGGTGGAACCCCGTCTCTACTAAAATACAAAAAGTTCGTCAGATGTAGTGGCGCGTACCTGCAGTCCCAGCTACTCAGAAGGCTGAGGCAGGGGAATCGCTTGAAATTGGGAGGTGGAGGTTGCAGTGAGCTGTGATCACACCACTGCACTCCAGCCTGGTGACAGAGCAAGACTCTGTCTCAAATAAATAAATAAATAAAATTGTGCTGGGACAACTGGCTAGCCATATGCCAAAAATTGAAAGTGGACCCCTTCCTTACACCTTATACAAAATCTAACTCAAGATGGATTAAAGACTTAGATGTAAAACTGAAAACTATAAAAACCCTAGAAAAAATCCTAGGCAATACCATTCAGGACATAGGCACAGGCAAAGGTTTCATGACAAAAATGTCAATAGCAGTTACAACAAAAGCAAAAATAGACAAATGGGATCTAATTAAAGAGCTTCTGCACAGCAAAAGAAACTATCATCAGCATAAACAGACAACCTACAGAATGGGAGAAAATTTTTGCAACCTATCCATCTGACAAAGGTTTAATATCCAGAGTCTACAAGGAACTTAAACAAATTTACAAGAAAAAACACCCATTAAGAAGTGGGTAAAGGACATGAACATATACTTTTTGAAAGAAGACATTTATGTGGCCAACAAACGTATGAAAAAAAGATCAACATGACTGATCATTAGAGAAATGCAAATCAAAACCACAATGAGATAACATCTCATGCCAGTCAGAATGGCGATTATTAAAAAGTCAAGAAACAGCAGATGCTGGTGAGGCTGCAGAGAGATAGGAACACTTTTATACTGTTGGTAGGAATGTAAATTAGTCCAACAACTGTGGAAATTCCTCAAAGACCTAGAACCAGAAATACCATTTGACCCAGCAATCCCATTACTGGGTATATACCCAAAGGAATATAAATCATTCTATTATGAAGATACATGCATGTGTATGTTCATTGCAAGACTATTCACAATAGCAAAGACATGGAATCAACCCAGATGACCATCAGTGATAGTCTGGATAAAGAAAATGTGGTACATATACACCATGGAATACCATGCAGCCATAAAAAGAAATGAGATCATGTCCTTTGCAGGGACATGGATGGAGCTGGAAGCCATTATCCTCAGCAAACTAATGCAGGAACAGAAAACGGTATATTCTCACTCAGAAATGGGAGCTGAACAATGAGAACACATAGACACATGGAAGGGAACAACACACTCTGGGGCCTATGGGGGGGTGACATGGTGGGAGTGAGAGCATCAGGAAAAATAGCTAATGCATGCTGGGCTTAATACTTAGGTGATGGTTTGATAGGTGCAGCAAACCACCATGGCACACGTTTACCTATGTCACAAACCTGCACACCCTGCACACATACCCTGGAACTTTAAAAAAAAAATCCTTAATATTGGACCTTAATTGAAAATGCCACATATCTTTAGTAAAAAAAAATTTAAAAAAGAGAAATATTCAGGAAGGACTTAGGGATGGTGAAAGTTAAGCTTATGTGGGTCCTATTGCAGATGGTCAGCTACCTGGTCCATGGGACATTCTACCGTTAATGGATCTGGCCTCTAGCCCTTATGGGATGGGGACAGGAACAAAATTTTATAAAGATAGGAGACATTATTAAAGGTCCTCATTTATAAACAGTCTTTATATACATAGAGATGAAACATATCCCACTTCAAATATACGAAAGGGTGATGGGAAGGTTTTTCAAGTTGGTATAAGGTGTGAGTCTACAAAAAACCCTTCAATTAAGAGAGTAAGGTTTGTGGGAAGACAGAGACCTATTTAGGGATCCATTACCGAATTGAAATTTGAAAAGGGGTTGTTTTAGGAGACCACTATGCCTCTTTGTTAAATCAGCTATCTTGGGCCTATCAGGGAAATTAAGGTTTTATTGACTGCCTCTTTCAAGAGTCCAGCGTTGTGTATCCTGACAAGTGAAATTGTTACTACGGTGCCTTGGTTATTATCAGTAGTGACTCCCCTCCAGAAGGAATAATGAATGATAAGCATATATCTGTATACACATTTGCTTGCAGACAATGCTTCTGCCATTACTACTACTGGTGGACTTACAGAATGCCTTTTCCACAACCATGGTATTACAACACAGCATTGCTGCTGATCAAGGAACTCTTCACAGCAAAGGAAGCACCTCAGTGGGTCCACGATCATGGAATTAACCTGTCTTACCATGTTCCCCACCACCCTGAAGCAGCTGGTTTGACAGACTAATGGAGTGGCCTTTTGAAGACCCAAAGTCCTAGCTAGGTGGCAATACCTTGCAGGGATGGAACAAGATTCTCTAGAAGGCTGCATATGCTCTGAATCAGTGTCCAATATTTAGTAGTTTCTTCTGTAGCCATAATTCACAGGTCCAAAAATCAAGGGGTAGAAATGAGTGGTGTCCACATTATTACTTCTAGCGACCCATGAGTAAAAGTTTTGCATCCTGTTCCCATGATTGTGCTCTTAGGTCTTAGTTCGAAAGGAAGAAATTCTTCCACTCAGACACCCTAGTGATTCCACTGAACTGCAAGGCTGCCACTGGCCACTTCGGGCTAGTCATGCCTCTGAATCAACCAGCAAAGAGGGAGTTACTCGCTGGGGTGATTGATCCCGACTACCGAGTAGAATTTGGACTACTCTTTCATAAGGAAGAGTATGTCTGGAATACAGATTTCTGCAAAATTTTATTGAAATTATAATGGACTTATACGTCCTTAGGCAGGAAGGACATCTTTACAGTAATGAGTTTCCATTAATGGACATGACCTTTCTCTCCATTTATTCAGATCTTTTAAATTTTCTCTAAAGTTGTTTTGGGGAAATAATATACATCTGTCACTATATTAATTCCTTGGTACATGGTATTTTTATAATACTGCATTTATTTTAAAGTTTAGTTTTGCTTTTTGTAGCTGGCTATTAGTTCTAGCAGGTATGCAATGGGCTGAGCTCTTTTGCTGGAATGAGATGTACCTGCATGGCAGTGACCCCTAACTGAGGTGTCAAAAATACAGATTAATAAGTGAATCCAAGCTGAGTTTGGGTGTGGTTGGTCCCATCTCATCACCATTGCTATTGGTAGTAGTAAAACTGATGTTTAAATAGTTCCCACCTGGTCTTGGTGAAAACATAGGAGGGGATCTTCTGTTGGGAGCTGGTTAACCGTGAGAATATGTCTACATGATCAGCAGGGTATATAAGAAGCCCAGCTTACACTATACTCCTACACTACGCTCCAAATAGAGTGTAGAGAACCAGAACAGTTCTCCCGTTCTGAGGTATTCTACACACACAGCTGGTTTCTTATCTGAGGAAGAACATCCTGGCAGAATCCTGCAGAGAGAAAAAAATAGAGCTTGTGCCAGCCTCTCCTGACCCTTCACTGAGGCAGCCTTTGGCTGAGATGCTTATCCTTATCTGATGCATATCATTTTGTTACTGGTTTATTGTATCCTTTTCTATCAACCAACCGTAGATTCCTAAGTGATGTGTTTTGTGGGTCCTGTGCCCTAGCATTGAGACATAAAGGTGATTTTAAAATATTGACCTGTATTTAGCAAACTTTTATACTCATTTAGACATTCTGAAATTTATCTGTAGATTGATTCACAAAGCATATAATCATAAATCTGTCTTAACTATTTCACTGTATAGAACTTCCAGTATAATGAACAGTATTTGAATATTGCAGACATCCTTGAGTTATTCCCAACATGAAATTCTTCAAACATCTCACCAATAAATCTAAGGGAAGCTGACTATTTATTAGTCTTTTTTTTTCACATGAATAGGTGAACTGTGTCAAAGGCCTTTTATTCATTAACTGAACAATCATTGGTTGATTTCTTAAAAAATTGTGGTGAACCAATAAAAGCTAAAGTTCCTTCTAATTGTGGGCTTAACTGAATTACAGTTTTAAAATGTGGTGTCTTCATTGCCACTCAGTTCAATATATTTTCTAACTTCCACTTGATTTAAAAGTCATGTTTGATAGTATATTGCCAGTTTGTTTAAGACAGGTATGATTAACTGCATCTTAGAGAACTCGTCTGTCCTGGACTGACTGAAGAATTTCTGCACTTTGCCATGTTCCATTTTTCCATGGAAACAGTGCTCTGCAGTGAGCCTCTCTCTTCAACTCCACCATGTCACTGGTCTACCTGGTCTGGGAGCCTGTCAAGAAAAGGGATCGCTTTGTCATTACTTCAATGCATTCTGACTCAGGAGATGCAGACTTTGACTCCCACCATTGGTCTTGATTGGGTCAACGCATTTCAGTGAATTTGAAACATGTATCAGATGCACATGACTTACATCCTAGTTGATTGACTCCCTGCAAGCTGAGGATTTCTATCCTCTTCCTGTCCAAAAGTGCCTGAGTTATACATTTTGTGTTCTTGAGAGCACAAACTACACAGCTAACCAGTGGGGACTACCATATGGAACCGACTGATTTTGAACCCCAGCTCACTGATCCTCATTTTTAATTTTTTTTTTAATTTCAGGGAGTCTGTGTAGTCCAGACCTGTAATGAAGGAATTGAAGAAATAATCACAAGGTATGTGTATGTGTGTATGCAGGTGGGTTCCAGACCTCCTGGGCCCACTGTGAGAGCGTCTCGGGCCTGCATCCCTCTGCCTGCGGACCCAGAAGAAGCTGGCAGGTACCAGAGATGAGCAATCCAGAGACCAGGAGGTTAAGGAAGCATTTATTGAAAACCTGTGATGTACCTCTGGCCCAGACCAAGAGGCAGAGTCAAGCCAAGGCTTCAATCAGTCACAGGAGACTGGGGATCTTGGGCCTGACCCCTACTCCTCACCAGTAGACTTAGCTGTATCAAAATAGCTCCTTTATTTCCTGAAAGCCCCTTGGGCTAAGGTCGGGGTGGAGTGTGTCCTCCTGGCCTATGAGGACATCAGGCCCTGCTTGGTGTGCAGCTCCAGGTCTTTCTCCTTTTAGGGGCTTGGGACTGGCCTGCAGGAGGTTAGTGTCCAGGGTGGGAATTTACACCCATCCCCATGGCCACATGGTCCCCTCCTGCCCCATCACCACCTTGGGTGGACCCAGTATGGGAAAGGCCCTCCCCATAGACCATCCTCTGAGGAGTCCCAGGACCCCCTCCCTTGTCCTCCCGCCCCTTCCGCTGTCCCTTCAGTAGCTGTTTCTGTTCCCTGACGCCCACTTCTGGGGCTTACCACATCTCCTGGGCCAGCCTCTTCCTCTTGTGTGCTCTGGGCTTGGGCAGGGACTTGCATTCCATGCTTTTCCAGCTCTTCCTTCAGCCTGGACAGGAAGAGGTAGGATGGGGGAAGGAAGAGGAGGAAAGGGTGGAGGAGGGACAAGAGGTTTTCAAGAGTCAGAGAGACAGAAGGTGGAGAGAGGAGATACAACATCAGTCATCTTCCTGGTGGGGGTTGCGGGGACAGGGCCTCCACACGCACCTCTGCCGCTTCTGCTGCTGTTGTTGGCACTTCTGCTGCAGCTGCTGGTGGCGCTGGGCAGCAGCTGCTAGGAGCTCCTCAGCCTTCCTGTGCTCTTCCTGAAACAGCTGCCTGGGGGGCCCAGTAGGGGGTGGTCAGCACCGGCCACTCCCTCCTCCCACCCTCTTCCCCTCCACATCTTACACTGTGGCTGCAGCCTCCTGGCTGCGGAGAAAGAGTCCCTCATCAAGGGTGGAGGGGCCCTCAGCCCCACACAGGGAGCACAGCTGATGCTTCACGTCTTCCAGTGTCGCCTTGACCAGCTTCTCTGCAGCACAAAGGGGCAGGTGAGCACATGAAGGCACGTGAGGTCAGATATGGGCCATCCACCTTCCCTGGTCTCACCTTCCTTGAGCAGCTGCTCCTTGCTGCTGTCCAGGGCACAAATCTCCTTTGCCAGCCGCTCTGGCATCTGAGGGGCAGAAAAGAGGCCTGTCCACTCCTCTTGGCTTTCCCCCATGCCTCAAAGAAGGCTATCTGGATCTTGTTTCATACTTACTCACTATGCCTCACTTCCAACAACTCTGCCCCTCTGTGCACACCAGCTACAGTACAGCCTCAGGGCCATGGCACTGGCCATTCCCTCCCTGTGCACTTCTGTCATCCCACATCTCTGCGGTACTGCAGTGGGGATGCTCATGGATTGTTATTTACAACAGATAAACCTGCAAGCACTGTGAGTCTTGGCTGTTTTCTGGAGGATCAGGTACCGGTTTAGCTCTGCAGCTCCTCCCCACTCCCCTCTGTCCTGGTGTGACCTCCTCACTGAGCCCTTCCTTCCTGACACTCACTGTCTATTTTCTTGTTCAGTGCCTAGGATCCTCCTGGGGGACAAACACGGGCTGCTTATCCTCGTTGTCTCCTTTGTGCCCGTGATGGTCCCAGACACATCCACGGACAGTGATGGAAGACTTGACCTTGGTCTCATCAGAGATCCCCCTGACCACTGAGCAGCAGGGTCACAAGGAGGTGACAAGGGACTGGATTCAGGCAATGTCGATCTTAGCACCACCAGGGCTTGCTTGGCGACTGGTTGTGGCAGGTGAGAGGAAGAAGTGACCGTTTGGGCCTGGTGCTGCTAGGGAAGATGTGGAAGGGGGAGGAGTGGCTTTGAGGGACTCACGTGGAAGTCCCAGAGGTCCTTGTGCTGGCCCATCAGATCTTCCAGCTGTTCCTCGAATGCCAACCTGGGAACCAACCACAGGCATGAGGGGATATGGGCTGAAATCACCACCTTCACAGCCTGTCCAAGTCTGTGGTTCTTCAGGCAGATTTTGGGGTGCTTTGCCCATGGTCTCTGCTCCACTGGGAACATCTTCACCACCTTGAATCTCCATGGCTCAGTGTAGCCAGCTTTTCTAACCCCCATCTTTGACATTATATCCCAACTACTGGCCATCCAAACCCCCTGCCTCAGATGCTAAGGTTTACCTCAGCTGTCTCTGTTTGTTCTTCTCTTCTTCAATCTGCAAGTTCAGGGCAGAAATTCTCTCCTTGCACTCCTGCAACATGGTGTGCTTCCTGGGAGAGGCGAGGCAGCCCTCAGCCATGTTCTCTTAAGCCCCAGGAGGGCACTGGGCTGGGGCTTCTGCCTCCCTCTATTGAGGCTATTTTTTCCCTCTACATTAAGGTCCTTCTCTGTAACATGTGGTAAGTAGGGAGTGACATGACCATTTGCCCCCTGGAAGTATTGTTGTCAGGTTAAGAGAGATTAATGTGGACATGGTTAAGTGAGCAAATGCACACACATCTTA
Organism: Homo sapiens; assembly: GCF_000001405.40. Classification (NCBI taxonomy): domain Eukaryota; kingdom Metazoa; phylum Chordata; class Mammalia; order Primates; family Hominidae; genus Homo; species Homo sapiens. The sequence continues at coordinate 133,557,390 of NC_000010.11, forward strand.
GTATCATCTCGTTTTCCCAAAGAGCTGAAATCTCAGTGTGCCAGGGCCTGGGGCCTCTGGTAACAAATGAGCTAAATCAGGAGGTGGAGAAATGGATGGACAAATCGATGGGTGGATGAAAAGATAATGGATGAATGGAGAGAGAATGGACAAATGGTTGGCTCAATGCCTAAATGAACAGACAGATGAGTGAATAGACATCCAAGGAGTATGACAAAGAGTAAAAGGCAAAAAATAAAAACCAGCTGAAGAAATTTAATTGACAATTTAGCAAATGAATGTCTTGCCATTGAGAGAGTTTCCCTTAACACTACTGCCAGCTGTTGGAGCCGAAGGGGAAAGACATTCTTTGGACTCTCCATTGTTTAGAGGGAAACAATGAGAGCTGTGGGTCTCAGATTCATCTTCCTGCCTCTTTCTGCTCTACCAGAATAAAGAGGTAGTGCAGAGTTAGGCTCAGCTGGAAGCTCTTACCTGTGTGCCTCACTTTCCTTTTCCTGGCAATGCAGCCGGAGGATCCTCAGGGTCTCTGTAGGGAGAGCAACAGGGCCCTATGAGAACCTGTCAAGGTATTGGGTTTTGGCAGGGGGAACACAGCCAGATCATGTCAGGTCTGTGGACACCTGATTGAGCTTTAACATTTACTACATGTCTGGTGGAAGCCACAGGAGAGAGGCAAGCTGGGACAGGTTTCAAAAGGCTTCAGCTGCCATAGGGAGAGTGGGCTTCTGTGGGTTGGCAAAGGCACAAGCCTGGAGACAGGGGAGCGGCAAATACCTTGTTTTTTGCTCAAGATCTCCTTCAGGTGTACTTTCTCTCCATGCACTAGAAAACAGTGACACATTTTGGCATCAGGGACTATGCACTGCACCCTCAGGGATGGGGCTTGCTCACGGTCACATGGGAAGCTGGGCACAGCCTTGGCCCCAACCCAAATGTGAACCCTTGAGGTGAGCCCCTCCCTACCCTCTGGTGCCCACATTCCTTGTAAGCACCAAAGGGCCTTCACATTTACAGAGGGTGGCTGTGAGGGCCCTGGAGGATGCTCGTGCTTTTACATGGGGAGGAGAGAAAAAATACCAACACCCACGAAGTGGGATAAGGGCTATAAAGAAACACATCAAATAGGATGGGGCATGTGACCAGATGGAGGCAGGGTGCCATCTTTAAATGGGATGATTGGGGAATGCCAGTCATCCTGTCTGGGGACATTCTAACTTAGAGCTGATGATGTGAGGAAAGAGGAACCTGTATTATCTGAGGAAGCACAGACAGCGTCTGGCAAAAGCCCTGAGGTGGGAATGAGGTTGGAGGGTGTTTCCTGAACACTCCCACAAGCAGAGAGGAGAGGGGGAGATTGGCAGGACATGAGGCTAGAGAGGGTACAGGACCCTTGGCCATGGCAAGGATGCTGATTATCTGGAATACAGGGTTAGGGGAGGCTTAAGACACTGTGGGGACCTCTGGGTGACCCCCGGCTCTCTTACGCGAGTCCAGTTCCTTCTGCAGGGCCTCACAGATGGTCCGGGCCTCTCCTAGGTCTTTATTGGCTTTCTTTTTTGCTTCACCAAAGAGCAGAAAAACATTGTGTGAGTGCAGCCTCTATTCTCTTCCCAACAGTGACATTTCTCATTTGCCTTCAGGTAAATCTATAGTGGCCTAGATTTTATAGAGTAGGAAACGAGGCTTCCAGCTCTCCTTGCCAGGCTCTGCTGATAGCAGGGCCAGGATCATGGGCATGTAACTATGGCAGTCGCATGCTGAAATGCCCTGTACTTAATTTAAGGCTCTGCTGTTGCTGTTGTGAATAACCAGTAACTTTGGAACAAGGGACCCTGCATTCTCACTTGGCACTGAGCCCCGCAAACCATGCAGCTGGTCCTAGCTGGCAGCCAAGGCCCCTGAACTCACCTTGCTGGACCTCATTAATCCGGTTAATCAGGACCTCAACTCGGGGCTCTAGGCTTCCCACTGCACGGAGGAAAGGAGGTTGAGTTGACAGGGCAGGCAGAGTTGGGGCGGTTGCCAGCCTTGTGTCTCTGCTGCTTTCACGCAACACAGATCTATTGAGTACCTCCTGCAAGCAGGTGCTCTGTGGGGCCCTCACGGGGCTCACGTTCTGGGTGGGCAAGACTGGGAACAGACACAATAAGATACCGAATGGGGCTGCGGTAACCGTGTTCAAGAGAAATGAAGTAGGCCAAGGGAGGCTAAAGAGCAAAGGAGTGGGAAGTGCTCCTGAGATATGGGAAGGGACCTGAGGGCCCCAAATCAAGTGGTGGGGGGCAGGCCCTGCAGCAATTTGGGTGGGGTTGGGAGGTAGTCAGTGCAAAGACCCATCATGAGGTGGGAACATGGCTGGCAGGAGCCTAGCGAGCAAAGAGGGAGTAGCGGGTGAGGGGGAAGGAAGGGAAGTGAAGGCGGCAACTTCTGGATCTAATGGACTGCAGTGGAGCCAGATGGGTGACCAGCGAGAGGTTTGGGACAGGGTTTTGGGAAAACATTTTGCCTTCTATACCCTTTTGCTTCTTTAATTTTGAAACATGGGGCCCTATTTTTAGTTTAAGTAATTAAGTTTTAAAAGAAAGAGAAGGTGAAGAGGATTATTTCCCAAATTCGTACATTGTGGGGCCTGAAATTAAACCCACATCTGCCTGGCCCCAAACCTCAGGCTGTGCCTCACACAAAGGAGACACACGACCTTTCTGCAGCTTTTGCACCATTTCCATCAAGTCTTCAATTTTCTGTGAGGACGTGTCCTGCCCTGTGGAGACAAAACCAAACATTTCAGAATCAAGCAGGGCGAGAGGCCACCCCTGGGCTGAGACTGAGGCAGGCTGAGGGCAGGTCTCCAGCCAGAGTGGTGCCCCTTCTTCTTGTCCTGAGGTGGACAGTACACTAGATGAATCGGGCTCCTCCATGGTCAGCTTTTCCCTATAAGGTAAAATTATACCAGATATCCTCTTTGTAAAACTCTGGGTGAGGGCAGGGGTGCACTCTCACTGCTGAGGCTGTTCAAAGTAAGATCAAAGCTCCTGATATAATTCAAGAAAAAAAATGAGGGTATAAAAAACTGGAGCAAGGAGTCAAAAATCACTGTAACTGGCAGATGACATAATCTAGGAAGTTCTTAGAGAGTTTTCTACAAAACCATAAGGATTAGTAACAAAATGCATTAAGATGTTAGGTTAAAAACATATATAAATACAAACAAGCTTTCCTACATACAACCAATACTAACCCTGAAATTTCCCCATAAAATATTTCATGTTAATTTTTTATAATCACTATTGGAACCTATTTTTAACACTAAAATTAGTAGATCTAAGAAATTACTATTTATGGCATTAACATTGTGAAAGGAAAATAAATCTTTTTATAAATAAATCTTTGAAAATAAATCAATTCAAAGTCATCCCTCTGCTCACTGAGATAAATGCATATCTGATTTTGTAAAATAAATATCTGAAAATAATTCAGTCATCCTTCTTCTTACTCAGATAAATGCATATCTGATTGCCTCCTTTGGAAAGGCTAATCGGAAACTCAAAAGAATACAACCATTTGTCTTTTATCTACTTATGACCTTGAAGCAAACCCCCCTGCTTCAAGTTGTCTCATCATTGCTTTGAGTTGTCCCACCTTTCCAGATCGAACCAATGTTCATCTTACATATGTTGATTTGTGTCTCATGTCTCCCTAAAAAGCATAAAACCAACCTGTGCTCTGACCACCCTGCCACCCTGGGCACAGGTCATCAGGACCTCCTGAGGCCGTGTCACAGGCATGCATCCCTAACTTTGGTAAAATAAACTTCCTAAATTGACTGAGACCTGTCTCAGATTTTTGGGTTTCACATTTTGGCAACCACAAAGGGATTCTGAGTAGAGGTGCCCCTGACCTTTGACAAATATCCTATCAGTGCTTGCTAGCAGCTTGAGCTATCTTTATGGTTCAAACTAATATGACAAGTTGCTGAGTTCTGGAAGTCCCCCATCCAGGGAATCCCTCATTTCCCAAAATTCGCTCCAGATCCAAAGTTTATTTTTCTAAACAACTCTACTCTTTTTTTGGAGTTTTTCTTGCTTCCAACAAGGAAGGCAAGTTTTCCTGCTTCCATGAAAGTTCCTTTCTGGAGTTTGAACTCGCTCCCAACAGGGAAGACAAGTTTGAGGGTTTTTTTCCTGCTTCTAAGATGATAGAGAGCAGTCTTCAGCCTAAGACCCATCCCTAGGTAAGTAACTGAATTGGGGTTTGTCTTGGCTAAAGGTAAAATTAACAACCAGCTGGTCTTAATTTTTCCTTATCATTAGAGTGTCCAGTAACCATACAAGTTGTGTGATCATTTGTTTGTTTTGCTTAACTGGTATTTTTTTTTGTTGTTGTTTCTTTCTGTTTTTGTTGTTTTGGTCCTTTTCCTATTGGGTTTGGCCAATTCTGACTTGATCAAATCCAAAGGAAAGTTCCAAATTATGTGGAACAAGGCCTCTGAAGTGGCTAAATTCCCACCAGAAAAGGGGTGGTGGGGGAAGAAAAAACAGCCAGCAAAAGGAAAAAAGGGGGGGAAGATTTTTGATTTTGACTACTTAAGGGGATTTATTTACATAACAAGGCCACCTTTTTGCTAGCCAGGCCAAACTGAAAGAGAAAGGATTGTCACCCCAACTGCAGTTCCATAGCTAAGGTTCTGTCTTCTTTTTTCCATGACAGCCTGGGTTTGGTTCCTAAATCAAGACCTTTCTGGTTTGATACTTGGTACTTCTGAAATAGCAGATATTTGTCCTAGCTGAAATATGTTGATGAGATCTTAAAAATTTTTTAAAAAGAAACTCAAATGGTTAAAAGTCATCTTAATTAAAAGCTAACATCCAATGTGTGTGTGTGTGTGTGTGTGTGTGTGTGTGTGTGTGTGTGTGTGTGTGTGTGTATTTAAAAGGGCTTCATGATTTTTCTTTTTTCTCTCTCCTAGGACCTTGTGTTTTTTGGGCAAAAGTTTTTTTTCTTTTCAGTTGACTGAATGCTATTTTCTTCATATAGTTCTGCTGTCTCTCCTTTCCCTTGAACGCTCTGCTGCATGAGGGACCTAAAATAGTTTATAATAGCCTGAGGTTCCTTAAAGAAAATGGAGAAGGCACCAGACTCCCTTTTGTGGAGAAAATTGTTTTTCCTTGTGTATCCCCAAGAGTGTAAACACACAAGTTCATGTCAGCTCCTAAACTGTTTGCTTTTGTATTGTGTTACCTGATTTTTTTGTTTATTAATTATTGCAACAGAAGCTACTCCTGCATTTTTAAGGAAGAGTATATTTTAGACACTTAGAAATATTTTTTTAATGTTTTTTAAGTACACTGTAAAAGCATCCATGTGGTCGAGCCTCATAATAATTCTCCCTTTTTGCAGACCCAGGATTCAGTGTGGCCTCTTCCCAGAGCTCAGAGATCCAGTTAAAAGATAGGTAGTCACTATCTAAATAAAATTGGTCTCCTGTGATCCAACCACCTCCCACCAGGCCCCAACTCCAACATTGGGGATTACAATTCAACATATTTGGGTGAGGACACAGATCCAAACCATATCACAGGCCAAGGCCAAGGCCGAGGCACGGTTGAGAAGGCTCAGAGGCACCTGACCAAAGTTTGTAACAGTTTTGATTGACAATACCAAATTACCTTACACTGATGTATACAAGATGCCCAGTTTTTCATTTTTACCAATCACCTATGTTTCCAAACGTGTTTATCTTTGTCAACCAGATATGCAAAATTAAGGTGTCTCCTTACAAACTTTCTGATAGTAAATATCAAAAGTTTGGGTGCATCTTATTTTCTAAGACTATGTCCTAAGTAATTCTGGATATGGCTAATGGGCAAGGTGTTCATCACTGTATTGTTTATAATAGTGAAAAACTCGAAGAAGCCTAAATATGCCTTAGGGGATTTGTTAAATAAATTATAGCACATACACAGGATGAAATCATTTACAGCCATTAAAAATCATGCATACATGCATAAGGCCAGGCTCAGTGGTTCACATCCATAATCCCAGCACTTTTGGGAGACTGAGGCAGGAGGACTGCTCAAGCATAGGAGTTCAAGAGCAGCCTGAGCAATGCAGCAAGACCCTCTCTCTACAAATAAAAAATTTAAAAAAATTATCTGGGCATGGTGACATGTACCTGTGATTCCAGCTACTCAAGAGGCTGAGGTGGGAGAATCTCTTGAGGCCAGGAGGTCAAGGCTGCAGTGAGCAGTGATTGTACCACTGCACTCCAGCCTGGGCAACAAAGCACAATCTCGTCTCAAAAAAAAAAAAAAATCAAGCATAAAATTTTGTGAAATGCTTATTTTTGAGTTTATGGAGTCCCCTCATTTTGGTCCCACCTGAAATCTTACACAAATTACTGCTCATAAATTTTTGCATTAAGTTTTAAATTATTCAAGTAATTGGCATGTGTGAAAAAGTATGAAGAAAAAATTGAAACACCAACATTCCCTTTCCCCAGTCATTCCCCTTTCTAGTAATAACTGCAGCCAGTTAGGTGAAGACTAATAGACTTTTTACTAAAATGTATCTAGTGTCACTGACCCTAGATAACATCCCTGCTTCCTTTTTAAAACAGATAGACTAAAACTGGAATCTTGTCCTTTAAATTTCTTCTGTAGCTGGTCACTATAGAATGTTTGTGCCCCCATCCATAGTTCGTATGTTGAAATCCTAACCCCCTAGTGTGACTGCATTAGGAGGTGGGGCCTTTGGGAGGTGATTAGGTCATGAGAGTAGGGCCCTCAGCAATGGGATTAGTGCCCTTATAAGACCAGAGAGGTCTGCAGCAACTTCCCCAACATGAGGACACAATGAGAAGACAGAAGTCTATAGCCAGGAAGCAGGCCCCCACCAGACGCTGAATTGCACCTTGATCTTGAACTTCTAGCCTCGAAAACTGTGAGAAATAAGGCATTTCTGTTGTAGCAGTTTGAACTAAGGCACAAGCGACATTGGTTAAAACTTACCTAAATATACTAGGTTATGTGAGGAACATGGAGCCATGATACTGAAAGGCTAGCACACCGGCGGGCCAGCAGGTGCTTAATGAAAGGGATACGTTTGCGTCTGTCCTGTTTACTTGCTTTGTCCTTCGCTGGGGCTTTCACTGTGCCACATCTCACTGTAGGGATGCTTTCTGTGCTAAGCTTGTTTCAGTATTCAAACCTTCATTTTGTAAGAACATGACAGAGCACCTGCCATGGCATTCACGCAGGTAGGGCTGGAGGCAGCCACCGACGTTTGTTAATTGCAGAGTTTTAACTCAAGGGGGACAGATGATCTCAGGACAGAATGACAAGCTGAGTGACAGCAGGAGGGACGTCACCGTACAATTCTCTCCACTTTTCTGTAAGTTTGAAAATCCTCACAGAACACCCAGAGGCACACAGTGTCCTGAAGTGGAAACGGCCAGGACAGTGTCCTTTCTCTTTGTTGGGCTGCAATTTCTGGACTTCTGTACAACTCTGACCAGCTGCCTGTCCCCTCCCTTCCCAGGGTGAGGTAGGAGCCACTATGGCAGGTCGGGGTCAGGGAGAAACAAACGGGGGATCTGCGTGGAGTCGGCCTCCCCCGGCTCCCCGGGGCGTCGGGATGCTGGGTGGGGGGCCCCACTGTCAAGAACCAGTTTAGTGCGACTGGGAAATCTGGACACTTGCTGGTTCTAGGGAGAGGAAGGTGGAATTAGGAATTCCCTTGGGATTGGGAGCGTCAGGAAAATATCCTTTTTGTTTTAAGAGGTGTGTATGTAAAGTCTGTGGGACAACGGGAAGGGATGTCTTTTGACTAATTACCTAAACCAAAATTGGAGCAACTATGATAACAGTTCAATGCTTTAAGACAAAGTGGGGGGTGTGCGGGCAAGCACTCCCTCATCTTGGCCGAAATTTTTCTGAAGAAACCCGCTAAGTCTCAATCAGCAGCATCAGGACTGACAGGAAGAAGCAGCCGCCACCCGCGCCCCAACCCTGCCCCGCCTCGGCGAGGTCAGACCCTCACGCACAGTTCCCTGCCTCCCACCACTACCTCCGGCCTTCTCAGCCCTGTCCACGGCTCCTGCGGTGGGCTCGGCCTTCGATGTCAGGGACCTCCCCGCCATTTCCTCTCAGCTCGCCAGCGAGGGTGCCTCGGGAGGGAGCCTCCAGTGGTGATTGGAGCAACCGCCGCTGGGGGCAGGACTCCAGGCAGCGCGCCTGCGCAATGCACTCCTGCGCGCGCCTGGAGATGTGAGGTAATTCTCCGGCAGGCCTGCGTGGCACTAGTGCGCATGCGTAAAGGCGCGAGGGCTACAAACGCGGCGGGAAGCCCGCCAGGGCCACGTGCGGCCGTCCAGGCTTGCGATTGGCCCGCTGCCGGGTGCCCCCGCGCATGTGCGCTGGCTTCCGAGGGGACCGGCCCTGGTTCTGGAGGCCCTCCCCACCAACGAGCAGTACGCATGTGTAGCGCCGAAGCTTCCTGTGAAGTGTGCGTGTCTGACGGATGACGACTCCACAAGGCGCTGTGGCCCTGGCAGCCTCATGAGGTTGCGGCTCTGCGGGACCACACCGCCGCGGGAGTGCACGGGCCCCAGCGAGTGAAATCTGCGGCAGCCCCCGCTGGGCCCGCTGTTCCTGCGCGCGCAGAGGAGCGTAGCCTGCCCCTAGGCCGCGTTCCCGTGAGCTCCATGCCCACAGTGGCCGAGGCCGGCCACAAGCCCACGGTCCCTTCTGCACGGTCCCTGCCGCGCTGGGGCCACCGTGGAGGCCCGGAGGGCCCTGGGAGGAGGGAGGAGGAGCAGAGGCTTTCGGGAGAACCCAGCCCTTCACCGGCCAGGGGAGGCCGCGATGCATCGCGACTGGTTGTGAAGAGCCAGGGGAAGAACTTTACCGTGCAGGTGAGTGGGAGACATCAGAACACCTGCCTGTCCTAAATACGAAGCCTCGAATCCTAACCTATAAAAGGTTACCTTAGGGTTTAGGGTTAGGGCTACAGATTAGAGCTAGGGATTAAGGTTAGAGTTGGGGTTGGGGTTAGGGTTTAGGGGTTAGAAGTTAGTTTTGGGGTTAGGAGTGGGGTTAGAATTAGGGTTTGGGGTTAGTGTTAGGGGTAGGGGAAGGATTGGGGTAGGGTTAGGGTTGGGCTAGGGTCGGGGTAGGGGTAGGGTTTTACGGTTAGGGTCAGGGTTTTAGTGTTGGGGTTAGGGTATTGGGGTTAGGGTTTGGGGGCTAGGGGATTAGGGTCAGGGGTGGGGGTTAGGGTTTGGGATTTGGCTAAGGTTTGTAAGGGTTAGGGTTTTAGGGTAGGGGATAGGGGTTAGGGTTACGTGTTGGGGTTGGGATTAGGGTTAGGGGTTACAGTTTAGGGTAAGGGGTTAGAGTTAAGGGTTAGGGTTAGCATTAGGAGTTACAGTTGGGTTAAGGGTTAGGGGTTAGGCTTAGTGTTGTTAGGGTTAGGGTTAGGGTTAGCATTAGGAGTTACAGTTGGGTTAAGGGTTGCAGGTTAGGCTTAGTGTTGTTAGGGTTAGCTTCAGGGTTCGGTGTCAGGGTTTGGGGTGGGGTAGTGGTAGGTTTAGGGGTAGCGTTGTGTGTTAGGATTTGTGGTTACGGTTCGGGCTAGGGTTTTAGGGGTAGGCATAGGTTCGAGTTTGGGTTTGGGTGTTAGGTTTATGGCTAGCATTAGGGTAGGGGTTAGGTGTAGGAGTAGGGGTTGAGGTTATGAGTTGAGGTTAGGGTTAGGGGTCAGGGGTCCGGTCAAGGGTTGGTGTTGGATTTAGGGATTAGGGCTAGAATTAGGGGTTAGGGTTAGGGGTTTGTGTCGGGGTTGGGTTGGAGGCTTGGGTTCAGGGTCAAGTTTAGGGTTGGGGCTAGGGCTTAGGGTTATGGGTTAGTGTTAGCAGTTAGGGTTAAGGTTTAGGCTTAGGGTTTAGTGCTTGAGGTGGGGGTTAGGTGTTAGGGGTTAGGGTTAAGGGTTAGTGTTTTGCGTTAGTGGTTAGGGTTAAGGGTTATGGTTAAGGGTCAGCGTTAGGGTCAGGGGTTAGGGGTAGGGGTTGTGCTTAGTTTTAGGGTTAGGGTTCCTGGACGGATGGTTTTCCTGCTTGGGAATGTTCCTGGGCTGTGAGATCCACTCTTCTGGGCAGGTGGTTAGCACCTAACGTTTTCCCCTTACTTCCCCCCAAATTCTTAAGTCCTTTGGTCCATTTCATTACTTCTTTTGGGGAGGGCCTGATTCCTCAGGGCCTCAGTGGCAGAACCAGCCTGAGGTCACCTCCCTGTCCATGGGTTACCACGGCCCCTGGGCAGGCATGGGGAGCTGGGGTGGCTTGGGTTCCTGGCCTTGGCACCTCCCTTTGGGCGGCTCTGGAGTGTGGCTGGGCTGTTGGTACAGGAGCCACAGGCCACTGCCTTTTTGGCTGAGGGGACCCTAACATCCTGGAGCAGGTGGGGCAGGGCCCATGGTCTCCTCTAGGTGGGAGGTGGGAGGCTGAGGCGGCGTGGGCAGGCAGGTGGATGGCGAGGCAGCATGGGCAGGACGGTGGATGGCGGGTCCACAGGGGCAGCCAGCAGCTCCTGCACCCACTGGGGCTCCAAGACTGTGGGCAAGGGAGGAAGGGGGAGCCCAGGCCGGAGGATCCTGGGGGACGGTGCGGCCCGGGGGCCAGATGTGGTCACCGAGCCCAGCCAGGCCTAGGGCCGCAGCAGCCCCAGGGCACTGAGGGCGCCACCCAGCCCGACACAGAGGCACAGGCCGCCCGTGGGTCCAGCGCCCGAAGTCCACGTACAGTAGCTGTAGATGCCGAGCCGGTCCTGTTGCCTCCGGGAACCCAGTCCTCCTCGTCCTCCAGGCCGCGTTCCCCGGGTCCCGCGGCCCTTCTCCAGCCTGAGCCCGCCGCCCCGGCCGCAGCCACGCGCAGGGAGGAGCCCGGGGCACCATAGCACAGCGCCGGCCTCACACACACCCTCGAGGCCCCTCTCGAGCCCCCGCGGAGCCCTCCGCGGCCGCACGCAGAGGAAGGCTGCCTCCTGTAGCAGAGCCCAGCCATTCGCGGGTGCCCAGTTCATCTTCATGGGGCTAAACCTGCGGGAAGAGAGGGAAAGGGCCCTTAGTTTCCATGGAGATCGGGTGCCCAGAGGCGGAGGGCTCAAGGCTGGAGAGCAGAGGGACCCCCATCTTTTGTGGGATCAGGGTGCCCCCAGCATCTTGGAGGCCCACTGAGGCCTGGGGGGGCGCGGTTTAACCTCTAGCATCAGGGACTTAGGCCTGGGGGAGGCGCTGGGAAGTGGCAGGTGGGGCAGGAGGGGCAGGAGGGTTCTGCACCTGAAGGTTGTGCACCTGGATTGGGGGTGTAGAAGCGGGGCAGGAGCGTTCAGGCCTCTGGGGGCGTCCAGGCCCGGGCGGGGGAGCAAGCCTGGGGGAGGGAGCTCTGCACGCGTTGCTGGGATGTGGGGGGCGGGGGGAGGCGGCATGGGGGGAGGGGCGTTGTGTTTGGAGGACGCGGTAGCCGGGACCAAGAGCTGGCTCAGATCAGGGTCTGGAACGGGGACGGGCCGTGCCTGGGCCTGGTCCCCACCTTTGGGGCCAAAGCCTGGGTGCGGGCCTTGCGGATGCTGCGGAGGACAAGCGGCTGCTGACACCGTGCGGACTCCGCCCCAGCAGACCCGTGCCCCAGGGACAGTCCCTCCCGCGCGCGCCCAGCGCTCAATGCCGTCCCCGGCCGCCTAGTTCAGCAGCTGGCTGGGGGCGGGACGGGGTCGAGTTGCGGGGCCGCGTCCAGACACGGCTGTGCGGGCGACAGCTGCATCCCCTCCCCGCGCCGCCCCTCGCTCCCGGCCCCGTACCCGCCCCAGCCTCCCGGCCTTACCCGCCACGGGCCTCGGTTGGAACCGCGCGCTGGAGTATCCGTCCCTGAGGCCGCGGCCGAGCGGGAAGGAGCGGGCGGGCGGCGGCGCGGACCCTCAGCCGGAGCGCGGAGCCGCGGCGCCTGGGTTTTGCGCGAGGCCTCCGCCCTGGGATTGGGGCGGGCAGTCGCGGAGGCGCATCCCTGGTGAGCCGGTGGGAGGGGAAAAGGATGTCGCGTCCCCCATCCTTGCGGCCTCCCGTCCTCCGTCACCAGCCCCCTCCGTCTCCTGCATCACAAGGCCCCGTCCCCGCGGTCCCCCGCGACCCCCGCACCCGGCTCCGCTCCACCCGCCGTGCTTCCTGCCCCTCCACACCCTCGTCCCCACCCGGGCCCATCCCCCTGTGAGCCCTGGTGCCCTGGGATGAGGGCCGAGGTCCTGAGCGGAGAGGGTGCTTGTACCAGCCCCATGGTGGCTCGAGCCCACCCCGCGGCCCCTCCCGTGGCAGGTGCGGTTTCTCCACCGGTTGTCAGCTGCGGGGCCGGGCGGAGACCTCCTCAACCTCCGGCCTTGTTTCAGGGAGGATGGGGTCGACCCTTGCGATCCCCAGAGGCCCCCCATGGCTCCTTCTGGGCTGGCTGTCTTCCTCCTGTGGGTTCTGATGCCACCTGGGCCGACGGCGTCTTCTCAGCCCAGGGCGGCCGCGCCTCCGGTGAGTTTCAGCTGAGGGCGCGCGGCCAGCTCCGAGCCTGGCTCCGGGTGCAGCACCGGCCTGGGACCTCTGCTGTCCCGTGTAGGGGTGCCCTGCAAATATGTGATGAATAAGTGAAGAAATACGTTTTATCTTCTAACTTGCCGGATGTTAGAAGGAAACCAAGCTTATGCTTCTCATTTATAGCTACCGTTAAGGATTGGACAGAAGCTTAGCTTTTTGGGTGAGACGGACAACAGTGTTTTTAGAACCTTTGGCAAGGAAGAGCTGGAAAGAACATGTATTTGAAAGTGACTGACAGGTCTTCTGGCCCTAGGGGGCCACCTGAGCAGGTGCACCCAGCTTCCCTCCAAGACAGAAAATAAATTAACAAGGAGAGCAGGAAGGGCCCCGGCAGACTCCAGACGGGAGGGGGTGCTGCCCATCAGGCAGAAGGAGCTTGGAAGGGAGGGGCCGTGGCCATGGGACGTGGAGGTGGGAGCGGGGGTCATCATAGGTCTGCACACTCGGGTTGAGTCCCCCTTCCCCATCACACACAGGACAGCCAGCAGTGAGCTGCTTACCCCAAGGAGTCAAGGGGGTTCTTGGGCAACCCCTGGTGCTGGAGCCGGCAGTGGACAGCACCGCAGCCAGACCTTGCTTATTTTTGGCTCATGAGGAACATCTGTGACCGTTCCCTCCCCTGGCCCTGGGAGGGGATGTGTGACCTCCACTCAAGACAGCCATGCGGCTCCTCCGGCTGCGGGCGGGGAGGGCATGTTTCCCAGCACAGGCCCAGGACTGCCAGCTGAGAGGCTGGGAGGGGCCCCTCACCCCTAGACTTTGCATGTGAAGCCAAGCGTGGAGCCTCACAGGGAATCTGAGATGGGAGCCAGTGAGATGGGGGCAGGACCCAGAGGGGAGAAGAGGTCCTGGGGATGCTGTGGATCTGGATCCAGCGTGCGGGAGCTGAGGTTCCGGAGTGAAACACTGCCTTTCATGGAAGCACGTCTTCCTGTCACCCATCGGCTTCATTTTAAAGGATGAAAATGTATCAGACATTCAAGGAGAGCTGCATCACATAAAAGAAAGACCAGGCAAAGAAACGGAAAATAAATGGATTGAGAAATGTGAATGACTCCAATCATTCCAATCATTGGAATGAATGGATTGGATAAAACTCCAATCCATAGACTCAGATTAGGGAGATATATTTATATAATAAGAACAGGAAACTGTGAAGATGAAATAAGACAAAAAAGACACTTTTGAGATTAAAAAATTACTGCAAAAAAAAAAAAAAAAAACAACAGAAGGATGGAATTGTATATTTAAGGAAATGTTTCTGGCAAAAAGGCAGCAAATATGAAAGAAAAGGGGATAGACCCAGGGGATCCATTTTGGGCTCTAACATCTAACAGTTGTTCCAAGGCCGAGAACACAGAATGGGAAAAGGAAGGGGGAGGCGGTGCTCCAGCTGATTTTATGATTCCAGAAGCCTTCTATCTTAAGATGTATAGGATGTATCTTAGGGTGTATAAGAGAAGCGCAAGAGAAACATTTAGGCTGTTTTATGTTTGAGTAGAGACATGAAAGTTTTAGATAAAGCAGCAGCACAATGAGTCCAGCGGCACATCAGAAAGCAAATCACCATGATCAGGTCAGGTTCAGGGTGGTTTTATGTCATAACATATGTCAGTGTGCTTTACCTATTAGTGGACCAAAGGCAAAAAATACGGTTTTCTACAGAGAAAGACAAAGCATTTGATTTCAATCAACATTCGTTTGTGGTGAAACATGTTGAGAAAACTCATCATAGAAGTGAAATGTTTTCTTTGATAAAGGCTAATCTCAGAAGACATACGTAGTGGAGAGCTTTTAAATGTATTTTTAAAAATACGAACCAATGAGAAGATTGCCTACTTTCACCGCTTCTGTTTAACACAGCATTGGCAGAGCTGCCACCAAGAAGAACACAGCACGTTGAAGGCACGGTGGCTCCTGAAGCTGCAGCCCTGAGACCTGATTGTACCATGGAAGGTGGGGTGGCTCCTGCAGCTGTAGCCCTGAGACCTGATTCCACCACAAGTGCTGCAGCTGGCAGAGGCCACAGGACATAGGCATAGCTGGTGAAACCTGCAACTGAGGGTGTCGGGGGCTCCTGGGAGAGCCTCCGTCCCCGCTAAGGAGAGGGGCTGCGTAGAACCTGTGTGCTATTGTCCTTTCCCCCTTTTTCCTGCTGGGAGTGGGACTTGGTGCCGAGGGTGGCTCCTGACATCGGAAGACCCCAGGATGCTGGGTCAGCGGCTAGGCGGGTGGAGGGTGGGGTTGTCCCCGGCACACGGCGGTGCTGCTCTGCCACTCTGCACTGCTGGGTGTCTCACATCTCATCCCTGTATTAAGCAGGTACTCCCTAGACTTGCAGCCAGATGTATACCTTAGATTTAAAAGATGGTAGAATTTCTCTACCAGAACAAAAAATAGCTTTAAAAAATATAAGATAAAAAGCCATTCATAGTCTGGCACGATGGCTCATGCCTGTAATCCTAGCACTTTGGGAGGCCGAGTCGGGCAGATCACCTGAGGCCAGGAGTTCGAGACCAGACTGGTCAAAATGGTGAAACCCCGTCTCTACTAAAATTACAAAAATTAGCTAGTCATGGTGGTACATGCCTGTAATCCCAGCTACACGGGAGGCTGAGGCACGAGAATCACTTGAACCCAGGAGGTGGAGGTTGCAGTGAGCTGAGATTGAGATTGCGCCACTGCACTCCAGCCTGGGTGACAGAGCAAGACTCCTTCTCCAAAAAAAAAAAAAAAAAAAAAAGCCATTCACCACAGTCCGCAATGTAAAAGACCTCTGTGGAGAACATCAAAAAGTTATTAAAGAATATAAAAGAAAATCTGCATAAATGGAGGATGCACAGGATATTGTGAAGGTGACCGTTTGCCACAAATTGATCCATAAATTTAATGAAATTACAATAAAAATCTTTGCATAATTTTTAAAAGACTGTTATGAACTGAACAGTGTCTCCCTCAAATTCATGCATTGAATTCCCAACCCCTAATACTGCAGGGGTGGGTGCATTTGGAAATAGGACCTTAAAGAGGTGACTAAGGTTAAATGAGGTGAGGTGAGCTTGATGTCGTTAACAAGAGGAACTCAGGACCCAGACACCCACTGTGGGATGGCTCTGTGAAGACATAGGGAGAAGATGGTGTCTACAAGCCAAGAAGAGAGGATGCAGAAGAAACCAACCCTGCCAAACTGTGAGAAAACAAATTTTTGTTGTTTAAGCCACCCTGTCTGTGGCACTTTGTTATGATAGTAACAAAATAGCACAGAACCCAAAAGTTTCTAAAGTCTATATGGAAAAATAAATGCCTAAAATAGCTATTAATAAAATAATTTTGAAAAAGAAGATCAAAGAAGAGTAACTCACCATGTCATATTAAGACGTTGTAGAAAGCCATAGTAATAAAACAACCAAGTCTTTGCAAGGATTAGACAGAGACCAACACGAGAACAAGGATACCATTAAGAAGCTCATGTAGGAACCTGTCCATGTCTACAGGAATAAAAGAAGATTGAGAATTTTGGAAGAGACTGGGAAACTAAAAGGACAAAAAGGAAAGTCTAGAATCAAAAAATACATTTTAAAACACAGAAGATTAGACATGGCTAGAGAGAGAATTAGTAACATGGAAGATCAAAATATCCAGAAAAAAAAAAAGGAGGCAGAGGGTACACTATAAAAAGGCCTGACATGCCATGTAATAGAAGCAATGGAAGAAGATAATGAGGTAGGTGTAATATTTAAGGAAATAATCACCAATCAGTTCCAAAAACTGATGAAAGAAATTAAATCATGAATTCTAGAGGCATTACAAACTCCAAGTGCAATAAATACAAAAAAAAGCATACCTAGGTAAGACAGCTTTAAACCAAACAACTTCCAGAAGCAGGGGAAACTCAAATTACCTGCAAAAGAGTAAAAGTAAGACTGGCAGCTGGCTTCTCAACAGAAAGAGGCAGTGGGTGACAAAGCAGAAATGCAGTTTGTCAAGTCCCTGTCCCAGCATCACAGAGCTGACTGTGAAGGGTGGTTAGAAGCTAAGAGGCAGCAGATTAATAATTGGCATAGATAAAAAAGTTACCATGCAAATACTAAAAAGAAGCCAGTGTAGCTATATTAATGCCAGACAAAGTAGACTTTATGACCCAAAGGTTGAGGTAAAAGCACTACTAGGGACAAAGAGTAATGCCTCTTAGTGATGAAAGGTAAATTTACCAAGATGATAAAACATTTCTAAATCTGTATGCACTTCATGACATAAGCTCACAATATACAAAACAAAAATAGTAAGAAAGATTTAGAGTGAAAACTCATTGACATAAATTTAAAACTCACACACAACACCACACATCTGTTGAGTACCTCTCTCTCCAAGGACACATGCTGAATGCATCACACTGGGTGGCTGTGATGAGGGAGGTGGGATTAGGGCATGGAAAAACCGTGAAATCAAGTGAGAGATACCTCCCCACAACCAGGTGCCGCAGCCCAATAGGAAGAGACGTGCTTGGTCAACTTAGTTTCTGCCCTCAAGCACCAGAGAGAAAAGGCAGAGAAACCAGGTAAGGGCACATTGTCTATTCATTAGACCCATGGAGTTTTCAATAAAAGGACACAAAATGACATTCCTGTTTCTGAGGAAAGGGGACACCTGTGTGTTTGGTGGTGCTGCCTGGATGTGTCAGAGCCCTTTGCTCACCTGGCCTCAGGCTCTGCTCTGAGGAGCTGGGACCTCATGGCAAGGAGACCATCCCTCTGGGCCTGCAGGACTGGGCAGAGTGGCTGGCCTCCATAGCAGCTGTTCATCCGAGAGGGTCAGGGGAGAGGCCGTGAGAGGGGGCTTCTTGTGAGCTCCAGGCCCAGCTTCTCCTGGGCTGGAGGCTCCTAGCTGCTGTGGCAAGGAGCTGTCCTGGCAGTGCTGAGGCCCAGGTCTGGCATCTCTGCCCCTCCACTGCTCAAGGAGATGCTTGCCTGTGGCCACTCTGTGCTCTTGGCAACTCTGGGTGATATGGGCGAGGGCAGGACTTGCTGACTGCCCTGGTGGGAGAGGGCTATGGCTGCCTTGGGTGGTCACCAGTGTCTGTGAGCACAGGGAAGGAGGAAGAGGGATTGGGCAGCTCTCCCTCCTGCAGCTCTAAAGGGGAAGGGCCTGGAGGAGTTTGGCCAGGGCCTCCCTGATGTTGCAGTTCCCAGGCAGTAGATGATGGGTTTGAGCAGAGGGATCCCAACCAAGTAGACCCCTGACACCAGCTTGATGAGGTTAGAGGAGCCGCCACCCCAGGTGGGAGGCATAGGTGGGGAAGGCCTTTAGCTGCTGGGCCTTTCTGGAATCCTCAGCGATCTGGCCAGGATGTGGGTGTAGGAGACCGTGGTTGCCTGCAGGGAAGCCGCAAGGATCACCTGGGCTGCCTGAGTCCGCATTTCTATGGTAGTGGTGCTGGAGCAAGAGAGCCCTAGCGGGGGTGGGATATCACAGAAGTGGTTGAGGACATCGGGGCTGCGGAGCCTCAGGCTGGAGTTGAGAGCCGTGGACACAAAGGAGGCTGGGAAGCTGCTGAGCTGGGCGCTGATGGCCAGGTGCAGGCAGAGCCAGCTGCATGGAGTCCATGATGGGCTGGGTAGTGCAGCAGGTGGCAGATGACTGGGTGCCAGTCACAGTCCATGTTGGCCGGGAGGACGCACTCAGAGGAGCTGAGTGAGAGGAAGAGGAGCAGCCAGGTGAGGTGCCCCGAGAAGGAGATAGATGGTCGTCGCTCGTGCTGGGAGTCCGGCCAACAGCTTTGGGACGGTGACCGAGGTGTACAGAGTCTCCAGCACCGAGAGTTGGGCCAGGAAGAGGTGTGTGGATATGTGCAGGTGGTGGCTGGCTCTGATGGTCCCCACGACAGCCAGGTCCTCTAGGATGGTCACCACATAGATGATGAGGAGTGACCAAATAGCAGCCCTTGAAGATGGTGCAGCTCTGGGAAGCTCAGAAACACAAACTCTGTCACCACAGTATTGCTGGAATTGTACGTGGCCCTCCTGGTCAGGCAAGTCACTTCTCAGCACTCCAGAACAGTGGGGAGACTAGGCTGTGGTGTGTGATGGGGTCACAGCCCTGCTCCACTGGTGAGAGCTAGGTAAGAGCGCTGTAAGCCCTCCTGGGATCTTAGGGCAGGGGCTCAGGCTCACAGACTGTCCCACCATGCACCTTTGGGACCTGCTGCAATACTTATCTGTCATCCCCACCTCTCAGCCCAACATGCCCACTTACCCAGAGCTAACGCCTGGCCAAGGGGCCTTGGGACCTGTACACACTCATATGATCAGGTATACCCCCTCTTACACCTATACGCCCTGAGGTGCATAATCTTCCCTGCCCCAACACACAGGTACATGGCCAGGTGCACACATATACACTCAGTGCACGTCCCTCCCCAGCTGCACACACACCCTGGTGCACACACATGCACCCAAGTGCACACCCCCAGATGTACACACAGCGCAAGGGAAGACCCATTCTGCCTGGCGTGCCTTCTCGGGGCTGTGTGCCTTGGGGCCCTTCCTGGACCTCAACCCTGCTGGCCCCCAGGGGCCAGGGGCACCCTGTACGGGTGAACAAAGCTTCCAGGCGTTTTGCAGAGGGGAGGGAGGCTCCTCCCCACCTTTTAGGTCCTGACATCTTTATCTTGTACTTTCTGAGCCAGCAAAGGGGCGGACGAGGGAAGGGCGGGAGCTGTCCACTCAGAGCCTCCAATGGGTCTGTGTGGCGTGGGGTTCTGGTTCCTGGACTTGCCTGCAGTTGGGTGTCTGAGGGCAGGATGGGGGTTGGAGGGTGAGCTGGGACAGTGGTGGGAGAAGGAGCTCCGCAGGCCTGTGCAGCAGCTCCTCTGGGAGGTCCCCGCCCCTCTCGGGGGATGTAAGCCCCAGACCCCTACCTCGCACTCTGCCTCTGGGTCTGTCTGCGCCTGGGCAGCGGCCGGGTCCCCGTGGACAAGTGGAATTCCTGGGTGACCCTTGACCCAGCCTTCTACCACCCCTTCCTCACCGGTGCTCGGGGGTCTGAGCTGGCGGCTGCTCCAGGCCCACCTGGTGAGACGACTTCAGAGACCCCTACCCATGGCGGGGGCGAGGACGGAGTGCTGGGGGGCGCCACTGGCCAGCCTCAGGAGATGCATGGGCCCCGCCCTGGGTGCAGCGTGGGCGGCTGCGGGGAGGGGCTGGGCCGACGAAGGCTCAGCGCTGAGGACCCTCTGCAGCGCCCCCGTCCACCCCCCCCCCCAGTCCCACAGCACCCCGGGCGACGTGGACCAGCCAGCGAGGCACCTTGGGGCTCAGGGCTGGGGCCCTGGGTGCATCCGCGCAGCCTCCCCCAGGTCTTCGCGTGGAGACCAAGGTCACGGCGGGCCCCGCCTCCCTCGCAGGTGCGTCTCCCCCGGCCCCGCCTCTACCTGCCTCCGCTGGTGTTTCTTATTCGGTTCCTTTGTGACCTTGCCCTCCCCACCCCCTATCTGCTCCCCATCCTGGAAGTCTCTCATTGCAAATTTTCACTCCGATGGGACTGCCAGAGCGATTTGTAAAGTGCTCTGCAGGCCCATGGAGGGACCCGCTGAGCTGGGAGGCCTCCCCACGCTCTGCTCAGCCGCAAATAGAGCTTTCCATGCAAACTTCCCTCCCGGTGCCCTCACCCCGGGGACACCAACCTGGGACAGGTCGCAGACTCGAGGCCCTTCCCTTGAGGGTGGGGGCTGCTGAATGCTACCCAGTAGGCTGCCTTTGGAACACCCATTTCATTTATTTTTCGATGCATGGCATTTATTCATCTATTTATAAAATAATACAAAGAGCACATGAACCTCCCCTCAGCACAGGACATAGACAATTACTAACCCCTGAGCGTATCTCCTCCCCTCTCCCACCCTCAGAGACCATTCGTTGGGATTCTCTGGCTGCTTTCTTGAAAGCACGTTGATGACCCGAAACACGGGGCTTTGTTGGATTCAAGCTTCATAACCCAGAGCCCCGGGCTGTGCGCTGTCCTCTAGGTCTTGCTCTTTCATGTCAAGACTCTCCCTCTTCTCAGCAGCTGCACTCCACTCAGTCGGACACCTGTGTAATATTCCATGGTGTGACTACACCGCAAGTCATAACACATTCTTTGTTCACGGACACTTGGAACGATCCCCAGTCCTCTGTTCTTGCGAATGGCACTGGATGACATTCCTGTGCCTGGTTCCTGGTTGTCATGTGTGAATATTTCTCTTGTAATCCACCCGTAAGAATGGGAATGCTGAGGTCAAACTTTACTCAAAACCTCCTAAGAAAATACCAGATTCTTTTCCCAGTGTGGCTGTACTGCTCCACAGCTACTATGGCTCTCCCACCCTCTCCAGCAGGTGGTCTCGTGGAATTCTCAGTCTTGGCCACTTTAATGGGTGAGAAGCAGCGTCTCATTGTGTTGGTGACTCGTATTTTCCTGCTTGTCCCACAGATTTGGTATCAATGTGTGTTTCTGCTTCTGTGTGTCTTTTGTACATTTCTCCCAACGGGGTCATCTTTTAGTTATTGATTTGTAGAAATTCTTTAGCCCTTTCTAAATTTCTCTGTGGAGGCACAGTTTACAGAGTAATGCGCTTAGTGTTGAGGTGATGGGTTTTGATAAATGTGTGTGTGTGCCTGGAACCCAGACGCATCAGGATGCCAACTTCCGTCACCCCACAGACATCCTGCATACCCTTTCCCAGTTTATCCCTGACTCTCAACCTTGAGGCAACCACTGCTGAGATTCTTTCCTTCATAGGTTTTGTTCATTCTAGAATGTAATATAAGTGGAACACACAACGTCTTCTCTTTCGTCTCCAGTTTCTGCTCAGCACAGTGTTTTTGAGGCATATCCAGGGTTTGTTTGTTCCATTATTAGATAGTTTCCAGATGATCTGGAAATGTGTTATTTAGTTTCCAAATGTTCAGAGATTTCCTGGAGACATTTCACTGTTGTTCACTTCTATTTTAATTCCCTTGAGATTAGAGAACATACTTTGTTTTAAATTTGAGATTTATTTTATGGCCTAGAATATGGGTCTATCTTGGTAATTGATCTGTGTTCTCCCAAAAGAATGTGCATTTTGTGTTATTGGGTGGCACATCTTGTAGATGTCAATCAGGTAAGCTGGTTAATAGTGATGTTCAATCTTTATTGAAATCTGTGGTTCTAATTGTGGATTTGTCTCTTTCTCCTTGATGTTATATTGTTTTTGCTTCATGTATTTTTAGGTGGTTATTAGGTGCATACCTACTTAGGATGATTTTGTCCCTCTAAAGAATTAACCCCTTAATAGTTATGCAATGATTTGCTTTATGCCTGGTAATATTTGTTGTTTTAAAATCTACTTTGTCTGATATTAACTGCAGCTTTCTTTAAATAGTGCATGATATACCTTTTACCATTATTTTACTTTAAACCTACTTCTGTCTTTCTTTTTAAATTGTGCTTCTTGTAGGCAGCCTATAGTTGGGTCTTGCATTTTTATTCAGTCTGATAATCTCTGTCTTTTATTTGTGGTATTTAACCATTTACATTTAATGTGATTACTAATATGATTACACTTATTATCTACCACATTACTATTTGTACTGTCATAAATATTTGTAATGTAGTAAATCTCTACCACATTACTATTTGTTTACTTTTTATCCTGTCTGATTTTTGTTCCCGTTGTCATCTTTTTCTTCCCTTTTTCTGATTACATTTTATCTCCTTTGCTGACTATGACCTGTAACTCCTTCTTTTGTTACTTTAGTGGTTGTTTTAGGGTTAGTGTATTCCTTTAACTTGTCATCCTCTACCTTCAAGTGATATGTTATTTCTTCACGTATATTATACAAGCTGTACAATAGTGTACTTCCGTTTCTCTCCTACTGTCCTTTGTGCTACTGTGGTCATGCATTTTATGTTCATGTGTTATAAATTCCACGATAAATTGTTATTATTTTTGTTTATACAGATACTTATCTTTTAAATAATAAGGAAAAGTGATGTGCATTTATTCCTATTGGCATTCATTGTGCTCTTTATTTCTTTTTATAGATCCTTATTTCCACTTGGCATCATTTGCCTTTTACCTGGAGGGTTTCTCTAAATATTTTTTGTAATGCTCATGATATATTCCTTCATCTTGTGGTCTGCTCATGATATATTCCTTCATCTTTTGTATGTATGAACAATTCTTTATTTAACTTTTGTTTTTGAAAGATATTTTTGGCTGGGCATGGTAGCTCATGCCAGTAATCCCAGCACTTTGGGAGGATGACGTGGGTGGATCATCTGAGGTCAGGAATTCTAGACCAGCCTGGACAACATGGCAAAACCCCGTCTCTACTAAAAATACAAAAAATTAGCCAGGCATCGTGGTGTGTGCCTGTAATCCCAGCTACTGGGGAGGCTGAGGCAGGAGAATATCTTGAACCTAGGAAGCAGAGGTTGCAGTGAGCTGAGATCTCGCCACTGCACTCCAGCGTTGGTGATGGTGAGTCTCCATCTCAAAAAAAAAAAAAAAAAGGAGAGGAGCCAAGATGGCCAAATAGGAACAGCTCTGGTCTACAGCTCCCAGCGTAAGCGACACAGAAGACAGGTGATTTCTGCATTTCCAACTGAGGTACCGGGTTCATCTCACTGGGGAGTGCCAGATAGTAGGTGCAGGACAGTGGGTGCAGCGCACCGTGCGCGAGCTGAAGCAGGGCGAGGCATCGCCTCACCCGGGAAGCACAAGGGGTCAGGGAATTCCCTTTCCTAGTCAAAGAAAGGGGTGACAGAGGGCACCTGGAAAATCGGGTCATTCCCACCCTAATACTGCACTTTTCCAACCAGCTTAAAAAACGGCACACCAGGAGATTATATCCCACACTTGGCTCGGAGGTCCTAAGTCCACGGAGCCTCACTTATTGCTAGCACAGCAGTCCGAGATCAAACTGCAAGGTGGCAGTGAGGCTGCGGGGGGTGGGTGCCCGCCATTGCCGAGTTCGTTGTTTGATTAGGTAAACAAAGCGGCCGGGAAGCTCAAACTGGGTGGAGCCCACCACAGCTCAAGGAGGCCTGCGTGCCTCTGTAGGCTTCACCTCTGGGGGCAGGGCACAGACAAACAAAAAGACAGCAGTAACCTTTGCAGACTTAAATGTCCCTCTCTGACAGCTTTGAAGACAGTAGTGGTTCTCCCAGCACGCAGCTTGAGATCTGAGAACGGGCAGACTGCCTCCTCAAGTGGGTCCCTGACCCCCGAGTAGCCTAACTGGGAGGCATTCCACAGTAGGGGCAGACTGACACCTCACACGGCCGGGTACTCCTCTGAGACAAAACTTCCAGAGGAACGATCAGGCAGCAGCATTTGCGGTTCACCAATATCCGCTGTTCTGCAGCCACCGCTGCGGGTACCCAGGCAGACAGGGTCTGGAGTGGACCTCTAGCAAACTCCAACAGACCTGCAGCTGAGGGTCCTGTCTGTTAGAAGGAAAACTAACAAACAGAAAGGACATCCACACCAAAAACCCATCTGTATGTCACCATCATCAAAGACCAAAGGTAGATAAAACCACAAAGATGGGAAAAAAACAGAGCAGAAAAACTGGAAACTCTAAAAATCAGAGCGCCTCTCCTCCTCCAAAGGAACGCAGCTCCTCACCAGCAACGGAACAAAGCTGGACAGAGAATGACTTTGACGAGTTGAGAGAAGGCTTCAGATGATCAAACTACTCTGAGCTACAGGAGGAAATTCGAACCAATGGCAAAGAAGTTAAAAGCTTTGAAAAAAATTAGACAAATGGATAACTAGAATAAACAATGCAGAGAAGTCCTTAAAGGACCAGATGGAGCTGAAAACCAAGGCACGAGAGCTACGTGATGGATGCAGAAGCCTCAGTAGCTGATGCAATCAAGTGGAAGAAAGGGTATCAGTGATGGAAGACAAAATGAAAGAAATGAAGCGAGAAGAGAGGTTTAGAGAAAAAAGAATAAAAAGAAACAAACAAAGCCTCCAAGAAATATGGGACTATGTGAAAAGACCAAATCCATGTGTGATTGGTCTACCTGAAAGTGATGGGGAGAATGGAACCAAGTTGGAAAACACTCTGCAGGATATTATCCAGGAGAACTTCCCCAATCTAGCAAGGCAGGCCAACATTCAAATTCAGGAAATACAGAGAACGCCACAAAGATACTCCTCGAGAAGAGCAACTCCAAGACACATAATTGTCAGATTCACCAAAGTTGAAATGAAGGAAAAAATGTTAAGGTCAGCCAGAGAGAAAGGTCGGGTTACCCACAAAGGGAAGCCCATCAGACTAACAGCTGATCTCTCAGCAGAAACTCTACAAGCCAGAAGAGAGTGGGGACCAATATTCAACATTCTTAAAGAAAAGAATTTTCAACCTACAATCTCATATCCAGCCAAACTAAGCTTCATAAGGGAAGGAGAAATAAAATACTTTACAGACAAGCAAATGCTGAGAGATTTTGTCACCACCAGGCCTGCCCTAAAAGAGTTCCTGAAGGAAGCACTAAACATGGAAAGGAATAACCGGTACCAGCCAATGCAAAAACATGCCCAACTGTAAAGACCATCAAGGCTAGGAAGAAACTGCATCGACTAATGAGCAAAATAACCAGCTAACATCATAATGACAGGATCAAATTCACACATAACAATATTAACCTTAAATGTAAATGGGCTAAATGCTCCAATTAAAAGACAGAGACTGGCAGATTGGATAAAGAGTCAAGACGCATCAGTGTGCTGTACTCAGGAAACCCATCTCACATGCAGAGACACACATAGGGTCAAAATAAAGGGATGGAGGAAGATCTACCAAGCAAATGGAAAACAAAAAAAGGCAGGGGTTGCACTCTTAGTCTCTGATAAAACAGACTTTAAATGAACAAAGATCAAAAGAGACAAAGAAGGCCATTACATAATGGTAAAGGGATAAATTCAACAAGAAGAGCTAACTATCCTAAATATATATGCACCCAATACAGGAGCACCCAGATTCATAAAGCAAGTCCTTAGTGACCTACAAAGAGACTTAGACTCCCACACAATAATAATGGGAGACTTTAACACCCCACTGTCAACATTAGACAGATCAACGAGACAGAAAGTTAACAAGGATACCCAGGAATTGAACTCAGCTCGGCACCAAGCAGACCTAATAGATATCTACAGAACTCTCCACCCCAAATCAACAGAATATACATTCTTTTCAGCACCACACCACACCTACTCCAAAATTGACCACATAGTTGGAAGAAAAGCACTCCTCAGCAAATGTAAAAGAGCAGAAATTATAACAAACTGTCTCTCAGACCACAGTGCAATCAAACTAGAACTCAGGGTTAAGAAACTCACTCAAAACCACTCAACTACATGGAAACTGAACAACCTGCTCCTGTATGACTACTGGGTACCTAATGAAATGAAGGCAGAAATAAAGATGTTCTTTGAAACCAACGAGAACAAAGACACAACATACCAGAATCTCTGGGACACATTCAAAGCAGTGTGTAGAGGGAAATTTATAGCACTAAATGCCCACAAGAGAAAGCAGGAAAGATCTAAAATTGACACCCTAATGTCACAGTTAAAAGAACTAGAAAAGCAAGAGCAAACACATTTAAAAGTAACAGAAGGCAAGAAATAACTAAGATCAGAGCAGAACTGAAGGAAATAGAGACACAAAAAGCCCTTCAAAAAATTAATGAATCCAGGGGCTGGTTTTTTGAAGAGATCAACAAAATTGATAGACCACTAGCAAGACTAATAAAGAAGAAAAGAGAGAAGAATCAAATAGACGCAATAAAAATTGATAAAGGGGATATTACCACCAATCCCACAGAAATAGAAACTACCATCAGAGAATACTATAAACACCTCTACACAAATAAACTAGAAAATCTAGAAGAAATGGATAAATTCCTTGACACATACATCCTCCCAAGACTAAACCAGGAGGAAGTTGAAACTCTGAATAGACCAATAACAGGCTCTGAAATTGAGGCAATAATCAATAGCTTACCAGCCAAAAAAAGTCCAGGACCAGATGGATTCACAGCCGAATTCTATCAGAGGTACAAAGAGGAGCTGGTACCATTGCTTCTGAAACTATTCCAATCAATAGAAAAAGAGGGAATCCTCCCTAACTCATTTTATGAGGCCAGCATCATCCTGATAACCAAAGCCTGGCAGAGACACAACCAAAAAAGAGAATTTTAGACCAATATCCTTGATGAACATCGATGCAAAAATCCTCAATAAAATACTGGCAAACTGAATCCAGCAGCACATCAAAAAGCTTATCCACCATGATCAAGTGGGCTCCATCCCTGGGATGCAAGGCTAGTTCAACATACGCAAATCAATAAATGTAATTCAGCATATAAACAGAACCAAAGACAAAAACCACATGATTATCTCAATAGATGCAGAAAAGGCCTTTGACAAAATTCAACAACCCTTCATGCTAAAAACTCTCAATAAATTAGGTATTGATGGGACGTATCTCAGAATAATAAGAGCTATCTATGACAAACCCACAGCCAATATCATACTGAATGGGCAAAAACTGGAAGCATTCCCTTTGAAAACGGGCACAAGACAGGGATGCCCTCTCTCACCACTCCTATTCAACATAGTGTTGGAAGTTCTGGCCAAAGCAATCAGGCAGGAGAAGGAAATAAAGGGTATTCAATTAGGAAAAGAGGAAGTCAAATTGTCCCTGTTTGCAGATGACATGATTGTATATCTAGAAAACCCCATTGTCTCAGCCCAAAATCTCCTCAAGCTGATAAGCAACTTCGGCAAAGTCTCAGGATACAAAATCAATGCACAAAAATCACAAGCATTCTTATACACCAATAACAGACAAACAGAGAGCCAAATCATGAGTGAACTCCCATTCACAATTGCTTCAAAGAGAATAAAATACCTAGGAATCCAACTTACAAGGGATGTGAAGGACCCCTTCAAGGAGAACTGCAAACCACTGCTCAATGAAATGAAAGAGGATACAAACAAATGGAAGAACATTCCATGCTCATGGGTAGGAAGAATCAATATCGTGAAAATGGCCATACTGCCCAAGGTAATTTATAGATTCAATGCCATCCCCATCAAGCTACCAATGACTTTCTTCACAGAATTGGAAAAAACTACTTTAAAGTTCATATGGAGCCAAAAAAGAGCCTGTATTGCTAAGTCAATCCTAAGCCAAAAGAACAAAGCTGGAGGCATCACACTACCTGACTTCAAACTATACTACAAGGCTACAGTAACCAAAACAGCATGGTACTGGTACCAAAACAGAAATATAAACCAATGGAACAGAACAGTGCACTCAGAAATAATGCCACATATCTACAACTATCTGATCTTTGACAAACCTGACAATAACAAGGAATGTGGAAAGGATTCCCTATTTAATGGTGCTGGGAAAACTGGCTAGCCATATGTGGAAAGCTGAAATTGGATCCCTTCCTTACACCTTATACAAAAATTAATTCAAGATGGATTAAAGACTTAAATGTTAGACCTAAAACCATAAAAACCCTAGAAGAAAACCTAGGCAATACCATTCAGGCCATAGGCATAGGCATAGGCAAGGACTTCATGTCTAAAACACCAAAAGCAATGGCAGCAAAAGCCAGAATTGACAAATGGGATCTAATTAAACTAAAGAGCTTCTGCAGAGCAAAACAAACTACCATCCGAGTGAACAGGCAACCTATAGAATGGGAGAAAATTTTTGCAACCTACTCATCTGACAAAGGGCTAATATCCAGAATCTACAATGAACTCAAACAAATTTACAAGAAAAAAACAACCCCATCAAAAAGTGGGCAAAGGATATGAACAGACACTTCTCAAAAGAAGACATTTATGCAGCCAAAAAACACATGAAAAAATGCTCATCGTCACTGGCCATCAGAGAAATGCAAATCAAAACCACAATGAGATATCATCTCACACCAGTTAGAATGGCGATCATTAAAAAGTCAGGAAACAACAGGTGCTGGAGAGGATGTGGAGAAATAGGAACACTTTTACACTGTTGGCGGGACTGTAAACTAGTTCAACCATTGTGGAAGTCGGTGTGGCGATTCCTCAGGGATCTAGAACTAGAAATACCATTTGACCCAGCCATCCCATTACTGGGTATATACCCAAAGGATTATAAATCATGCTGCTATAAAGACACATGCACACGTATGTTTATTGCGGCACTATTCACAATAGCAAAGACTTGGAACCAACCTAAATGTCCAACAACGATAGACTGGATTAAGAAAATGTGGCACATATACACCATGGAATGCTATGCAGCCATAAAAAATGATGAGTTCATGTCCTTTTTAGGGACATGGATGAAACCGGAAACCATCATTCTCAGCAAACTATCACAAGGACAAAAAACCAAACACTGCATGTTCTCACTTATAGGTGGGAATTGAACAATGAGAACACATGGACACAGGAAGGGGAACATCACACACCAGGGAATGTTGTGGGGTGGGGGGAGGGGGGAGGGATAGCATTAGGAGATATACCTAATGCTAAATGATGAGTTAATGGGTGCAGCACACCAACATGGCACATGTATACATATGTAACAAACCTGCATGTTGTGCACATGTACCCTAAAACTTAAAGTGTAATAATAATAAAATTAAAAAAAATAAAAAGAGCTTTATTGAGGTATAATCAGTGTACAATAAACTGGTGTATTTGAAGTGGACCATCTGATGAGTTCTGATATGCACACGCCAGTGAAGCCATCACCACAATCAAGGCAGTGAACATCTCATCATCACAGCTTCCACTTCCTGCCCCACTTTTACCCTCCTTTGTGCCCCTCCCCACACCCCGTCTCCCACGACCACTGATGTGCCTCTGTCACCACAGGTCAGTCTGCGCTGTCTGGAATTTATAGTCACAGAATCATCGCCTGCATCTTCTTTCTTCTGGCTTTCACAACACAATATTTTTAGATTCATCCATGTTACTGTTGTATTGCTTGTTCGGTCCTTGCCATTCCTGAGTTGCATTCCATTGTATGGATGCCCCACAATGTGTTTAATCCATTCACCTGTTGGTGGACATTTGGGTTGTTTCAGTTTGGGGCTATTGTCAGTAATGCCGCTGTGAACATTCACATACAAGTCTTTTTACACGCAGATGTCTTAATTTCCTTGGGTGAATACCTAGGAGTACAATGGCTAGATCATATGGTAGGTGCATGTTTACCTACTTAGGAAACCTCCAAACCATTTTCCAAAGTGGATTTACTATTTTGAGTTCCAGATTCTCGACATCCTCTCCAACAACTGGTGTGGTCCATGTTTTAATTTTAGCCACTGTACTAGAAGTGCAGTGGTTTTAATTTGCATTTCCCTAAAGACTAATGACCATTGCCTAGTTGCCATTCATGTGTTGTCTCTGGTGAAGCTCAAATATTTTGCCTATTATTTTATTGGGTTATTTGTTTCCTTATTCTTGAGTATAAGCATTCATTGTATTTTCTGAATATAAATCCTTTATTAGATACATAATGTGCAATTTTTTTCCCAGTCTATGGCTTATCTTTTTGTTTTCTTAATCTATTTTAGGAGGAGGTTTTCATTTTGATGAAGTACAATCCATCTATTGATTCTTTTATAGTTTGTATTTTATATTCAAGTTATAGTCAAGAAATCTTTGCATAATCCAAGATCACCAAGATTTTCCCCCATATTTTCTTCTAGAAGTTGTATAATTTTAAGAGGTTTTATTTAGGTCCGTGATGTATTTTGAGTTCATTTTTGCTTATGGTATGAGGTATGGCTCAAAGTTCTTTTTTCTGTACTGAATTGTCTTTGTCCCTTTCACAAATATTGTCCATATTTTTCTGAGTTGATTTCTGGTCTCTCTATTTAGTTCCATTATTTTATTTGTTTATCTTTAACACCAGTGCCACATTTTCTTGATAACTGTGGCTTTATATGTCTTTAAATCTTATGGTATCAATCCTCCAAATTTGCTCTTCTTTTTCAAAGTTGTTTTGACTATTTTAGATCTTTTGTATTTCCGTATGAATTTTAGAATAAGTTTGTCAATTTCCACAAAAAAACTTCTGGGGTTTTGACTGTCATTGAATTTAATCTGTAGATCAGTCTTATGAGAATTGACCCATTAACAGTATCAATTCTTCTGGTCCATGAAGATAGTGTATCTCTCCATTTATTTAGGTCTCTAATTAGTCTCAGCAGGTATCTGTAGCTTTTGGGGTATAGATAGATCTTTCATGTGTTTTGTTGGATGTATCTCTAAGCATTTCATATTTTTTGTGGTATTGATGCAGGACAGGCAAGCCCCAAAACTGGGGCTTAGCCCAGGAGGGTTCTTGGCGTTGCCCAGGAAAGAATTCAAGATCATCACAGTCGATGCAGGAAATCCATGTGACAAAATTCAATACTTATTCACGCTGAATCTAAGATTTATGTGGACATACAAAGAACCTAGAATGGCCACAGAAAAATCTTGAAAAAGAACAAAATGTCAAGACTTAGAATATTTAATTTTAACTTTTATCATACAGCTACACAAGCAATGACAATGTGGTATTTGTGTAAAGATGGACAAGTAGACGAATGGAACAAACAGAGGTCCATCAATAAACTCATGCAGGACACCCAGCTGATCTTCAGCCAGAGAGCAAAGGCATCTTAGCAGGGGAAAGGAAAGACCGAGCTGAACTTCAGCTAGAGAGCAGGGGAAAGGAAAGACTCAGACACACTGTGTTAGATATCCACTTGGGAAAAGCAAAAATCCTGACGTCCACCTCACACCATGCACAAAAATGCTCTGAGATGGATCCTAGACCTTAACGGAAAGGCTGAAACTAAAGAGTATCTGGCAGAAAATGTGGGAGAATACCTTCACAACCTCAGGAAGGCAAAGTTTTCTTAAAGAAAAGATGAAAAGGAAAGCAATTGACAAATTGTATACTTACTGTGCATTGGGTTTAAGATAAATTATACCTCAATTTAAGAAATGCTTTTTGAGGTATTTATGTTTCTGTATTTCCAAGCACATGGGAATTTTCTGGTTATCTGTTGTTGATTTCTCATTTAATTGCATTGTAGTCAGAGGCTATATTCTGTATGATTTCAAAGCCTGACAGTTTGAGACTGGCCTGATGACACATTGCTATGGTGCTTTTATTAACGTCTGCATGAGTTTGAAATGAATGTGTATCTGCAGGTGCTGGATCCAGTGTCCACAAACATTACTCTTTCTTAATTGCTTTGTTCAAATCTTTTGAATAGCTACTGATTTTTTCTGTGCTTGCTGTGTAACTTGCTGATAGATGTGTTAAAATCCCCCACTATGACCACCTTTTTGTGTTTCTGTCAGTTTTTAACACACACACAAACACACACAAACACATACACACGAACACACACAAACATAAACACACCTACAAACACACATACAAACACACAAGCACACAGACACATTTTTATGTCATTCCCTTATGTGCTTGTAACAATATAATTATCATCTCTTGGAGAATTGAACCTTTTTAATTATTGTAAAATAATTATTTTATCCCTAGTAATGCTTTTAAATTACTTTGCATGATATTAGTATCTATACAAATTAACAGCTACCCAAGTTCTATCTAATTAGAGCATCTAGCTAGTCCAATGTTAATGAAGTTGCCACTGTGCTGGGTGAGGCTCCATCTTAACCGCCTTCTCTGTGTTTCACCTGCACTGGCCGCCTCTCTGCTCTCCTGGGACACCATTCACTCCATTACTCGG
The DNA here is from genome assembly GCF_000001405.40 of Homo sapiens. Taxonomy (NCBI): domain Eukaryota; kingdom Metazoa; phylum Chordata; class Mammalia; order Primates; family Hominidae; genus Homo; species Homo sapiens. The sequence continues at coordinate 133,589,844 of NC_000010.11, forward strand.
CCCCGACTTACATTCCACTGTTACCACGGTTAAAAATTTTTTAATGTGTTTATGTTTATTGATATATCACAGTTGTATACACTTGGAGGCCACATGTGAGATTTTGGTCCATGTATACAGTGTGTTATTATCAAATCAGGGCAATGGGGTATCCATCCCCTCAACCGTTTATCTTTTCTCTGTGTTGGGAACATTACAGTTCTTCTCTAGCTATTTTATAACATATTTTTAAATCACACATTTTCATGCTCTAAATATTTCAAACTCCGAAATACGTAAGTATTATTGTTCTAGATGGCCCTTGTTCACTGTGATTTGCTTACTCATCTACTGCAGGAAAAGGGAACGCTGTTCTAAAATGCAGCACCCTGAAATCCTGAGGGTGAGATAGACTGCAGAATGTTCACAGTAGGTACTAGGCAAGGGCCCTGCCTCCTGGTCACCCAAAGGGCCCATGTCCTCTGTGAGCCTGCTGGGGGACCTGCTCCCACTTTCACAGGCAAGAAGCAGCCCCAGGGCATCTCCCTGAGCCTCCTGATTCCAGCCCCAAGGCCTGGCCCTCTCCTGGGCAGGGCCTCAGTGGTTGCCTCTGGGGTGGACAGCACCCCACATGCTCCCGGTGGCCGCCCCTGCCTGGCGGGTTGCACTGGGGGCTGCCCAGAGGGCACCAGGGCTGTCCTTGGACACTGTAGGTTTATTCCAATCCCACCCAGCCCTGCTGTGTGACAACTGCACCTCTAGAGTGCACGGAAGCCACCGGGCAAGCGTGTCTGTGGCATCCTGGAGCTGGGACCATGTGGGCCCTGGTCTGGCCTGGCTTTGATGGAAGTGTCCAGAGGCCCAGGAACTGGTTTCCTCCGGGTTTGGAGCCTCTTCCCCACTGCATGGGACTAGACTGACAAGGGCCCTTCCTGCATCTTCTGCTCCACGGGGCTGGAGCTGCTGCAGGGCTACTCCCTGCTCCACAGGGGCTGGACGCTGCTGGCCCCTCACAGGGGCCAAGGGGCTCATACCCCGGCTGCAGGAGGACACCCCCACCCAGCCATTGTGCCATGTACGGCAAAGGGGGATGCTTGGGTGACTCCTGGCCACCTGCCACCCCGTTTGTCTCCACTCACCCCGACAGAAAGAAATCTCACCCTTGTAGAGACTGCAGGAGTCAGTGCTCACTTAAAACATTCCCGGCCACGGGAGAAACAGCCTCTGCGAGATGCGAGGGGAAGGGGCATGCTGAGTCGGGACCGTCAATGACAGAGGTGGCCCAAAGCCCACCTGCCCACAAGGGTGCAGGGACAGCCGGGGGAAGGCAGTGGCTTGGCTACCTCAGAGGCCCTGGAGGCTTAGGCAGCACTCGTTTTCTGGGAGTGTCCTGGGTGTCTCTCAGCAACACAAGACAGCACATTGTTGGGGCCAGCGTGGAGTCTCTTTGAAACTGGCCTCGTTGTCCCATAGAATTGATGTTTATGGTTTCTTTTGAATACACATAGAAACTGACCCTCCTAGTCTTAAACTTGAGAAACTTACATTTGTCTCATCTGAGTTCCTTTCTCAGAAACCGACCATCAGGCCCCTGGATAGCATCAAGAAGCTGAAATTCCCCAGATCACTGCACTTGGACAGTGAGACTCTGGGCCCCTCGCCCCTCATGATTGTCTAACTGACCACTGGCTGCCTGCTGACTGACTCCTCTTCCTCACCCTTCCGTTAATTCCTGTTTTCTTACACATCATTACATTTCTTCCCTGCTATATAAGCCCCTCATTTCAGTTGGTCGAGGAGATGGATTTGACACTGATCTCCCATCCCCTCGGCTGCAGCATCTGATTAAACCCTTCTTTCCTGGCAGTCCCCGTTGTCTCACTGACTGGCTTTCTGTGCAGCGAGCAACAGGTCCTAGACCAAACCCTTGGCGTTTTGGTAACATCTTTCTGCAGCACCTCCACAGCTCCAGGGAAAGTGGGTTTAGGGGTTCTCCTGGTGATTACTGACCCAGCGATGCAGACCTCAGCGAAGGGAACAGTGGCTCTGAGAGGGCTCTGGTCTCAAGGGCTCAAGGGAAACCATCCCTGGAGTGGTGGTGACTCCAGGCCTGATACATACCTGCCTGCTGTGTGTGTGTGTGAGTGTGTGAGTGTGCAAGACGTCAGTCCAGAACTAGCTGGACCCAGAATTGGCAAAGGCACCTTTCCTGCCTGGATGCAGTTATTTGCCTCTCAGTTCTGCATTAAATGCTGGAGTTGCTGCTGCCACGCTGGGCTGAGTGAGCCAGCCAGTTTCTTGGTGGCCTTCTCCATGTTCCTGGCACAGTATTAGCCCAGAGCACAGAGACTAGAAATGTGAGCAGTTATTTCTGCCATGACAACGTAAGCCTGATGGAGAGGCCTGGAGGTTGATAAACACTGTTGTTAGTGGGTTTACATTTGGAAGAATCTACTCCGACCCTATACCTTACTGCAAAAAAGGCTCTCGTGAATCAAATGTCTAAATATGAAAAGAAAATATTAGAAAAGTAAGTAGAAAATATAAACTTATGTGGAGGATGATAATTTTCTTAATTTCAGAATTTTGAAAGCCACAAAAATGTCAGCACCTTTGAGGAAAACTCTAAAGATGTTCAGTGATGAAAAAATGTCACAACGAAAGCCAAATAAAAAGAGGATGCCAGAAAAAGCTTGGTTATAGGTGGTACAGGTGCCAGAGGCAGGGGATGTGTGCTCATGACATCTGAGCAGAGGGAGAGAAGGACCCACTCACTCCCACCCGTGCCCATGATACCTTAGCAGAGCGAGAGAAGGACCCAGCTGCTCCCACCCACAGAAACACTGGTCCATGATCAGAAAAGAGAGCCGAGAACAGCATGAAGCCGTGCCATTTGTCTAAAGTGAAGATAAAAACCAACATTAACAAAGTTGTGTTAATAACTTTTTTGAGTATTTAAAAAATATTTTTAAAATTTAGAGTCAGTAAAATTCACTCTTTTTGGTGTCCAGTTGTAGGACTTTTGACACTTGCAGAGTCGTGTAATATTCCCATAATCAAGATGTAGACCAACCTCACCGCCTGCCCCCCACCGCCACGCTGGCAGCCTCAGCTCTGTTCTCCATCCTGGCAGTTTGCCTTTGCCAGAAGTCACATACATGGACTTGTTCTGCGCATAGCCTCTTGAGACTGGCTCCTTTTATGTATTATGGAAAAATCGCCATTAAATGCATGCCCTTTGTTTACTGACTCACCAGTGAAGGACATTTGGAGTGTTTTCAGTTTTTGGTGATTATGGATAAAGCTGTTATAAACATTTGCATACACGTTTCTCTGTGAATGTAAGTTTTCATTTCTCTTGAGGTATGGGATTCTTGGGACATATGGTGGTGGACTTTTAATGTTCGAAGACACTGCCAAGCTGTTTTCCACAGTGGCTGGACAAGTTTTTCATTCCCACCATTAATATATGAGTGTTCTGGTTGTTCTGTGTGCATGTTACCACTTGATATCGTCAGGGTTTTTTTTGTTTTGCATTTGAATAGATGTGTAGTTGTTTTAATTGGCACTTCCCCAAAGGCTAACAATGTTGGACATCTTTTCATGTGTTTATTTGCTGTCTGTGTGTCTTCTTCAGTGAAGTGTCTGTTTAAATTTTTTGCCCATTTTTCTTTTGGGTTTGTTTTCTCATTAAGTGTTGAGGGTTCTTTAGGCAGTCTTTTGTCAGATGTGTAATTTCCAGATGTTTCTCTCTGTGGTTTGCTTTTTTTTTTTTTTTTTTTTTTGAGATGGAGTCTCACTCTGTTGCCCAGGCTGGAGTGCAGTGGCGTGACCTTGGCTCACTGCAACCTCTGCCTCCAGAGTTCAGGTGATTCTCCTGTCTCAGCCTCCTGAATAGCTGGGATTACAGGCGTGTGCCACCGTGCCTGGCTAATTTTTTTGTATTTTTAGTAGAGATGGGGTTTCACCATGTTGGTCAGGCTGGTCTTGAACTCCTGACTTCATGATCTGCCTGCCTCGGCCTCCCAAAGTGCTGGGATTACAGGCATGAGCTACTGCACCCGGCTGGTTTGTCTTTTTATTTACATTGAGAGTTTCCTTTGTAGAACAAAAGTTTTAGATTTTGATAAAGTAAATTTGGATTCATTTTCTTTCCTTTCCTTTTTTTTTTTGTTTTTTTGAGACAGAGTCTCACTTGGTCACCCAGGCTGGAGTGCAATGGTGCGATCTCCACCCACTGCAAACTATGCCTCCCTGGTTCAAGTTATTCTCCTGCCTCAGCCTCCGAGTAGCTGGGATTACAGGCATGTGCCACCACACCCAGCCAATTTTGTATTTTTAGTAGAGATGGGATTTTGCCATGTTGGCCAGGCTGGTCTCGAACTCCTGGTCTCAAGGGATCTGCCCGCCCCAGCCTCCCAAAGTGCTGGGATTACAAGTGTGAGCCACTGTGCCTGGCTGATTTTTTTGATTCATTTTTAATTGTTGCACAGCCTTTTATTCTTGGGATAAATCCCACTTGGTCATAACATATCATTTATTTATTTATTTTAAAATAGATTTATTACAATATAAATTACATACTACAATTTGTCAATTTTTTCTTATGGATTATGTTTTGGTGTCTTACCTAACAAGTGTTTGCCTAATCCATGGTCACAGATATTTCTCTAGTATTTTCTTCTAAAAGTTCAATCATTTTTTTTGTGTGTTAATTTTTGCATAAAATGTGATTTATGAATCAAGTTTTATTTATTTATTTGCATTAACTCCAACACCATTTGTTGAAAAGACTCATTTTTCCAGTGAACCACCTTTGCATCTTAAAGAAAATCAATATACTATAGTTGTGTGGGTCTATTTCTGGACTCTGTATGTTTCATTCACTTACATGTTCATTCATTTACCAATAGATAGGTCTCAGTGCTGCAGTTTTATGGTAAATCTTGAATTCAGGCAGTGGGAGCTCTTTAACTTTGCTATTCTTATTCAAATTTATTTAGAATATCCTAGTTCCTTTGCCATTCCATAGAAATTTTAGAATCAGCTCATTGGTATCTGTGAAAAACCCTACTAGAATTTTGGTTGGGATTACATTATGCCTGCAGATAAGTTTGGGGACAATAAGCATCTTAACTATCTGTGTCTTCCATAGTTGTCCAATCAATGAACCTGGTGTATCTTATTTATTTGGATTTTTAAAATTTATTTTATCAGGGCTTTATAGATTTCCACATACAGATCTTGCACATATCTTGTTAGAGTTATCCCTTAGTAGTTCATTTTTAAGTGCTATTGTAAGTGGCACTTAAAGCAATTGTTCATTGCTAGTATATAGAAATAAAATGGCTTTTTGTGTTTTGATCTTGTATTCTGTGAGCTTGCTGAATTCACTTATTAATTCCAAGAGTTTTTCTGTAGATTCCTTGAGATTTCCTATTTAATTATTTGGTCTGGGAATAAAATGTTTTATTCCTTCCTTTCCAATCTGTAAGTTTTAATTTTTTTCTCTCTCTTTGGTACTGTTTAGGACTTCCATTAAAATTTTGAAAACGAGAGATGAGAGTGGCTATCCTTGCCTTGTTCCTTATTTTAGGTGGGAAGCATTCAATATTCCACCATCAGGTGGGATGTTGGCTGTAGATTTTTGTAGTTGCTCTTTGTCAGATTAAGTTAGTTTCCCTTCTGTTCCTAGGTTGCTGACGGTTTTTTATCATAAGTCAATTGGTGAACTTTGTCAAATGCTTTCCCCACATCTCTTGAGATGGTCACATGGCTTTTCTTTTTTAGAGTGATAGTGTGGTGCATTATATTGATTCAGTTTCAATTGTTGCATGGCCTTTCATTCCTGGGATAATTCCCACTTGGTAGTATTGTATCATCTTGTTTATTTATTAAAAAACAGACTTACTGCAATATAAGTTACATACCATGAAACTCATCCATTTCCAATTCAATGATTTTTAAAGTAAATTTATTGAGTTATGCATCTATTGTCTCAATCCAGTTTTAGAATGTTGCCATCATTCTTGTGTTATTTCTTAAGATACTACTGGACTTGATTTGCTAATATTTTGTCAAAGATTCTTACATCTTTGTTCATCAGGGATAATTTTTGTAATTTTTTTCTTGTAATATTTTTGTCTGGTTTTAGTATTAGAGTAATGATGGCTCATAAAATGAGGTAAGAATTATTGTATCTCTTCATATTTTCTGGACGAGATTGTGTAAAATTGGTATTTCTTAAATATGTGATTAGAATTAACCAGTGAAACAATGTCGGCTGGGAGTTTTTATTTTTGGAGGGATTTTAGCTAAGAATTCAAATTTTGTGATAGCTATAGGACTATTCAGGAAATATGTTTTTTCTTTTGTGACTTTTGGTAGTTTGTGTCTTTTAAGAAATTGGTCTATTTCTTCCAAGTTGTCAAATTTATGGGCGTAGAGTTGTTCCTAGTATTTCCTTATTATCTTTAAGTGTCTATAGACTCTGAAATGATTTCATCTCCTTAATTCCTGATGTTGGTAACTTGTGTTTTCTCTCTTTTTTTTTTTCTGTTCAACATTCTGGCTAAAGGTTTATCCAGTTTATTGATCTTCCTTAAGAACTGATTATCAGTTTCATCAATTTTCTGTATTCTACTGTTTTGAGTTTTGCAGATCTCTCCTCTTATGTTTATTATCTACTTCCTTCTACTTTCTCTTGTTTTTCTAGTTGTTTAAAGGAAGAACTTAAATGATTGATTTGAGAATTTTCTTGTTTTTGAATATAATTATTTTATGCTATGAATTTTCTAATCCTGCTTTATCTGTATCCCACACATTTTGATATGCTGTATTTTCATTTTTACTTAGTTCAAAAGGTTTTCTGATTTCCCCTTATGTTTCACTTTTGACCCATGGATTATTTAGAGGTGAGTGGTTTAATTTTCAAATATTTGAGGGATTCATCGGACATCTTTCTGTTATTAAGTTTAATTCTGATAGGATCAGAGAATACACTTTATACAATTTCTATTTCTAAAAATTTGTTTTTGAACTTCCGTTAAGATTTGTTTTGTGACCTAGAGTATGTTCTATACTGGTGAATGTTTCATATACACTTGAAAGAAAGCATAGTCTGATGTTCTTAATGAATGATTTGACCAAATAAGTCCAATTGAGTGATTGTGTTGGTCAGGTCTTCCATATTCTAGCTGTTTCTCTATATGCTTGTTCTATTGGTTACTGAGGCAGGACTGTTAAATTCTCCAAATATAATTGTGGATTTGAATATTTCTCCTTTGAGTTATTGGATTTTTTTTGTTTTGTTTTGTTTTTTGAGACAGAGTCTTGCTGTGTGGCCCAGGCTGGAGTGCAATGGACCCATCTTGGCTCACTGAAACCTCCACCTCCTGGGTTCAAGTGATTCTCCTGCCTCAGCCTCCTGAGTAGCTGGGATTACAGGCATGCACCACCATGCCCAGCTAATTTTTATATTTTTAGTAGAGACAGGGTTTCACCCTGTTGGCCAGGCTGATATTGAACTTCTAACATCAAACGATCTGCCCACCTTGGCCTCCCAAAGTTCTAGGATTAGAGGCGTGAGCCACTGCGCCCAGCCAGATTTTTTTTTCATGTATTTTTAAACTCTGTTAATGATAGGTGCCTATGCATTTAAGCATTATGATATCTTCTTGGTAAATTGACTTTTTTATTATATGTAATGCCCTCTTTGATCTCTTGTAATATTTTTTATCTCTTTTAATATTTTCTAAGTTCTGCTTTATTTGACTTAATACAGCTAGCCCACATTTTTTATTAGTATCTCATGGTTTATCTTTTTTTATTCTTACATTTCGATGTATGTCATTATACTTAAAGTGGGTGTCTTTAGACAGCATATAGTTGGGTCCTCTGTTTTTTTTAAAAAAGTGTATTTTGGAAGATTGTAGAGTCATTGGAAGTTGCAATGAAATATACAGGGAATACCCAGGCACATTTTACCTATCCTTCTCCAATCTTAGCATCTTGTATAACTATAGTGCAATGGAAAACCAGGAAATCAACATTGATACAATCCATGGAGCTTATTCAGGTTTCGCTATTTATGCATGCATTCTATATGTGGGTATAACTTGTGATTTTTAACATGTATAGCTTCATATAATCAGCATGACAATCAAGTTGTTTAACTATATCATCATCATCAGACCTCTCCTCATGCTACCTCTCTACAGTCACAGCTCCATCACCGCTGCATACCTAATCCAAGGAAACCACTAATATGTTATCCATCTCTGTGATTGTGTTATTTAAAAATGTTATCTAAATGGATTCATGAAGTATGCATCCTTTTAAAATTGGCTCTCCCACCCATTCAACATAGTTTCCTTAGGTTCATTCAAATTGTCACATGTATTAACAGTTTATTCCCTTTTATTGCTGAGTAATATTGCATGATGAGGATGTACCACAGTTTATTTACCCCTATGCCCATTGAAGGACATTTAAGGAGTTTCCAGTTTCTGGGCACTGTGCATAAATCTGCTATGTAGAGTTTTTGTATGAAAACAAGTTTTCATTTCATTGGAATAAAAGCTCAATTGTGCAATAGCTGGGTCATAGGGTGAGTCAAGTTTTAGCTTTAAAAAGAACAGCCGAACTATTTTCCGGAGTGAATATGGCTGTACCATTTTGCATTCCCACCAGCAATGAATGAATGACTTAGTGATTCTCAACCTCCTTGTGAGCATTTGATGTTATCACTATTTTTAAAACGTCTTTCTGACAGTTCTGCTGCGATGGTTAATTTCATGTGTCAATTTCACCAGCCCATGGGGTACCAGATACTTGGTGAAACACTATTCTGAGTGTTTCTGTGAGGGTGTTTTTGGATGAGCTTAACATCTAAATTGATAGACTGAGCGAAGCAGATTGCCCTCCCCACTGAAGGTGGGCCTTGTCCAATCAGACAAGTGTCTAAATAGAACAAAAATGGACCCTCTCCCAAATCAGAGGGAATTCCTCCTGCCTGCATTTGAGCTGGGACATTGTTGTTTTCCTGCATTGAGACTTGAACAGAAATATCAGCTCCTCCTGGGTCTTTGGCCTGCTGACCTTCATGTAGAAACCCCACCATTAGCTCACCTGATTTTCAGGCCTGTGGATCAAACCACACCATCAGCTCTCTTGGGTCTTCAGCTTGTCAGTCTCCATAAGTGCATGAGCCAATTCCTTATAATAAATGTTTACACACACACACACACACACACACACACACACCCCTATTGGTTCTGTTTCTCTGGAGAACCCTGACTAATGCAGATTTTGGTACTGACACTGGAGTTCTGCTGTGAAACATACCTAATGATAGGGACCAGCTTTGGAACTGGGCAGTGAGCAGAGGCTGGATGAGTTTTGAGATACTTGGTGGAAAAAGCCTAGATTTCCATGAAGGGACTATTGGTAGGTACATGGACATTAAAGGCAATTCTGGTGAGGGCTCATGAATAAAAGACAAGAGCTATAGAGAAAGCCTCTACCATCTCAGAGAATAACCATATCATCATGAAGAGAATGTTGGAAGCAACATGGACACACTGTTACAGACTACTGGGCGAGATCTCAGGTGGCAAACCCTAACCCTCTCTCTTAGACGGTTTTCTTTTTTTTTTTTTTTGAGACGGAATTTCACTCTTGTTGCTTAAGCTGGAGTGCAATGGCACGATCTTGGCTCACTGCAGTCTCTGCCTCCTGAGAGCAGAGAACACAAATTATTTGGAATTCAAAAGATTTGTCTTTTCTCCCCATTTATTTATATTTATTTGTTCATTCAATCATTTACTTAGATTACATGGCTCACAAATATTTATTTCATATTTTTGGTTATAATCCAGTACTATTTTATTATTTTGTTGCTCAAATTAATTCAATTTTTTGCCACTTGGAAATCTTTCAGTTACCTTTGACATATCCCCATCACTTTTTTTTTTTTTTTTGAGATGGAGTTTCGCTCTTGTTGCCCAGGCTGGAGTGCAATGGTGCGATCTTGGCTCACTGCAATCTCTGCCTCCCAGGTACAAGCGAGCCTGAGATATGGCCTCATGTGAAGGGAAAGACCTTACTGTCCCCCAGCCCAACACCCGTAAAGGGTCTGTGCTGAGGAGGATTAGTAAAAGAGGAAGGCCTCTTTGCGGTTGAGATAAGAGGAAGGCCTCTGTTTCCTGCATGTCCCTGGGAATGGAATGTCTCAGTGTAAAGCCGAACATTCATTCTATTCTGAAATAGGAGAAAACCGCCCTGTGGCTGGAGGTGAGATATGCCAGCGGTGATACTGCTCTGTTACTCTTTGCTACACTGAGATATTTGGATAAAGAGAAACATAAATCTAGCCCATGTGCACATCCGAGCACAGTAGCTTTCCTTGAACTTATTTATGACGCAGATTCCTTTGCTCACATGTTTTTCTGCTGACCTTCTCCCCGCCATCACCCTGTTCTCCTGCCGCACTCCCCTTGTTGAGATAGTGAAAAGAGTAATCAATAAATACTGAGGGAACTCAGAGACCAGCTCTGGTGCAGGTCCTCGCATGCTGAGTGTGCCGGTCCCCTGGGCCCACTGTTCTTTCTCTGTACTTTGTCTCTGTGTCTTATTTTTCTGTCTCTCATCTCCACCTGATGAGAAATACCCACAGGTGTGGAGGGGGAGGCCCCCTTCACCTATATTAAGCTAAACATGAGTTCATACTGATTCTCCAACTTGAATCCATTAGCACTTGGATCATACTAACCTCCTCCTGTTCGTTATCTATAAATGCTCACCCCAACAGTGAGACCCTGGACTCAGAAGCATTTTAATTACCAAATTTCATTCTCTTACTAGCTATTCAGGTTATCCGTTTCACTTTGGCTGAGCTTTGGTAGTTTGTGGCTTTCAAGGAATTGGTCCATTTCTTCGAAATTGTTGAATTTATGAGTTTAAAATTGTTAATAGTATTGTCTTATTATCATTTTAATGGCTTAAGGGTTTCTTATGATGTCACTTTTTTGTTCTTGATATTGGTATTCCGTGTGTGCTTTTTTTTAATGTTTGTCAGTCTTGATTGAGCTTTATTATTATTTTTTATTTTTTTCAAAGTATTGGCTTTTTGTTTAATTTTCTGTTTTTCTATTTTCAATTTCATTGATTTATAACTTAATCTTAATTTTTCCTTCCTTATGCATACTGTGACTTTTTGTAGATATTTATTTTTTAGTGCTTTTTGAGATAGGAATTTGGATGATTGATTTGAGGTCTTTCCTCTTAGGTAAACTTCTAGTGCTATAAATTTTTCTCTCAGTGTTTGAGAGTTTTTCTCTCAGTGTTTTTCTCAGCACAAATTTTGGTGTGCTGTATTTTCATTTTCATTCTGTTCTGTGATTTTTAAAGTTTCATTTGAGACCATGGATTATTTCCTTTGACCTACAGATTATTTAGAAGTGTGTTTAATTTCCAAGTGTTTGGAGATTTTTCTTTTGTGTTTCTGTTATTGATTTCTTGTTTCATTCCCTTATAATCAGAAAACACACTCTGTATGACTTCTCTTCTTCTAAATGTGTTTTATGACCTAGGATATAGAGAGTCATTTTGATGAATGTTCCGTGTGTACATGAAATGAATGTGTATTATGCTTTTGTTGTATGGAGAGTTTTATAAACCTCAGTTAGGTCTTACTGGCTGAAGATGGTGTGTTTAATCCTTCTAAATCCTTGCTGACTTTTTGTCTAGTAGGTCTATCAATTACTGTGAGTGGGATGTTGAAATCTCCAACTAAAATTGCGTATATGTCTATTTCTCCCTTTAGTTCTCTCAGTTTTTGCTTCATTTACGTTAATGCTCTGTGGTTTGGTGCATATACCTTTAGGATTGCTCTACATTTTTGGTGGATTGCAACTTTTATCATTGTGTAATGTCTGTTTTTTCTCTCTACTGCTTTTCTTCTGTCTGAAATCTTTTCTTTGACATTAATATACCCACTTGTGCTTTTTGGGTTAATATTTACTTTTTTTTTTGCATCCTTTTACTTTCAACCTACATATGTCATGTTGGCAGAGAGTTTCTTGTAAACAACACATATTTTGCTGTTTTAAAAATTCATGCTGCCAATATCTGCCTTTTAATTTGTATATTTAGACCACTTATATTTAAAGCAATTATTGAGGCCAGACATAGTGGCTAATGCTTGTAATCTCAGCACTTTAGGAGGCTGAGGCAGGAGGATTGCTGGAGGCCAAGAGTTTGAGACCAGTCTCAAACTACCACCCTTTTGTAGAGACATAGCAAGACCCTGTCTCTACAAAAAATGAAAAAATTAGCCAGGCAGGGTGGCATGAGCCTGTTGACCCAGCTACTTGAGATGCTGATATGGGAGGATTGCTTGAGCCCAGGAGTTCAAAGCTGCAGTGAGCCATGATTGTGCCACTGTACTCCAGACTGGGCAACAGAGTGAGAACCTGTCTCAAAAAAAAGTAATCATTGATATGTTAGGGCTTAAGACTGCCATTTTACTTTTTGTTTTCTATCTGTTTGCACCATTTTTTATGCCTCTTTTTCTTTTTTCTCTTATCAGCCTGTGCGTTATGTGGACATAGAGTTCCATTTTGATGCATTTTTGACATATTTGAGGATACTATTTGCAAAATTTTCTTATTGCTTGCTCTAAGTATTACTATATACAAATATAACTTTCACAGCTTACAGCTATTGATGTTTTACCAGTTTGAATTAAGTATAGAAACATTAATCACATTTAGGTTCTGTGATGGTTAAAATGAGGTGTCAACTTGATTGGGTTGAAGGATGCCTAGATAGCTTGTATAATATTGTTTTTGGGTGTGTCTGTGAGGGCTTTGCCAGAGGAGGTTGACATTGCAGTCAGTGGACTGGAAGAGGAAGACCCACCCTCCATTTGGGTGGGTACCTTCCAATCGGCTGCTAGTGTGGCTAGAACAAAGTAGGAAGTAGAAGGTAGGATAAGCTGGCTTGCTGAGTCTTCTTGCTTTCATCTTTCTCTCATGCTGGATTCTTCCTTCTATTCCTCCTGCCCTTGGACATCAGACTCTAGGTTCTTTGGAATTTAGACTCTTGGACTTAAACACCAGTGGTTTGCAGGAGCCTCTTGGGCCTTTGGGCACAGACTGAAGGCTGCACTGTCAGCTTCCCTGCTTTTGAGGCTTTTGGACTCGAACTGAGCGACTGCTGGCTTCTTATTTCCTTAGCTTGCAGAGGGCCTATCATGGGACTTGGCCTTTTGATCATGTGAGCCAATTTTCCCTAATAAACTGCCTTTCATATATACATAGATCCTATCAGTTCTATCCCTGTGGAGAACACTGACTAATACAGCTTCCTTTACCTTCCCACTTAAAAAAGTATAATTGTCCTGGGTATTTCCTCTGTATACATTGAATACCACATGAGGTAGTATTATAACTTTTACTTCAAACATAAAACATGATTAAAGAAACACATAAAGTGAAGAATATTCTATCATGTATACTTCTCCTTTTACCAATTTCATTATTTTCCTTTATGAAAATTCTGTCTTGCTGTTTTCATGTTCTTTCTGTTTTCATTTTATTTCTGTTTGGAGGGATTTCTTTAGCCATTCTTGAAGGGTAAGTCTGCTAGCAACAAATTCTCTTAGTTCTCTTTCATCTGAGAATATCTTTATTTTTCCCTTCACTCCAGCAGCATGGTGTTGGTAGAAGAGCCGAGCCAGGACTAGCTTGTCTGTCATAATGTAAAAAAGTCTTGGAACATGTCCTGGGTCCAGGGTCTAAACCCCCTTGTGGCCTTTGGAACACCAAGCTCTGTGCCAAAGGGTGGAAGGCTGCCCTGTGGCACCACAGTCTAAGCCCAGGGCATAAAACCCCTCATGGCTTGAATGGAATCCAGGGCTCAGGGCGTCAAAACCCTCATAGCCTCTGGAATGTGTCCAGACTTGCTGGCTCCTTGCTTCTTGCTCTCCCAGGATCATAAATTGATTGTATCTTGAGTTGGAAGAACATGTTCTCTATTATCTCAAGTAGCAGAGCATGTTCCATGTGCTTCAAAGGAAATGCTAAACCGTCACAGCTATGCTTGATGCAGCGCTACCTTTCTACCCCCACATCTGCACATCCTCACCACCTGCTTCTTTGTTTGATCACCAATAAATAGTATGGGATCCCAGAGCTCAGGGCCTTTGCAGCCTCCATACCAGCATTGGCCCCCTGGACCCATCTTATGCACTCTTAACCTGTCTTTTCTCATTCCTTTGACTCTGCTGGACTTCGTAGCCCCCACAGCCTGGTATTGGGTCTGATCATGCCAGTATTCCTAGCTCCCAACATGGTGCTATGAATACCCTGGTGAAGGAACACTAGAGCGTGTGGAGGTGGAGGATGCATCATCAGAGGACACCTGAGGACGACTGAAAGAAGCTAGAATAAATGTTACAGGAGAAAAATATCCTTCTTTCAGTTCTGTCCAACAAGGACCTAAAGAACCATATACTGATTTTATTGCTCGGCTCCAAGAGACTATGCATAAAGCTGTAACTGACAGAACAGCTCAAGATGTTGTAATACATCTCCTTGCATATGATAATGCCAATATAGAGTGTCAAGCTGCTATTAAACCTATGAGACGGAAGGTCATTTGGCTGAATATATTAAGGCTTGTGATGCATTGGGGGTAACTTACATAAGGGCTACTCTTCTAGCTCAAGCTATGACTGGACTAAAGGTGGGAAAAATATGCCCTGTTTCTCAGGCTCTTGTTTTAATTGTGGGCAATTTGGACACACAAAAAAAAGTAATATAAAAAGGAAATCAACAGGCGAGGGATACTACCAGTAAGCAACAAAGAAGTCCTGGTATCTTCCCCTGATGCAAGAAGGGCAATCACTGGGGAAATCAGTGTCATTCTAAATTTAGCAAAGATGGGCAACCTTTTTTGGGAAATGGGAAGAGGGGCCCGCCTCAGGTCCCTCAACAAACCGAGGTGAATCCGGCACAGTCAGTGCCGTTACAAATGTACAATAATTGTCCCCTGCCACAGCAGGCTGTGCCGCTGCAGATCTTTGCAGCACAGTTCCCATTTCCTTACATCCTGGGGAGCCACCAAAGAAGGTCCCCACAGGAGTTAGGGGCCCTTTACCCTCGGGAACAGTTGGGCTATTGCTTGGAAGGTCTAGTTTAAATTTAAGAGGTGTCACTGTACATACAGGAATAATTGATTCTGATTATACCAGAGAAATTCAATTAGTTATTAGTTCCTCAACTCCGTGTCTGCTTCCTCAGGAGAAGGAATTGCTCAGTTATTACTATTACCTTACACCAAGCTAGGAAGTAGTACAGTAAAAAGAACAGGAGGCTTTGGTAGTACAGATCCAGCAGGAAAGGCTGTCTATTGGGTTAATCAAGTGTCTGACAAAAGACCTATTTGTACAATAACCATTCAAGGTAAAGACTTTGAATGATTAGTAGACATTGGAGCTGATGTCTCTATTATTGCTTTAAATCAATGGCCCCGAAATGGCCCAAAGAAAAGGCTTCAGTGGGTATTGTTGGCATAGAGACTGCCTCAGAAGTTTTTCAAAGTTCTTTAATTTTGCCATGCCAAGGGTTGGATGGCCAAGAAGGGACAATTCAACCCATTTACACCTATTCCTGTCAATCTATAGGGTAGAGTCTTATTACAATGATGGGTTGCTGAAATATCTATTCCTGTGGATCAGTATAGTAATAACAGTAAAGAAATGATGAGAAAAATGGGATATCTCCTGGGGAAAGTACTAGGAAAAAATGAAAATGGCCAACCAGAACCTTTAGAATTAAAAGGGCACACAGATCGAACTGGATTAGGGTATCATTTTTAGGAGAGGCCATTGCTGAGCCTCTGGCTCCCATTCCTCTTGTTTGGTTAGCTGCCAAACCAGTTTGGGTAGAGCAGTGGCTGCTGAAACAGGAAAAACTGGAGGCTTTAAAAGAATTGGTGCAGGAACAATTGCAAAAGGGACACATAGAGCCTACTTTCTCTCCTTGTAATTCTCTTGTGCTTGTTATTAAGAAAAAATCAGGTAAATGGAAAATGTTAACAGCTTTAAGGGCTATTAATGCTGTAATTCAACCCACGGGCATGCTGCAACCAGAGCTGGCTTCCCCAACTATGATTCCTAGATACTGGCCTCTCATAGTGATAGATTTAAAAGATTGCTTCTTTACTATTCCTTTAGCTACCCAAGATTATGAAAAATTTGCTTTTACTGTTCCTGCTGTAAATAACAAAGAACTAGTGGACAGATACCATTGGAAAGTATTACCAGAAAGCATGTTAAGTAGCCCAACTCTTTGTCAAACTTATGTCAGACAAGCTATTAAGCCAGTTAGAGAACAATTTTTAAAATGTGATAGTATCCATTACATGGATATTTTATGTGCAGCTGAAACTAGGGAGGAATTAATGTTATGCTACAAACAATTAGAAAAGGCTGTAATGGCAATAGGGTTAATCATAGCCCCTGATAAAATCCAAACTTCTACCCCCTTTCAATATTTAGTAGTGAAGGTAGAATAAAGTTATATTAAGCCTCAAAAGGTTCAAATTCGAAGAGATAATTTAAAAACTCTAAATGGTTTTCAAAAATTTTTAGGAGATATTAATTGGATTCATCCCACATTAGGCATTTCTACTTATGGTATGTCTCACCTCTTTGCTACCTTACAAGGTGATTCTGAGCTTAATAGTAAACGCTCTGTATCCAAAGAAGCATTAGAAGAACTTCAATTAATTGAAGAAAAAGCACAGGTGAAACGAATTGACCCTACACAGCCATTACAGTTTTTAGTTTTTCCCACTAAACGTTCACCTACAGGAGTTATTGTTCAACAGAATGATCTGGTTGAGTGGCTTTTTCTACTTCACAATGCAACTAAAACGCTCACCCTGTACTTAGATCAAATTGCTTTACTAGTAGGACAAGCAAGGCTGCACACAACAGAGTTAATGGGATATGATCCAAATCGGATTATAGTTTCATTAAACAAACAACAAATTCAGCAAGCTTATATTAATTCCCAGGAATGGCAAGTTAATTTGGCTGGTTTTATTGGTGTTCTTGATAGACATTATCCTAAATTCAAAATATTCCAGTTTCTTAAGTTAACATCATGGATATTGCCTTCCATTACTCAAAAAGCCCCTATTGAAGGGGCCATTACTGTTTTTACTGACGGGTTTGGTAATGGAAAAGACTCATTTGTAGGACCTCAACAACAAGTTTTTCAAACTGGCTTCACATCTGCTCAATGGGCTGAACTTATGGCTGTAATTATGGTGTTAAAAACCTTTAAACAGCCAGTTAATATTGTTTCTGATTCAGCTTATGTGATACAAGCCACACAAAATATTGAATGTGCTTTAATTCACAATGTGACTG
Organism: Homo sapiens; assembly: GCF_000001405.40. Taxonomy (NCBI): domain Eukaryota; kingdom Metazoa; phylum Chordata; class Mammalia; order Primates; family Hominidae; genus Homo; species Homo sapiens. The sequence goes on from NC_000010.11 coordinate 133,607,266, forward strand.
ATGAACAACTTAATCTTTTATTTCATTCTTTATAGCAAGCAGTACAACAAAGACACTCCCCTTTCTATATCACTCACATAAGAGCACACGTTAACCTCCCAGGCCCTTTGACTAAACTTAATCAAAGGGCAGATGCACTGGTTTCTGCAGCTTTTGATGATGCACAGACAATCCATTCTTTAGCCCATCTTAATGCCACAGGTCTGAGAAAAATATATAATTTATCATGGAAACAGGCTAAGGAAACTGCTCTGCCTGTCAAGTTTTACATCTACCACATCAAGGAGCAGGAGTTAACCCTAAAGGTTTATCTCCAAATTCCATCTGGCAGATGGATGTAACACATGTTCCCGCCTTTGGAAAATTGTCTTTTGTTCATGTTTCAGTAGATACTTATTCACATTTTATCTGGGCCACATGTCAAACAGGGAAGCTACAGCTCATGTTAAAAGACATCTTTTATCTTGCTTTGCAGTTATGGGAATTCCAAAAAAAATAAAAACTGATAATGGCCCAGGGTATTGCAGTAAAGCCATGACTGCATTTTTTCAGCAGTGGAATATTACTTATACTACAGGAATTCCATGAAACTCACAAGGACAAGCAATAGTTGAAAGAGCTAATCATACCTTAAAAACTCAAATACAAAAACAAAAAGGGGGAAATCAGACATATAAATCCCCACATATGCAATTACACTTAGCTTTATTTTAAATTTACAAAAAGATCAACCCATGACTGCAGCTGAACAACATCTGACAGGACAAAAGGAAAATAAAAGGCTGGACAAGATATATGGTGGAGGGATGCACATACAAAAAGGTGGGAAAAAGGAAAAATAATTACATGGGGAAGAGGATTTGCTTTTGTCTCTCCAGGTGACAATCAGTTGTCTGTGGGTGCCCACCAAACATCTGAAGATCCATCATGAGCCACACCAGGAAGAGAGGACCCTGGGAAGAGCCAGAGCTCCCTATACAAGTGATGGCATGAATGAACATCTCAGAGACAAAGAAAAAGACTGTGAATACTCGCCAGGTGGATCTTCCAACATGGGGCCAAGTCAAACTGGCACAGATGGCAGAGGCCAACCTCAGAGCACAGAACAAACCAAAAACAACTAGTAAGTTAAAGGTGGCCATGCTGGCAGTACTGTCTGTGGCAGACCTTTTGGATTCAAAGTTGTGTCCAGCCACCTTTTATGTTAGCAATAGGAAATGTTATTCTTGACATAAATACCCATTCTATCACATGCCCCGAATGTCACTTGTTTAGTTGCATTAACTCAACCTTTGATAAAAATCAAACTTTCTTGTTAATTAGAGCCAGAGAAGGAGTTTGGATCCCTGTGTCTCTAAATAGACCACGGGATGCATCACCATCCATTCATATTGTAACTGAGATTCTTAAAAACCTGTTATCCCATTCAAAAAGATTCACAGTTGCTCTTGTATTTGCTATAATTGGCCTCATTGCTGTTACCACTACTGCTGCAGTAGCTGGTGTGGCTTTACACTCATCTGTGCAGACTGTTGAATTTGTTGATAAATGGCAAAAGAATTCTACGAAATTATGGAACTCTCAGGCCCAAATAGATCAAAAGATAGTCAAATCAGTGATCTCTGTCAGACAGTAATTTGGATGGGGGATCACATCCTAAGTTTAGAAACTAGAATTCAAATGCGTTGTGTTTGGAATATATCCGATTTTTGCATTACTCCTCATAGTTACAATGAGACAGAACACCAATGGGAAAGAATTAAACGCCATCTAGAGGGCAGAGAGGAAAATCTCACCTTCAATATTGTAAAACTGAAAGAGCAGGTTTTTGAAGCCTCTCAGGCTCACTTGGCCCTGCCCCCTGGCACTGATATTTTAAACAAGGCAGCTGATGAGTTGTCTGCAATCTATCCTCTTAAATGGATTAAGACCATTGGAAACTCTACACTTGTAAACTTTGTTCTAGTAACTGTGTGGTTGTGCTGTCTCCTTTTAGTCTGCAGATGTGGAAGCTGCCTCTGGACAGGAAGCCCCTGTAGAGAACAAGCAATGATAGCTGTGGCAGTTTTGCAAAAATAAAAGGGAGACATGTTGGTAGAAGAGCTGAGGCAGGACTAGCTTGTCTGTCATAATGTAAAAGAGTCTTGGAACATGTCCTGGGTCCAGGGTCTAAACCCCCTCATGGCCTTTGGAACACCAAGCTCTGTGCCAAAGGGTGGAAGGCTGCCCTGTGGCACCACAATCTAAGCTCAGGGCATAAAACCCCTTGTGGCTTTGATGGAATCCAGGGCTCAGACCATAAAACCCCTCGTGGCCTTTTGAATGTGCACCGACTTGCTGGCTCCTTGCTTCTTGCTCTCCCAGAATCGTAAATTGATTGTATCTTGAGTTGGAAGAACATGTTCTCCATTATCTCACGTAGCAGAGCATGTTCCATGTACTTCAAAGAAAATGCTAAACCGTCACAGCTACGCTTGATGCACCACTACCTTTCTACCCCCACATCCGCACGTCCTCACCACCTGCTTCTTTGTTTGATCACCAATAAATAGTGTGGGCTCCCAGAGCTCAGGGCCTTCACTGCCTCCATACTAGCGTTGGCCCCCTGGACCAACCTTATGCACTCTTAGCCTTTTCTCATTCCTTTGACTCTGCCAGACTTTGTAGCCACCATGGCCTGGTGTTGGGTCTGATCACCTGTAGGGAAAAGAAAAAGAGATCAGATTGTCACTGTGTCTATGTAGAAAGGAAAGCCATAAGAGACTCCATTTTGAAAAAGAGCTGTACTTTAAACAGTTGCTTTGCTGAGATGTTGTTAATTTGTAGTTTTGTCCCAGCCACTTTGCCCCAGCCACTTTGACCCAACCACTTTGATCCAATCTGGAGCTCACAAAAACATGTGTTGTATGAAATCAAGGTTTAAGGGATCTAGGGTTGTGCAGGACGTGCCTTATTAACAAAGTGTTTACTAGCAGTATACTTGGTAAAAGTCATTGCTATTCTCTAGTCTCAATAAACCAGGGGCACAATACACTGCGGAAAGCCGCAGGGACCTCTGCCCTTGAAAGTTGGGTATTGTCCAAAGTTTCTCTCCATGTGATAGTCTGAAATATGGCCTCATGGGATGAGAAAGACCTGACTGTCCCCCAGCCTGACTCCCATAAAGGGTCTGTGCCGAGGTGGATTAGTAAAAGAGGAAAGCCTCTTGCAGTTGAGATAGAGGAAGGCCACTGTCTCCTGCCTGCCCCTGGGAACTGAATGTCTCGGTATAAAACCCGATTGTACATTTGTTCAATTCTGAGATAGGAGAAAAACTGTCCTATGGTGAGAGGTGAGACATGTTTGCAGCAATGCTGCCTTGTTATTCTTTACTCCGCTGAGATGTTTGGGTGGAGAGAAACATAAATCTGGCCTACGTGCACATCCAGGCATAGTACCTTCCCTTGAACTTGATTATGACATAGATTCTTTTGCTCACATGTTTTTTGCTGACCTTCTCCTTATTATCACCCTGCTCTCCTACTACATGCCTTTTTGCTGAAATAATGAAAATAATAATCAATAAAAACTGAGGGAACTCAGAGACCGGTGCTGGTGCAGGTCCTTGGTGTGCTGAGTGCCGGTCCCCTGGGCCCACTGTTGTTTCTCTATACTTTGTCTCTGTCTTATTTCTTTTTATTATCACCCTGCTCTCCTACTACATTCCTTTTTGCTGAAATAATGAAAATAATAATCAATAAAAACTGAGGGAACTCAGAGACCAGTGCTGGTGCAGGTCCTTGGTGTGCTGAGTGCCGGTCCCCTGGGCCCACTGTTGTTTCTCTATACTTTGTCTCTGTCTTATTTCTTTTCTCAGTCTCTCGTCCTCCCCGACGAGAAATACCCACAGGTGTGGAGGGGCAGGCCACCCCTTCAATCACCCCAGCAGATGGCTTCACCAGATATAGGATTTAGCATTGACAGATCTTTTCTTTCAGCAGTAAAAACTGTTGTTCCTCATTCACGCCTGCAGCAGAGCTGTCCAGCATCCACATGCCCCCTCCACCTGGGCCTGATAATGCTGGTGACCCCACCCATTCCAGTGGCAGAGCCACCATGTGCCTGCTTGCCCCCTTCCCCCTTGTGCTCAAGGACTTGCCCACCCAGCAGCCTCTGCCCCAAGAAAAGACATGCCATATCCCCCCAAAACACCTACAATCTAGGCCACTCAGGCATTTGCAGACACTGCTGACATTGAACACAGTAGAAGAAGTCTTACAGAGACTACACTACTGTGCCCACTCAGAACCAAAGCCAAAACACCCTATCCAATCAACATTATAGGATACATCTGCAGGAAAAATGCTTTCTCTATGAAAGCTACTCCATAAAATAAGAGAGCAACCATTCCATGAAATATGCAGACACCAATGTAGAAACATGAAAAGACACACGAAAAAGTAAGGAAACATGACACCTTAAAAGGAACACAATTCTCTCTCTAGTAGCAGACCCCTAAGAAAAGAAAATCTACAAAATGCATGAAAAGTAATTCAAAATAATGATCTCACAGAAACTCAGCAAGAAACAATGCAATATAAAGAGACAATTCAACAAAACCAGAAAAACAATTCCTAATATGGAGAAATTCAACAAAGAGATAGATGTCATAAAGTGAACAAAAGTCTCATAACTGAAGAATTCAATTAATGAAATAGACATACAATCAAGAACTTCAACAATAGACTAGACTAAGCATGAGAAATAATTCCTGACTTTGAAGAAGACAGATCTTTTGAAATAACCTTCTCAGACAAAAAAATAAGTTTTAAAAATGAAAAAAGCCTATGGGACTTATGGAACAAGAGTAGGCTAATAAATATTCACTTTATGGAAGGTCAAGAAGATGAAGACATGGAAAAAGGGATAGAAAACCCATTTATGGAAATAATAACTGAAAACTTCTCAAGTCTAGGGAGAGATATGAACATCCAGATACAAGAAGCTCAAATATCTCCAAATAGATTCAATACAAAAAGGTCCTCTCCAAGGTACATTATAGTCACATTGTCAGAAGTCAAAGAGAAATAGAAACTTCTAGAAACAGCAAAAGTATTGAGTAATATATAAAGGAATGTCAATAAGACTAACAGTAGATTTTTCATCAGAAACTTTGCAGTCCGGGAGAGAATGGCATGATATGTTCAAAGTGCTGAAGGAAAAAAACCTGGCCAGCAAGAATATTATAGCCAGCAAATCTGTCCTTCAGAAATGAAGGAGAAATAGTCTTTTCTAGACAAGCAAACCTTGATCATCATACTAGCTCAGCCCTACAAGAAATGCTTAAGGGAGTCCTACATCTAGAAGTGAAAGGATCTTAACCACCATGATAAAATCTCACAAAAGAATAAAAATCACTAGGAAATCAGGGCTTGGTGATTTATTGAATGTGGGACGAGCAAAAGAAAGGGTGGAACAAAGGACTATGGCTGGACTACTGCCCTGGCCAAAGTGGCTGGTTCTGAGAAGGAGCACAGGGGAATGAGGAAGAAAGGACTGAGAGGGGAAGGATCATGTTGACATGTTAATATGAGCTGCCCATGGGGGGTGGAAATGTCCAGGAGGAAGTTAGATGGTGGATGCACACGTCTGAAGCTTTAAGGAGAGAAAACCTTCCTAGAATTCTCTTTACTTATCAGAAAAGACCCCAAAGCTAACAACACTTTGTAATCTCATGAGAAATGGCCAAAAGAATTAGAGCTTGACCCCAATTGTGGCTTTCCTCACAGGACTTCTCCCCGTTGGTTCCAGCAGTTTCCATGGTCCCAGGCCAGGGCTGGGACCCTGCACAGCCCCCTGGCGAAATAAGGCTGGGAAAGAACAATCACTTTGTGGGAAACTTGGAGGTTCAGGGGACTGCTGTTTGAAGGTGGTGGAGGGTGATAGAGTTAACTCAACACTGTGATCATGTGACTGGGTTGTAATGTGACTATGGGGAAACCACCCAACCTCTCTGGTCCATGGTTTCCCCATCTGTGCTGCAGGGCGGCTGGCTTGCAGGATAGTTCCTAAGAAGCATCCTCCTCATCAGCTCTCTAACTCTAAGCTTTAACTTTGATTAGACTTTTGCTGGAATTTCTCTGGCCCTGCCAGGGTGACAGAGTCAGGGGAGATTTTGAAGAACAAATCAGTCCAGACAACTGTGACATCTTTTATTTTCTAGATGGCATTGTTAGATATGGGGCTTTAATAAGTTGATCTGATATCTGGGGTCCACCAGGCCAGCTCTCTGAATGGCATTTTTCACTGTGTTACTTGATTTTTCTTTAATTGAATGTGGATCAGAATATAGATAAGGGAGCTGGATGCAGGAAGAAACCTTCAAAGGCAGGGGTTTTGCAGTCAGGGAACTATACTCTCCAAGAGATGGGAGGGTAGGGCATGTCGGGGAGGACCTGCATTCATGCCAAGCTGCAGTGTCACCTTTATTAATGATGACGGAGAGGGAGTCAGCAGGCAGCTAGTGTGGACTGCAGAGGATGGTAACCGGGAGGTGTTACTACTTTTCTAAAGGACAGGGAAGTGGGACAAATGGGAATTTTAAGAGGCGAGAGGTGAACAGAGGGAGGAGAGAAAGGCAAAAAAAAAAAATTGAGTATGATGTCATCTGGAAAATTGCAAACAAATGAATCAATGAAGTATCATTCCCAAAGCAGGGAGGCTTCCAGAGAAGGAGCCAGCCTGGCGGGGAGCTGGGGTCTGAAAGGAAGCACAAGCTGGGTTGGCTATGCAGTGCCCTAGCCAGAGATAAGCCACAGCCGGCACGTGAGCCCCAGGAATGGACTTCCACTTTCTTCTGTCTCTTTCTGCCCAGAGCCCCCCCTTTTTTTCCCTTGAAAGACATCAGACGGAATGCTGTATCCAAAAGGGCTTTACAAGAGCTCATTAATGTGAACCATTGGAGTTAGCTTTTTAAACAGTTATCTCTGATTTCAGCTTCATAGGATTTTTCTCATCATGGGGATCAGCTTCATAAAAGCCAGAGCATGATGATTCTGCCAATTTTTGCTGTTAACAGATGAAATAGTACTCCCTTTATAAAAATGAGGTGCAATGATTTCGGGTAGCTTTCTTTCCAGGCATTCACGGCCATCCTCATCATGATCATTTTCAGTGTTCCAAGCTGTCCTCCTGAGGCCAGCGTGGTGGTTCACTGCTGCTTCTACTGGGCCCAGTCCAGGTTTTCCCAGCTTCCCTCACTGGGACCAGCACAGGTGTTCACAGCTTTCTTCATTGGGCCCAGGCCATGGGTTCATAGCCATCTTCATCAGAGAAAGCCAAGGTGTTCACAGCCGTCCTTTCCATGTCCAGCTGAAGTTGCCCTCACTTGGGCCCAGCCCAGGTGTTAATAGTCATCCTCAGTGGGATTAGCCCAGTTGTTCACAGCATCTTTCTCGGGGTGAGTTTAGGTGTTTAGAGCCATTGATCTTGGGCCCCGCCAGCTGTTCGTAGGCATCCTCATGGGGGCAGGCCCAAGCGCTCACAGTGGCTCTCACTGAAACCAGGGCAGGTGTTTTTGGCTGTCTTCATTGGGCCCAGCCTAGACATTCACAGCTGTGCTCATGGTGACCAGCCAAAGTGTTTACAGCTTTCTTCATGGCAGTCATCCCTGGTGCCACAGCTGTCATTATTGGTTTAGCCCAAGTGTTCTCATCTGTTCTCTTTGGACCCAGGCCAGGTGTTCACAGCTGTCCTCACTGGCCCAGCCCAGGTTTTCATAGCTGGCCTCACTTGGCCCAGCTCAGGGGTTCACAGCTGTTTTCTTTGGGCTGAGCCCAAACACTCCAAGCTGTCCTTATAGGGCCCAGCCAAGTCGTTCACAGCTGTCCTCATTGGCTGCTAGCCCAGGTGTTAGTACTTGTCCTCACTGGGCCCAGGCTAGGTGTTCACAGCCATCCCCATCCAGGTCAGCCCAGGTGTTCACAGCCTCCCTTGTTTGTATGAGCTTAGCTCTTTATAGCAACAGTTTTTTATAGCTATCAATATCAAGGCAAGCCCAGGAATTCACGCTTCCTCTCAATGACACAAAGCCCAGGGTAAGAGCCGTTTTCATTGGCCCCAGGCCACTTGTGCATGGCCGTCTTCATTATGTCCAGCCCAGGGCTTCCCAGCTGTTTTCATCCAGGCCTGCGCCGGTGTTCACAGTGGTCCTCATCTAAGCCAGCCAAGGAGTTCTCTGTCATCCACGTGACAGCCAGCCCAGATGTCCACAACTGTCCTCATCGAGGCCGGCTAGTTTGTTCACACGTGTGCTAATTGGTTCCAGCCACCCTCATAGAGGCCATCCCAGGTAATGACAGCCATCCACACTGGACCCAGCCCAGGTGTCCACACCTGTCCCCATTGGGCCTAGCCCTGGTGTTCATGGCTTTTCTCACAGGACTTCTTCCCGTTGGTTCCAGCAGTTTCCATGGTCCCAGGCCAGGGCTTCCCAGATGTCCCCCACAGGGACAGCCCATCTGTTCACTGTTGTCTTAATTAGGCCGGTGCAGATGTTCATGGCTGTCCTCATTTGGCTCAGCCAAAACGAACAGAAAGGTCCTCCTGAGCGCACACCAGGTGTTTCTAGCTATCTACATTGGGGTCGGCCCAGGTGTTGATGGCCATACATTCTGGGCCCATCCCAGTTATTCCAGGCTGTCCCCTTGGCCCCAGCCCAGGTGTTCACAGCCATCCTCATTGGCCCCAGCCCAGGTGTTCACAGCCATCCTCATTGGTCCCGGCACAGGTATTCACAGCCATCCTCATTGGTCCCAGCACAGGTGTTCACAGCTATCCTCCTTGACCCCAGGCCAGATGTTCACATTCAGTCTCACTGGGCCCAGCCCAGGTATGCAATGCTTTAATTACTGGGAATAGCTCATGCTTTCACACCTTTCTTCACTGGTGACTACCAAATTTGTCAAAGCTGTCGTTGGCCAAGCCCCATTGTACACAGTCATCCGCATTGAGGAGAGCACAAGTGTTCACAGCTATCCTCATTGGACTGAGCCCAGTTGTTCGTTGCAGTCGTTACTTGGGGAAGTCCAGGTTTTCTCTCATGTCCTAATTGGGGACCAGCCCAGAAGTTAATAGCCCTTTTTATTTGGGCCAGCCCAAGCATTCACAGCTATTCTTGTCATGATCAGTCCATCTGTTCAAAGCTGTCCTCCTGGGCCCAGCCTAGCAGCAGTTTTCACTGGGCCCAGGCCATGTGTTCATAGCTGTCGTCTTCTGAGAACACCCAAGTTTTCACCGACATCCTCATTTGTGTCCAGCTGAAGTCGTCCCCGGGGCAGGGGTGGGGGGCCCAGCCCAGGTGTTAATCATCCTCAGTGGGATTAGCCCAGTTGTTGCCAGCGGTCTTCATTGGGGTGAGTCCAGGTGTCTGTCAAGAGCCATCCATACTGGGGTCAGTGAGGTGTTTGTTCATAGCCGTCCTCACGAGGGCAAGCCCAGACTTTCAAAGGGGCCTTCATTGGCCCCAGGCTAGCTGTTCACTGATGTCTTCATTGGGCCCAGCCTAGACATTGTTAGCTGTGCTCATGGAGGCAGCCAACATGTTTTCAGCAGTCTTCATTGCACTCAGCCGTGGTGACACAGCTGTCCTTATTGGCTCACCCCAAGTGTTCTCAGCTGTTCTCTTTGGACCCAGGCCAGGTGTTCACAGCTGTCCTCACTGGCCCAGCCTAGGTTTTCATAGCTGTCCTCACTAGGCTCAGCTAAGGTTTTCACAGCTGTTTACTTTGGGCCTAGCCCAAATACTCCAAGCTCTCCTCTTAGGGCTTAGCCAAGGCATTCACAGCTGTCCCAATTGGTAGCTAGCCCAGGTGTTAATACTTGTCCTCACTGGGCCCAGACCAGTGTTCACAGACATCCTCATTAAGCCAATCCAGGTGTTCAATGCTGAGCTCAATGGGCCCTGCCTAGCTCTTCATAGCTGTCCTCACTGGGCCCAGGCCAGATGTTCACAGCCGTCCTCATCAAGGTCAGGCCAGGGGTTCACAGCCGTCCTCATTCATATGAGCTGTTTTTCATAGCAGTCAATATCAGAGCAGCCCAGGTGTTCACCCATTTCCTTGATGGCATCAAGCTTAGGGATTAAGAGCCATTTTTATTGGCCCCAGACCACCTGTTCATAGCTGTCTTCATTGTGCCCAGCCCAGGCGTTCACAGCTGTCTTCATCCAGGCCTGCACAGGTTTTCACAGTCGTCCTCATCTAAGCCAGTCAAGGAGTTCTCTGTCATCCGCATGACAGCGAGCTCAGATGTCCATAGCAGTCCTCATCGAGGCCAGCAAATCTGTTTATACCCATGCTAATTGGGGCCAACCACCCTCAAGAGGCCATCCCAGGTACTGACAGCCATCCTCACTGGGGCCAGCCCATGTGTCCACAGCTGTCCTCAGTGGGCCTAGCCCAGGTGTTCAAAGCTTTCCTCATTGGACTTAATCCAGGTGTTCTCAGCAGTTCCCATGGTCCCAGGCCAGGTGTTAACCTGTGTCCTCAATGGGGATAGGCTAGGTGTTCACAGCTGTTTTAATGGGGCCAGGTGCAGATATCCACAGCTGTCCTCATTGGATGCAGCCAAAATGGCACAGCTGTCCTCCTGAGCCCAGCCCAGGTCTTTATAGCTGTCCACACTGGGGTCAGCCCAGGTGTTCGTAGCCATATGTTTTGGGCCCAGCACAGTTAATCCGAGCTGTTCTCCTAGGGCCCAGCCCGGGTATTCATAGGCATCCTCATTTGTCCCAGAACAGGTGTTTGCAGCAGTAGGCCAGATGTTCACATCCAATCTCACTGGGCCCAGCCCAGGTATGCAAAGCTGCCTTTACTGGGAGCAGCCTATGCTTTCACAGCCGTACTCGCTGGTGCCAGCCACATTTTTCAAAGCTGTCATTTGGCTGAACCATGGTATACATAGCCATCCCCATTGCCCACAGCTCAGGTATCCATAGTCATCCTCACTGGGGCCAGCTCAGGTGTTCCCAACTATCCTTATTTGTCTCAGCACAGGTGTTCACGGCCGTTCCCATTGGCTGAGCTCAGTTGTTCATTGCTGTCATTACGTGGGCATGACCAGGTATTCACGGCTGTTCTAACTGGGTGCGAGCTCAGGAGTTAATAGTGCTCCTCATCTGGGCCAGCCCAGGCATCCACAGCCGTCCTCATGATGATGGTCAGTGTCCGTGTTCAAAGCTGTCCTGTGGCCAGCCCGGGCGCTCACTGTGGCCAGCCTGGGCGCTCACTGTGGCCAGCCTGGGCGTTCACTGTGGCCAGCCTGGGTGTTCACTGCTGCTTTTACTGGACCCGGCCCAGGTTTTCCCAGCTTCCCTCACTGGGGCCAGTGCGGGTGTTCACAGCTTTCCTCATTGGGCCCAGGCCAGGGGTTCATAGCCATCTTTGTCAGAAGCAAAGGTGTTCATACCCAGGCCAGGGGTTCATAGCCATCTTCGTCAGAAGCCAAGGTGTTCACAGCCATCCTTTCCAGGTCCAGCTGAAGTCGCCCCCGCTTGGGCCCAGCCCAGGCGTTAATAGTGGTCCTCAGTGGGATTAGCCCAGCTGTTCACACCGTCTTTGTCGGGGTGAGTTTAGATGTTGACAGCCATTCATCTTGGGCCCAGCCAGGTGTTTATAGCCATCTTCATTGTGGCAAGCCCAAACGCTCACAATGGCTTTCGTTGACCCCACACCAGGTGTTCTTGGCTGTTTTCATTGGGCCCAGCCTAGCCATTCACAGCTGTGCTAGTGGAGACCAGCCAAGGTGTTTACATCTGTTTTCGTGGCAATCAGCCCCGATGCCACAGCTGTTCTTACTGGCTTAGCCCAAGTGTTCTCAACTGTTCTCATTGGACCCAGGCCAGGTGTTCACAGCTGCACTCACTGGGCCATGCCTACGTTTTCATAGCTGCCTTCACAGGACCCAGGTTAGGTGTTCACATCTGTCCACACTGTGTCCAGCCCAGGTATTTAAAGTTTTCCTCGTGGGGCCCAGCCAAGGCGTTCACAGTCAGTAGCAAGCTCAGGTGTTAACGCTTGTCCTTCTCAGCCTAGACCAGTGTTCACAGCCATCCTCATCGGGTCAATCCAGGTGTTCTAAGCTGTTCTCTCTGGGTGCAGGCCAGGTGTTCACAACCTTCCTCATTGGGGAAAACCCAGTTGTTAAATTTTTTTTAGTGGGTGCAGCTCAGTGCTCACAGCCGTTTGCATCTGACCCGTCTCAGGTGTTCATAGCTGTCTTCATTGGGACCAGCCCCGCTGCTAACAGCTTCCCTCATCTCAGCCTCCCCAGTTGTCCATAGCCATCTTCTTTGTTTCTAGCCAAGTTCTTCACAGCTGTCCTCACTAGGCACAGCCCACTTAATCACAGCCATCCTCCTGAGGGCCAGCCAGTGTGTTCACCCCATGCTCACTGGGCCAGCCAAGATACTATAGCTACCTTTATCCAAGCCAATCCCCGTGTTTATAGCTGTCCTCTTTCGGCCCCCTCAGGTTTTCACAGCTGTCAACATTGGGTCTGGCCCAGTTGTTCACAGCCATTCTCATTTGGGTGATCTAAGGTGTTCATAACAATCAATAAGGCAGCCAGCCCAGGTGTTCTGGCTGGTTGTTCATGGGGGACCTGCCCAGGGCTTAAGAGCTGTTTTCCTTGAGCTCAACCGACCTTTTCGTAGCTGTCTTCATTGTGCACAGCCCAGGTGTTCACAGCTGTCCTCATGGGTCCTGTACAGTTATTCCCTGTGGTTCTCATGTAAGTCAGCTAAGATGTTCTGTCACTCACATTAGAGCCAGGTCCAATGTTCATAGCAGTCCTCATGGAGGTCTGCCGATTTGTTCACATCCATGCTAATTGAGGCCAGCCATTTGGACTGAAAAGCTTTCCCAAAGCTTTGCACTAATTCAAATGTCAATCTCACCCAGAGCCCCCTCTTGCATACCCAGCATAATGTTTGGCCAAATGTCTGTCCTCTGTGGGCCCGTCAGACGGACATGTGAAATTAACCTCAATGCAGGCTCTGAGGTTCCAGGCCCAGGCGGCCGGCATCCTCCAGCTTCCACTGATGTGTCCTGGGGGTTGCTGGGGACATGCTCTGCCTGGCTGCCTTGAGCTGTGACCTTGGTCTTTTCCAGGCTTTGGACTTGAACCTAAGCACAGGCTCTGTGGGTCTTGAGTGCCCAGCCTTCAGACTGGGATGAACTCCATCAGCTCTTTCGGGGTTCCAGCTGGCCAGTTGCAGATCTGGGGACTGCTTCATCTCCAGGGGATGTCATGCCCTGATGCCTTACTGAGCATCCCTAGTAGAATAAAATCAACATTCAGGGGTAGGGGGTCAACCTCAACCATCAACCACATTTACTGCCAAACCTGTAGGTTTTAAAAAATTCATTTCTTAATTTGCATAGAATAAAACACTCTTTTAGCTTATACTGTGGGTTTTGATAAATGCATAATTTGAGAACAGTTTGGCAGCTTCTTAGAGAGTTATATACACTTTCTCTATACAACCTAGCGATCGCACCCCTAGGCATTGGAACCCAAGAGAAATGAAACGTATGTTTTGGGATTCTGGCTTAACAAGACCTTTTCAAGGGGCCCTGGATTATTCAACTGGGAAAGGAATCTGTAAGAGTCATCTAGTCCAGGTGATTCAAAGGGTACCTGTGGAGTCTCTTTCGGGGCCATGAAGTGGGGCTGGGGGAAGCCCGGAGCTCTGGGGATCCTACCGTAACCCACCTGTTAACTTGTGAAAGACGCCTTCTGACCAATGATCACAAGATAAAAAACTTGGAAAGGCTCAAGAGAGTCTACATTACCCAAATAGATGTCAGCTACCCAGGAAGTTTACATGGTCCTAATTAGACCCTCCAAGGGAGGACAGCACAAGAGTGTGGACCCGGCGGTGGGCGTGAAGCTCTCCCCTGCTCCCTGCCCCTCATTACATTTCTTCCTCGCTCACTCCCCATGCAGGCGGCTCCAGGACTTGGCTTGTTGTCTGTCTCCCCTAAGAAGAACACAGCTTCTTGAGGGCAGGGCATTCTCTGTTACTGCAGGCTGTGTCCCCACCACCTGTCCTGTGGCAGCATCGGCATAGCTCAGAGCAGGTGCTGAATAAATGCTCGTGAACTTTGGAAACTTGTCACCATGCAGGATGAGAAAGGGCCATCCTCTCCCAGAGACGTGCATTTTCCTGTGTCACGGGGCCATGCGGTGATACACAGAAGTCTGGCTTCTGCAGGAGCAGGGAATCAACTTAAATGCCCATAATAACTGACTGGATCAAGAAAATGTAGTTCGTATGCTCCATGGAATACTATGCGGCTATAAAAAAGAAGAACACATCTTATTCAGAAACATGGACAGACCTGGAGACCACTATCCTAAGTGAACTAACTCAGGAACAGAAAAGCAAATACTGCACATTGTCACCTGTAAGTGGGAGCTAAATGATGAGAACACATGGACACAAAGAAGGGAACACCAGACACTGGGGCCTACTTGAGGGTGGGGGGTGGGAGGGGGAGAGGAGCAGAAGAGAGAACTATTGGGGGCCGGGCTCAGTACCTGGGTGATGAAATAATCTCCGTAACAAACCCCCATGACATGAGTTTACCTATGTGATAAACCTCTACATGCACCCCTGAACCTAAGATAAAAGTTAAAAAAAAGGTTTTGTGCTAAGAAAAAGCTTATTTTTTCATTCCCCTCCAGCTGTTAACTCACGGGGAGGCCCTCTTTCAGGGAGGCACAGAGGAAAATTAAGGGCTTCCTAGTGACAAGGCAGTTTGTCAGAAAGTCATGAGTGAGCACGGCAGGGCTGTGCAGGAAGTGTGTGTTGGACAGTATGACACACTGGCTTCTCACTCTGCTGCCTCTGATCAATAACACGTTTCCAGAAAGCCTTGTTTTCATGTATACAATGGAGTATAATTACTGCAAAGGTCCACTGAGACTTTTTTTTTTTTTGAGCCGGAGTCTCGCTCTGTCGCCCAGGCTGGAGTGCGGTGGCGCGATCTCGGCTCACTGCAAGCTCCGCGTCCCGGGTTCGCGCCATTCTCCTGCCTCAGCCTCCCGAGTAGCTGGGACCACAGGCGCCCGCCACCGCGCCCGGCTAATTTTTTGTATTTTTAGTAGAGACAGGGTTTCACTGTGTTAGCCAGGATGGTCGCGATCTCCTGACCTCGTGATCCGCCCGCCTCGGCCTCCCACGGTGCTGGGATTACAGGCGTGAGCCACCACGCCCGGCCAAACCAACTTTTTTTTAAAAAGGAAGATTTCGTTTAAAAGAAACCACCCTGAAGGGTGGAGTGTGGAACTGAGCTTCCGTGACGGTCTTGAGTTTTCCAGGCCCTCTGTGGGTGTCGCCGTTGCCGTGATAGTCTCACACACGCGGGGGTGTGGATCTCGTTCGTTTTCATGTAGAAAACGAGAGCGAAACTGCAGAGAAAAGAAACGTCGGGTGCATCACGGCCTGACCACGGATTCCTGTTTCCTGCAACAAGGGGAGTCTCCACTGTGGCCGGTCTGGAAACCGGAAAGGAGAGCGAAGTCACGATGCTGCTTTTCCACGCTTCGCTGGAGGTTTCTGTGTCCCCGCAGAGCTCGGGAAACAGCCAACGTGGTCGCGCTTTCGGGGGCGGGAGACACGCGAGCAACAGGCCCCTTGCAGAGGGCGAAGGAGCGTGGAACCCGGAATCACGGTTCACTCGGCCCGAGTGTGACTCCCGTGTGGACGGGCCTGTCCGCCTCGCGCTCTGTTGCTCAACGCGGGGCCGTGTCGTCTGTGAACCACGTGGATGGAAAACGGACAATCACCCGCGTCTCGGCTCATTGCTCTCATTCCTTGGGAGGCGGAATTCGTCCGAATTGCTCCGGGATGAAGTGACCCGGGCCGGCGATCCGGAGGGCTGGTGAGCTGGTGGGCGCCCCGCAAGCAGACGCGGCTGTGGGCCGAGCTCTCGGCCTGCACCGGGCACCCCACGTTTTCCCGGAGTGCGAGGTCCCGCTGGCCCTGGAGGCGGAAGACCGCTTTCCTCTCTGCTTTCCTCTCTGCTTTCCTCTCTGTCTCTTGCTCCCTTTCTCCCTCTGTCTTTCCCTCCCTCCCTCCCTCCCTCCCCGCTCCCCACTTTCTCCTTTCCAATGTCCCTCTATCCATCCGTCCTTTTCTCGCTCCATTCCTCCCTTTCTCTCTGTCTCTGTTCCTCTCCCCATCTCTATTTTTCAACATTATATGATCCCATTGTGTGTATCTGTGTGTTAACATTTTTTTAGCAATAAAATTCACTTTCATTATGTACATTGTTATTTAGACACATTATTTATGTATGTGCATTTGTTTAATAGACATGATTTATTTCAGCGTTATTCTACAGCAGAGTGTAAGCATAACTCATAAGCAGGGTCAACCCAAAAATTGTGTGACTCGCGTTACTGTGATTCTTTTATACTGCAGTGCTCGAGAATAAAATCTCTGTATCTCCAATTCATATCTGTATATTACCATTGAATTGGCCCCATTTCCTGTAGTGATAGAACACTATTCCCGCACTATGACAAGAGCTGTGGGCTGTGGGGAGGTCAGGGATAGGATGACACGGAAGTGACAATAAGACATTCTCTTTTTCACATTTTTATTAAATACAAATTCCATATGAAAGAAATTTAAAATTCCAAACAACATTGTTTATTTCATTACATAAAATGAAAATTATAAAGCAACCAAACAATTAATACACTTAGATAATGAAATAGTGTATGATCTCAGTACAAAATACAAGTAGAATATACGTCAAATATAACAAAATACACTGTATTGTAGTACGTGATGAAATCTCCATATCCTGCAATATAGTACAATCAATTGAAATGTATAAAATATAATAAAATATAAATTTAGGATGTTTAAAATGAAATGAAACATGAGGCAGGTCAATAAATAAGTACAATCATTTACCATTTACTATATCTTGACTTAAATTTTATGTAGAAATATTAAAAGTAAACAGCTTGCATAGTAATTTTACTATAATTATATCAAACAAAATATATAGACATTTTCCCACAGGGAGTGCTATTAATGGTTTGTGGATATTAGTACTCCATGGGTTCAGGCTGGAAGAGTGAGAGCCTACAACCTTTTCTGGATTAAAAGAGAAGCAATTTCTTGGTAAGGCGGCTCATGCCTGTAATCCCAGCACGTTGGGAGGCGGAGGCTGGCAGATCACCTGAGTTCGAGGCCAACCTGGCCAAAGTGACAAAACTCTGTCTCTACTAACAATACAGGAAAAAAAAAATTAGCCAGGCATAGCAGTACATGCCTGTAGTCCCAGCTGCTTGGGAGGCTGAGGCATGAGAATTGTTTGAACCCAGGAAGCAGAGGTTGCAGTGAGCTAAGATTGTGCCACTGCACTCCAGCCTGGGTAACATAGCAAGACTGTCTCAAAAAAAAAAACAAAAAAGGAGCACATAATTTTATATTTACTTTTCTACAATCTAAAATATGCAAATTCACGATTACATTCTAATGTTTTTCTGATTATATAGAAATGCATGACTGTCATCAGACATCCAAAAGGCATCAAATGTCTAACATGAAATATAAAATTTGTCTATAGTCTTAGCGGTCTGCAAAATTCAGGGCTCTCACCATTCTGAGTATACCGCTCAAGTTTCTTTCCTATGACTTCTTCAGGTTCTGTCATTTATTAACACAGTGTGTCTAAAATTGTCACTGCTGGTCATCTGGAAGAATCTGAGAAGAAGCAGATCCTTGTTCTCATTCCCAGAGCTGCATCTCTGCTGAATAGGGTCAGGGTGCTCACAGCTTAGCCTCATCTGATCCACTGACAGTCTCAGTTATCTCCTGCCCAGGGAAGGGATGGGCTTCTCTATCCAGGGCTGATTCCCCAGGACCTGGCAGTGTGGCTGGGACAAGCCAGCTCTCAGCAGGGAAGACATAAGCTGCCTGGGTGGCCATGGAATACAAGGTCTGCACCTGGGCACACAGAGGCCCCCGGAGCCGAGTGAGCAGTGTCAGCTGCTCACAGGTAAGTGGAGAATGGATCTGCTGTGCCCACACCTGGGCTAGGTCTTGATAAACAGCCTCTGACATAGCTCGCACAGAGGTCACCAAGCTTTTTCGAATTGACGGTGTTTGGACTCCTAGGGCCCGAGACCTATGCCGCTTGCTGCGCCCAGTGCAAGCCCTGGAACGTCCCCTATGGTGGGCATCACAGGTCTCCTGGATTTCACTGTTGTGCACAGGAGTGGAGGATCTTGATTTTTTATTCAATGACAAGCTGCACTCCTTTTCTGGACAGTTCCCTGCAAAGAAAGCATGTGAGAGACTCACCAGAGCAGTCCCCACAGACCCTGATTTCCAGAACCCCCTGTACACCCAGGTGAACCCCACTTGTCTCTCCCACTCCTTCCTGACCATCTCAGCACTGGAATGAAGTGAGGCTGAACCCCTTGTGAGTCCCCAAATATTCTCAGAGTGCTAAGATCTCAAAAATTTACTCGTCAATAAGTAACTCCCTTTCCGCTCAAGCCTCGTATAAAAGTTTCCTGATTATTTGCCTTTTGGGGCAAACCAAAAACAAAAAAACCACCACCAACAACAACAAACACCAAGATTCTACCTGCTGTGTCTTGGCAGCTGTCCTTGGAACTCATTTTTCTTTTCCTGCAGTTTTCCCGATATGAGCTGGACTCTGGTTCTGTGAACACAATGAGAGTTTGAGAAAGTGCCTCCAACTGAACACCCTGAAATTCCTAGTCCATCCTGGACACACAGGAGCTGAGGTTACCACCAAACCCCAGCTCTCTTCTGTTCTCCAGTGTCCAGGATCTGTACGGCCCTGGCTGCCAAGGAGCTCCCAGTTTCCTTGCCAGGGGAGCCTGTGTTGCTTCCCTGTCCCTTCTCACCTTGAAAGAGTCAAATCTTACCTGATCCAGCAGTGCTGTTCCCGGCCTTGAGCTTGGTTTCCTCAGAATTCTCCTTGTTTGGATTGGGCTCCGATCCTGCTGCAAGAGAAGGTTTAGGTGACTCACCTCTCCCTAGGCAGAGTCCCACAGTCTATCTCTGATGCATTTTTGCGGATCAGTCTTTCATGTGAAGCTCTTCTGCCAGTGTCACGAGTGAACACATTTCTCAAGTCCCCTGAGGGCACTAAGCCATTTCCCATCCCCAAATCTCAAAATAAAACCCTGCTAAAGACACAGCTCAGTATCCCTGATTCCAACCCTCCTTCCAGACTCCATAGGAGCAGCCCAAGGCCTTACCTTGCCTTTGTATGTGCTTCTCACTGGAATGGGAGAAGGCGGTCTTGCCTTTTTCTTTGAATGGTTTCTTCTCATCTGAGCCCTTTTCTGTAAAGGAGATCTGTTGGAAAGGGGGCTGGTCAGTGGAGCACTGGATGGAGGAGCAGTGGAGATCGGGGTCTTCATTTCCCTTTCCCATGTTGAAGCTCAAGTGAAAGGTGCGCTCTCTCTCACGTCCAAAGGCAGAGTGTGGGTTAGTCTGCTAGACCTGCCTTTTATACGTCCCTCGGCTGGGCGTGGCTTACTCTTATTGGCTGAAGAGTTTTCTCATTCCTGCCGCTTCTTAGAGCCTCAATCAGAAGTTTCTTGCTGTAGTTCTACTGGGGACCTAGACACAGTTAAAGGGAGACATTTTCAGGATCCTGTCATGGTGTCCAGAAAACAAAGAACCGGGAGCACAGGGACCGGAAAATCGGGGAAGCATTTCTTCCTATTTCTGTCCCAGTTCCTACCTGGAAGGATTTATGATCCTGTTCACCTTTCAAGATGCACAATTAAACATGCCTATATTGTCATATGTTATATATTTTGCACAGAAAGAGAATTTATTATACATAGTGTTAACATTGTATGCATAGATATTATAATTTCTTAAATGCTTGGAAACAACAAATGTCAAATTATGGTTGATTGTATTAGATCCACACATATATGATGAAATAAAAATGCAGAGAAAAAATAAATACCAAATGAAATGGCCCTTCCTACCTTAAAAATGGGGAAGATAATTAGATCAAATGCAATAAAATTGAATTGATTAGGTTGAGTCAGTGCTAACCTAATTAGCCCCTGATTCCTGAGGTAGCAAAAAGTCTCGGTGGAAAAACTTTCCCCCATTCTCACCCTTCCTCAGTCATCCTGGGAGCGCCATTGTGTTCTGTGGGCTTTATTCAGCCCTCCCTAGTGAAAATGGACTTGGTCTCAAACAGGTAACCCAACTGATCACAAGACAAACAGCCTAGATTCTGAACATCAGCTCCTGTCTTCACACTGCGGACACCACCTGAATCCCGTCAAAGCCCACATTGTTTCTCAACATCCACCAGCAAGACGTATTCCAGGGCAGCCTCTCAAAACTGCCTCAGTGAGACGGGACAAGGTGTGGTGGAGCTCCAGGTTCAGAACAGCTGCCTCATCCCTTCCTACTGCGGCGGAGTCTGTCTCTGCTGGTCAGAGCCCTCCAACTAGCCTAGTCTATGTCCAAGCAAGTGTCCCCTAAAAGGACCTTCTTGTCTCCCCCTCTGCTGAGGAAAGCATGCAGGAACGAGACCTTCTATGTTAAGGAGTACTCAGCCTCCAGTCCCAGATGACTTGATTGACTGATGAACTGATTCCTTGAGGAGGAGAAAGACACAGGGAAGAGACTGTGTTGGGTGAGTCTGTGTTTTCCCAGCTGTGCTGCCTGTGCAAATAGTGGAACGAAAAAAGAATTAGTGGTAGACAGACACTGCCTAGTGAAATTGTCTGAAAGTAAATGGAACTTATCATAATATGATATCGTTATATATTATAATATTATGATATGAAATTTGACATCTAAATAAATTTTGATATATTATGAAATAATATATAAAATTTGGTCAGGTAATTTCATAAATTTTGTAACAACATTAACCTATAAACTCAATAGAAAGCTAGGAAAATTGTCTGCTCTTGTGTAAATGACTGCGTTTTGGATAACTCTGTAAAAGCTGTGAAGAGGGGTCTGCTACTTACGTGATAGTAAGTACTTGATAAGACATCGACTTGCACATCTTTGCTGTTTTTAACCAATGCTCTCTCAAGATATGAGAATATTTTACTCTAAGAAAGTATTTTCCTAGATATCGTAATAGGAATTTTGTTAATTTTAGTTAATAAATTATTATAACATTTAGTGATTATTAATAATTTATGTCATTGTTAAAATATATTCCTACAGAGAACATATTACCCATGTGTTTTTATTTGTCCTTTAATCTCAGGTAAATTTTTTAAATTTTTATTTATTAAATTCTATTTATTTTAGACAAAAGAGACCTTGTAACTGCCATATGATGTACTTTCTTAGAAAGAGAAATTCTCAGGCAAAACTTAGGACTGGCTGGGCATGGTGGCTTATGCCTGTAATCCCAGCACTTTGCGAGGCCAAGGCGGGTGGATCACCTTAGGTCAGGAGTTCAAGGCTAGCCTAGCCAACATAAGGAAGCCCCATCTGCACTAAAAATACAAAAAAAAAAATTAGCTGAATGTGGTGGCTCATGCCTGTAATCCCAGCTAGTTGGGAGGCAGGAGGATTGCTTGAACCCGGGAGGCAGAAGTTTTGGTGAGCCGAGATCAATCCACTGCACTCCAGCTGGGCGACAGAGCAAAACTCCATCTCAAAAAAAGAAAAAACTCAGCCTTATTTTTATCAAAATCTAGATTTTAAATGACATTTCTAGGTGTCCCCTTTCAATAAAAATCCAAACCAAAACAAACAAAAAGTTTCTAGGTAATTCATATGAATATTAATAACTGTTAAATTGGGTACTTTTATTTTTAAGAGAGGGATTGTTTATATGGATGTGTTGATGTATCAAACATGTACAGTTAAAATTGTACCTTTTTTTGACAGAGCCTCACTCTGTCCCTCTGGAAGGAGTGCAGTGGTGCAATCACAGCTCACTGCAGCCTTGACCTCCCAGACTCCAGTGATCCTCCCAAGTCAGCCTCTCAAATAGCTGTGACTAGAAGTGTGCACCACTATGCCCAACTAACTTTTAAAAAATTGTTGTAGAGATGAGGTCTCACTCTCTTGCCCCAGTGAGGCCTTGTTATGTTGCCTAGGCTGGTCTCAAACTCCTGAGCTCTGGCTTCCAAAGTGATGAGGTTACGAATGTGAGCCACCATGCCCAGCCAAGATTAGACCTTTCAATGAGTGCACATCTTACCTCAAAAAAAAAAAAAAAAAAAGAAAAGAAACTTATTAAAAGATAAAGTCTGAGTTAAAAATGGGTTCACACTAATGATTTTTAATTTGGTACTTCTATTGTTAAAAGAGGGATTGCTTATATGGGTGTGTTTATGTGTAAAAAGCTAGTTAAGGTCGAACCTTTATTTATTTTTTTTTTGAGACAGAGTCTCACTCTGTCACCCAGGCTGATGTGCAGTGGCACAATCACAACTCACTGTAGCCTCAAACTCGTAGAATCAAGGGATCCTGCTATGTCAACATCCCAAGTAGCTGGAACTACAGGCATGCACCACCGCGCCTGATTAATTAAAAAAAAAATTTAATAAAGATGTGGTCTCACTATGCTGCCCAGGCTGCTCTCAAACTCCTGACCTCAAATGATCCTCCTGCCTTGTCATTCCAAAGTGATGGGATTACACAGGCTTAAGCCATTGTGCTCAGCCAAGATTTTACCTTCAATGAGCACACATTTTATACCACAAAAAATAATAATAAATAACAAAGTCTGTGTGAGAAATGAGTTGAAGTATAGATAACACAAAATTGGCATGTTATTAGTTGTTGTTGAGCCTGGGTAACAGGCCTATTGTACTGTTTCTTTTATTTTGTGTATGTTTTAAATTTTCTGTAATAAAACATGTATAATAATACAAAGTTGATCTACACTGTTAGCTCTTAAGATCTTAGTGACTTTGGGGGAGCAAAAGAGAGAAAGTGGTTACCAGGACATCTGTGAAGCTGGTTCTATTTCTAGGTTACACACGTGTGTTCACTTTGTAATAATTCATTGAACTTTACATGATTTCTTTGTATATGTCTTTCTGCATGAATGTTATACATATATAAAAATTTAAATATTACCTATTTGCACAAAATTTTAACTTCATATCTCAGAATAATAGCACTGTTTTGTACTGTTTTAAAGTGGGACATGTTTTCTCGGGGCATCATCAGATGGATATTAATATTCCAAGGTATTTACTTATGTTGTAACACTTCGGTGACCTTCTAGGTCTTCCCATGTTTACATCAATTTAGTAAGTAAGATAGTTTTAATTTTTTAGGGTATAGGCCAAGCACGGTGGCTCATGCCTACAGTCTCAGCTCTTGGGAGGCCAAGGCAGGAGGATCATTTGAGTCCAGTATTTTGAGTTTTTTTAGGATGCAATTATTATTCAGCAAAGTCCTCTCCCCACGGTGAGGTTCAGCAATGCAAGGGCACCTAGTGCATACTATGCATTTGGTATGAGTAGAACTGGATTGAATCAGGAATAAAATACGTAGCAGAGGTCAGTTCGGCAAGGAAAAGTAGGTAATGCAGGTAAGATCAGAAGAGCACAACCCAGCAGCAAATCTTTCCATTTATTTCAGGAACCCATTTGCCACTAGTTCACCGGAAGAGGCTGATTTAAACCATTCATTTCAGGAAACCATTTGCCACTAGTTCACCAGAAAAGGCTGATTTAAACCATTCATTTCAGGAAACCATTTGCCACTAGTTCACCCAAAGAGGCTGATTTAAAGCAGCAGTTTGGGGGCTTGGTTGTACCCCATAGTCACCCAGAGAGCTTTAAACAGCACTATGGCTCAGGTCCCACTGCAGGGATTCTGAGTTCACTTTTCTATTGCCTTTTGAGTTTAGGTAATTTTAAAAGCCTCCCTGGTGATTCCTGTGTGCACCCAGGGGGAACAACCCCTGGTTCGGGATGAGAAATGCATTTGCTGTGCATGCATTCCATGTGTGCAGCGGTGATTTGCCCCATGGCCACTCCTGAGTTTGGGGTCTTAGAAAATACACTTGTCCTGTTAAAAATCAAAAAACTACTTCAAGACACACTCAGCTGTTTGACTAAAATGCAGCAGGAGAAAATATCTTCTCAAAAGATGTATCTGGATGGCACTTGCTTTCAGAGTAAAAGGTGGTTTCAAGCACAATATAGCACTTTTTTCCTACAGGCTTTCAAGGCCTTTTACTATCATATCCTTATGAATCACAGGAATAAAAAAATCATAGTTATATAACTGTCAAATATTGTATTAGGAAAAAAATTAAGGGCATGTCTTCCATGCTCATGTATCCTGATTAAAATCAGTTAAGACCCATCTGCCCGGCGTGGTGGCTCACACCTGTAATTCCAGCACTTTGAAAGGCAGAGGCTGGAGGATCACTTGAGCTCAGGAGTTCAAGACCAGCATGCTCAACATAGAAAAACCTCATCTCTGCCAAAAATACAAATATTATCTGGTTGTGGTAGTGTGCACGTGTGGTCCCAGCTACTTTGGAGGCTGAGGTGGGAGAATCGCTGGAGCACAGAATGTCAAAGCTGCAGTGAACCACTGCACCCCAGCCAGAATGACAGGGAAAGAGACCCTGTCTCAGAAATAAAAATAAATAAAGAGACCCATTCTTTCAGACACCCTCATTCTTCTACATAAAACACAGTGCTTTTGACTGAAATGTTTTAAGATGAACTGAAGATTCTCCCATAATCAGGAGCAGTAGATGGAGGTTGCTCCCTTCCTGTTCTTTGAGTTGAAGCAAGGCAGAGGTCTGGAGACTCAAACTGGTAAGTACTCAAACTGGTAAATATATCAATTGCTTTCTTTTCATATGAGGTATTAAGCTATTCTTGCATTGCTATTTAAAAAACCTGAGACTGGGTAATTTATAAGAAAAGAGTTTGATTGGCTCATGGTTCTGCAGGCTGTACAGGAAGCATAGCACCAGCGTCTGCTTCTGGGAAGGCCTCGGGAAGCTTACAATCATGGTGAAAGAGAAGCAGGCATCTCACATGGTAGAAGCAGAAACAAGAAAGATGGGGGAGGGATGGGCCACACTTCTAAACAACCAGATCTCACGAGTACTCACTATCACAAGGACGGCACAGATCCATGAGGGACTCACCCAGTGATTCAACCACCTCCTCCCCAGGTCCCACCTGCCACATTGGGGATTAAAATTCAATATGAGATTTGGAGGGGACATCTAAACTATATCACATGACCATCAGAAAAACAGATGAAGAATTCATGGTTTCTACTGTCCAGAAACTTTTCATCTAGAGCAAACAGATTAATGGCTGAATTCAGCATCCTGTGGTCGGAAGGGAAATGGATTAATGGCTGAATTCAGCATCCTGTAGTCGGAAGGGAGAAGGGAGCTGCACAGGGGGCCTTGGCTGCATTTGCTCCATTTCCCTTATGCTGTTCCTTGAGTTCCGATGTCACTACCTGAAGGGCTATTCATGGACAGAAGAATTATTGTTATTGTTGTGATTATTTCTATTTCTTTTATCTTGGTAAAAATAAGTTTTTAGCTTCTCATATAATTGTCCTAAAAAACCCTAAGAGTTTCGCTTAAGTTTCTTGTTATCATGTGTTATAAAAATTGACAGGGAAGTGGCTAAAACAGATTAAAATTACACAAGCTCCAAGAGTCAAGTCTCTGTTGGGGAGGCTTAGGAAAGACAGAACTGGAAATACTCCACCAGCATGAACATCAGAAACATGGGGTCCACTTTCTGTTCCAGCCCTGCCCAGATCCACCCTCTTCTAAGGCCTCATCCAGGTCTGGCCTCACCCTAGAATCTTCTCTCACAGAACTCATTAAAGGAGACCAGAGATTCGGGCGCGGGCTCCTGCTGCCTCTCCTGAGCTGGTGCCCACAATTTCCTAAAATGGAAAAGCAGATAAGTGGAAGCAAATAATTCTGTATTTGGGGGTTATAATTTCTTTTTCATTGAAGCCAGTGCTTCTAGAGACACCCCACCTAGCAACTTGTTTTCCATTCCTGCAAATTCAGTAGCTGCTCCACAAGGCACAAGAAGGTAAATATAAATATAAAACATCTCTCTGAACAGTTCATCCTTTTTTCTTTATCCCTTCATCTGTCGATATAGCTTTTATTCTGCACATTTTATTTTCCAGGTAAATAATTTTTAAAATGGAAGAAAAAATAGAAACGCTAGGCCCTTCATTTAAATCCTGAAAATTACAGAAAACTTAGCACCCAACTCCCAGGGTGCTATGAGGATTAACTCACATCATGTAATGTTTCCTGAACAGTGCTCTGTAACAGACTTCTGAACACATAGTACGTGCTCAATAAACATTGTATTAACTCATGTGTACATGTTTTCCAAATGCAGACTTACTCAAACATTGATGCCTTCTCTAGGCTTTCTAAACTGCAAAGAGCCAGCAGAAAATGACATGTTTGAAAATGGCGATTGGTGGCTTCCACTTTGAGCCAAAAGTATTTGTGTTGTGGTAACAGTGTTGGGTGTCAGGAGCTCTGTGCTGTGCCTACTTTCTCTAGCTGAGTGCTACTCTATTGGATGTAGTGGAAGAAACATCAGCATTAAGAGGAGACTTTTTAAAGAAGCCAATTCATGGACCCCTTCCAAACCTGCAGAATCACATTACTAAGAGAGAGCCTGGAATCGGAAATAATTCATATGCACATTGAAACTTGAGAGGCAGCCGGGTGCGGTGACTTATGCCTGTAATCCCAACACTTTGGGAGGCGGAAGTGGGCAGATAACCTGAGGTCAGGAGTTCAAGACTAGCCTGGGCAAAATGACCAAACCATGTCTCTACTAAAACATACAAAAATTAGCCAGGTGTGGTGGCTGGTGCCTGTAATCCTAGCTACTCGGGTGGCTGAGACTGCAGAATCCCTTGAACCTGGGAGGTGGAGGTTGCAGTGGGCCAAGATGGTGCCACTGCACTCCTGCTGGACAATGAGTGAAAACTCTGTCAAAAGAAAAGAAAGACAAGAAAGAAAGAAAGAAAGAAAGAAAGAAAGAAGAAAGAAAGAAAGAAAGAAAGAAAGAAAGAAAGAAAGAAAAGAAAGACTTGAGAGTGATGCTTAGCTAAGTGGCTCTCGGCCCATGCTTCCAGCCGTAATCACATGGCCAGCTTAAAGAAATACCATCACCTGTGCCCTCCCCAGAGACTCTGTCTATTGATCTTGGTGGGAGCATCTATGTGGTTGTAATTAGAAAGTCAAATTGTCCCTCTTTGATGATAATATAATATCATATATACAAAAATTCTAAAGACCACCAAAAAACTCTTAGATTTGATAAATAAATTTAATAATGTTTCAGGATGCAAAAATCAACGTACAAAAATTGATAGCATTTTTATACACTAATGATGATCAAGCTGAGAACTGAATTAAAAAGTCACTTCCTTTTACAATAGCTACAAAAAAAGGTAAAATGCTTAGAAATACAATTGGTCAAAGAGATGAACGATGCCTTCAAGGAAAACTACAAAACACTGATGAAAGAAATTGTACATGACA
The DNA here is from genome assembly GCF_000001405.40 of Homo sapiens. Classification (NCBI taxonomy): domain Eukaryota; kingdom Metazoa; phylum Chordata; class Mammalia; order Primates; family Hominidae; genus Homo; species Homo sapiens. Next base: position 133,634,850 of record NC_000010.11, read on the forward strand.
CAAATGAGAAAAACATCCCATGCTTATGGATTGGAAGAATTATGATCAATAAAATGACTCTACTGCCCAAAACAATCTACATATTAAATGCAATTCCTACCAAAATGCCAATGTAATTTTTTATAAAATTAGAAAAAAAAACCACTAAAATTCTTATGGAACCACAAAAAGAGCCTGAATAGTCAAAGCAAATCTAAGCAAAGAGAATAAAGCTGGAGATATTACATTATCTGAATTAAAATTATGCTAGAAGGCTGTAGTAACCAAAACAACATGGTACTGATATAAATCGACACATAGATCAATGGTACAGAATAGAGAACCTAGAAATAAAGCCACATACCTACAAACGACTGATCTTTTACAAAGTCAACATAAACACACACTGGAGAAATGACATCCTATTCAACAAATTGTGCTGGAAAAATTATATTTCCGTATGCAGAAGAATGGAATGGGACCCCTATGTCCCACCATATACAAAAATCAACTCAATATGGATTAAAAGACTAAAATGTAAGACCTGAAACTATAAAAATGCTAGAAGAAACTCTAGGATAAACTCTTCTAGACATTGACTTGGACAAAGAATTTATGACTAAGATCTCAAAAGCAGATGTAACAATAACAAAAATAGACAACAAGAACTCAATTAAACTAAAAAGCTCCTGAAAATGAGCTTTCTAATTAACACAGTGAACAGAAAACCTATGGAATGAGATAAATGTTTATGAGTTTTGCATGTGACAAAGATCTAATGTCCAGAATATGCAAGGAACTCAAACAGCTCAACAAAAATAAAACAAGTAACCTCATTAAAAAGCAAGCAAAGAACATGAACATTAAAAAAAAAAAGACACTGATGGTCAATGGTCAACAAGCACGTAAAAGATGCTCAACCTTGTCAATGATCAGAGAAATGCCAATTAAAAACCACAACGAGATACCAACTTACACCATGCAGAATGGCTATTACTAAAAAGCAGAAAAATGAGCTATCAGCAAGGATACAGAGAAAAGAGAACATTTATACATTGTTTGTGGGAAAGTAACTTTCTACAACCTCTGTAAAACAGTATGGAGATTTCAAAATAGACTAAAAATAGAACTTCCATTTGATTCAGCACTCCCACTACTTGGTATCTACCCAAAGGAAAATAATTTGTTACATAAAGAAAATACCCATGCTGACATGTTTATCACAGCACTATTCATAATAGCCGATATATGAAATCAATTTAAATTTATCAGTCAATAATCGAATAAAGAAAATGTGCTATACGAGTATACCATGGAATGCTACTCAGCCATGAAGAAGAATAAAATCATGTCTTTTGCAACAACATGAATAAAACCGGAGGCCATTATTGTAAGTGAAAAAACTCAGAAACAGAAAATCAAATTCAGTATTTTCTCACTTGTAAGTGGGAACTCAATTAAGCATACACTTGGATATAGAGACTGGAAAAATAGACACTGGAGACTCAGAAAGATGGGAGGTTGGAGAGGGTTTAGGAATGAGAAAATAACTAATTGGGACAATAAACAACATTCAGATGATTGTCACACCAAAAGCCCATACTTCATCACTATGCAACATGCTTCTGTAAGGGAGCTGCATTTGTACTCTTTAACGTATTAATAAAGAGATTAAAAAAAAAAAGGCCTGGTGCGGTGGCTCAAGCCTATAATCCCAGCACTTTGGGAGGCTGAGGAGGGCGGATCACGTGGTCAGGAGTTCAAGACCAGCCTGGCCAATATAGTGAAACTCCATCTCTACTAAAAATACAAAAATTAGTCAGGTGTGGTGGCACATGCCTGTAGTCCTAGCTACTTGGGAGGCTGAGGCAAGAGAATCACTTGAACCCGGGAAGTGGAGGTTGTGGTGAGCCGAGATCGTGTCACTGCACTCCAGCCTGGGGAACAGAGGGAGACTCCGTCTCAAAAAAAAAAAAAGAGAGAAAAAAAAAAACTTTGGCTTTTATCAAGAGGACAAACTGAATAGACCTCATAATTTTCATAAATAATTAGATTAGGCAAAAAATTTTAATAAAAATAAATAGAAAATAATATTGTATTTTAAGAATGGTATAGAAAGATAATTTGATGAATTAGAGTAGTTAGTACTTAGCACATACAATATGTTAGGCAAGATTCTAAGCCACTTAGACCTTTATAGACAGAATATGTAACAGAGTAAAATAAATAACACAAAGATTCATTGGCAATGACAAATTGACATATTTTCAATAATATTAGATGATATTAAAACCATTGACAAATTTACTGTTTTGTTTCATAATAAAAAAGAATGTTAAATAACTTCATTAAAAAGTTGGCTAATTAGGCATATAGATAAATGGGCAGCATTTTGACCAGTACACAGGGGATACACATTTTCAAAGACCAGACAAAATTATTTATTTATTTTTTGGGGGAGAGGACAGTTTTATTATCTGGGGATACAGTGGGGTCCTCTCCCTGGGAGGTGGGGTCTTCCACTGGTTTTCCCCGCCAGGGCTCCAGGGGGCGCCATGCGATTCAGCGCTGGGCTCCGCTGGGGGCCGGGCCTTGGAGGAGGCGAACCGTGCAGGGAAGCGGCAGCCGTGGGGTCCTCACCGCCCGCTCCGCCGGGCTGCACCCGGCCCCCTGGTGCTCCTCAGGCTCCCGCCGAGTCTGCGTCTCTGGAGGGCAGCGAACCATCCTGCCCAGAACCTTATCCTCACAGTCCATTTTGACGCAGGTCAGGCATTTCTGCTTCCTCCTCTCGGGCTGGGCTTTGCACTTGGGTTTCTTCCAGGCCTTCCTCCAGCCGCTTCCCTGTCTGCCGGAGCTTAAATTCCAGCCTCACAGATGTTCCAGCTGGGAAGGGCGTGTCCAGGGCGCTGTCCACACTGGTCTCCCGGAAGGCCCGCTGCACGGGCGGGTGCTTGCAGATTCCTCCAGGGCCACCTGCAGGCCCCGGCGCTGGCCCCGTGAGCTCGGCCCCTCCCGCGTCCCCCGCGCCCACCCACGGGGCCAGCGAGATCCGCAGCCGTCTCAGGCTTCCCCTGTCACCCCGGCCCTGCGAAGCGGGTGTGCGCCCCTTAGTTCTCCGAGCCCGCCGGGAGCCACCTCCTCCCCTGCCCCTGGAGGGGGCCACGCCCGCAGAACGCTGGGCAGAGGCGAAGGAACCGGGAAACGTCCCTTTTCTCCACACTGACCTTCGGGTCTGCTGGGTCCTCTCCACTCCCTCCCACCCTGCCCGCGCTGTTCCCTGGGGCCCGCAGTTTCAGCAAAGTTCCCTGCCGCGCCGGGAAGCCGTCCTGTTGCCCACTCTCACCCTTCCTCCTTTCCCGGCCCATTCTCTCTCCCCACTGGGTCTCCGACACGACCCTCTCTCCTCCCGGCTGTCCCCGAGCCCCTCTCTGCTTCCCCAGCTCAGCCCCCTCTCTGACGGCTTCTCCCTCCCACCCCCAGGCGAATCTCCGGGCTCCCACGGGGTGCCCCCGATCCCCGGGGTCTAGGTCAACCGACAAAATTATTTTAAATGGGAAGATTTGAATTCCATTGAATTCATGGAAGCAGGAATCCATCTGGTCATATTTTAAATAATTTTGAAATGATAATAGCAATTATCAATTTAAAGTTTAACCAGAATTCAGAATAACCACCATTTTACCAGAAAAAAAAAAAACCTGTTATAACTAACCAACTAAGTCAGTAAATTCTCAGGATACAATATTAACATATGAACATCAGTTGCATTTTTTTACAGTAACAACAAAATATCTGAAACAGGAATAAAGATAGTTCCATTTACAATATTATCAAAAGAATGAAATACTTAGGAATGAGTTAACAAAGAATATGAAAGATCTGCATACTGAAAACTATAAAATGTTGAGGAAAGAAAATGAAGAATACAAAATGGGAAATATGTGTTCATGGATTCTAAAAATTAATATTGTTAAAATATCCATACTACACAAAGTGATCTACAGAGTTAAATTTTTATCAAAATTTTAATGCCATTTTATTAAAATGTAGAACGACAATTTTAAAATTAGTATGGAACCACAAAAGACCTCAAATAGCCAAATACTGAGAAGAACAAAAAGGCTGAAAGCCTCACACTTCCTGATTTCAAACTATATTACAAAGCTGTAGTCATTAATACAGTATAGTACCTACATAAAAACCAATAGAACAGAATAGAGGACCCAGAAATAAACTCACAAATATACAGTCGACCAATCCCACAGAATGGAGAAAGGATAAACACATCAAGGAGTGGTGTAGGAAAAACTCGATATGCACAGACAAAAAGTAAACCTTTCTCTCATGTCATCACAAAATGAATTTGAAATGAAATAAAGACTTAAACATAAGAACTGAAATCATGAATCCTCTAAAAAAAAAATGGGGAAAAGCCTCCTTGACACTGGTCATGGCAATGATGTTTCGGATTTGACACCAGGAGCGCAGTCAACAAAAGCAAAAATAAACAAGTGGAACTATGTCAAAGTAAAAATTTTCTGCACAATAAAGGAAACAATCAGCAAAATATAAAGGCATTATATGGAATGGGAGAAAATATTTGTAAACCATATGTAGGATAATATGTTACTATCCAAAATATATGTCATAGTAATCAATACAAAAAACCCACAGCAGAATTAAAAGCAATTTCTTGATTAATAATTGGGCAAAATATATAAATAGCAATTTTTCCAAAGATATACAAATGGCCAGCAGGTATATAAAAAATGCTCAACATCACTAATTATCACAGTAATTAAAATCAAAATCACAATGAGGTATCACCTTATCGTGGTGTTTGGATACCTATTATCAAAAAGTCAAAAGACAAAAAGCGTTAGGGTGTGGAAAAAGAGAACACTTGTGCACTGTTGCTGAGGATGTCAATTGGTGCAGCTATTATGAAAAACAGTATGGAGGTTCCTTAAAATTGTTAAACTAGAACTACCATTAATCCCAATTAGGAGTATATAGCCAAAGGACATAAAATCAGGATCATCAAGGGTATCTGCACTCCTCTGATACAGATAAACTGAGAGACATAATTTCAGCTTTAATAAAAATGAAACTCATCCACTACAATATTGATAAATCTTGACGACATTATGCTAAGCGAAATAAGCTGAATACAGAAAGACAACTACTGCATGATCTCGTTTGTATGTAAAATCTAAAAAAGTAAATAAAAATTTAAAAAAAGCCATGGAAACAGTAGAACGCTGGTTCCCATGGGCTAGGAAGTGGGGAAAGTGGGGAGATTTCCATGGAAGGGGCGCACCTTCAGTTACAAGGTGAGTAACTGCTGGGGACCTAATGTACAGAATAGTGACTATAGTTAACAATACTGTGTACTTGAAATTTGCTGCAAGAGTAGATCTCAGGTGCTCTCACCACACACAGAGGCGTATTCACTATGTGAGGGGATAGACAGGCTAACTAGCTTAACTGAGGTGATTTAAAGACCACTGACATCTCAAAACACTCTATTGTACACCCTAAAAATACACACTTTTCAATTTGTCAATCATAGCTCAACGAATGGAGAAAAAAAATAAGAGTAACCAGCAGGTCATAGCTCGCCACACGGAAGCTCGATTTAAAACACGCTTGGCCGCTGTTCGCAGCTCAACTCGGGAAGGGCCGGAGCGCTTCTGGCCCCTGGACTTCGACGCTCCTCCCGCGCCCCCGGGGCTGGGGAAGGCGCAGTCGTTCCCCGGATTCCAGGCACGCAGATCCGGCAGGGCCATCGCCGTCCCCTGCTCTTGCCGCAGCCCCGTCAGGCTCCGCGTTTCGGGGCCTCCTGGCCGGGGAGGCTGCCTGTGGCTGCCCGCGCGCCCCCGGGGCTGTGGCTCCGCCGGCCCCCGCTCCGGCCCCGCGCAGCCCCTCCGAGAACGCAGCCGTCTGGTCCCGAACTCGCGGCCTCTGCCCGTAGCCGCCGCCAGCGCCTTCGCTGTGGCCGCTCCTCCCCCTCCCCGAGCCCGAGCTGGCCCAGCGGAGAAGGAGGGCGGAGAAGCTGGAACCCGAACGCGGAGCTGCAGGCGGCAGGTGCGGGAACGGGAGAAGCTATGGCCTCGCCCAGGACGGCTGCTCAGAGCGACACGAGCAACCGCCAGGAGCTCCGCACGCAGCTGGAAGAACTCAGTAACGTACTCCGCTGTGGGAGACATGGAGGTAATAAAAGTCTGATGTAGAAGTACTCGCAGAGAACCATGCTCTTGGTCAATCTCAGATTATTATTATCAGACCTACCCTAATGACGTTAGTCTTCCAAATAAAGTGAGTGACTGAACTGTCAAATCAGCAAGATCAGGATATTGAAAGTCCTGCTTTGAATTCTAACGACCAGTTATAAGTAGAAAATGACACTCACCCTGGTACTGATAGGACAGCAAATGTTAAGTGTAGACAAGAGGGTCATCTGCCTCCAATTCACAGGAGCCAGCATCTGCATTAGCAGCACAAGATACGTCCTTAGAAGGTTCGTCATTAGCTGGAAGTTTGAGAGCTGCAGCGGAAGCGGCTTTGTCACAGACTGGATTTAGTGATGATGAAAATACTGGACTGTATTTTGACCACAGCACTGGTTTCTATTAAGATTCTGAGAATCAAATATATTATGATTTAATTTATTACTACTGTGATGTGGAAAGTGGTCGCTATCGATTTCATTCTCGAGTAGATTTGCAACCTTATCAGACTTATAGCACGAAACAAAAACGAAAAATTGAGAAAAGAAAGGATTCTTCTACAAAAAAACGATGAGGAAAAGGATTTGAATTCAGAGGATCAAGAAGCCTTCAGTGTTGAACATACAAGCTGCAACGGGAAAGACAATTTCACAAATGTGAAAAAAAAAGCCAAAATAGGCATTCATCACAAAAATAATCCCCAAAATTCACTGTTCCAGTTAGTGGAAATCCTATGGAATCTCCTTTTAATGAAAACATCTCAATTCATCTTTAAGGATGAGAAAATCACAGAGACTGATGGTGAACCAGAAGAAGGTGAAATTACAGACTCTCATACCGAGGGTAGTTACGATGAAGGCATTACCAGTAAAGGCAATGCAACTGCAAAAGATACTGAGGAGGAAGATGAGGAAAAAGTGTGGCCTCATATATGAGAGTGATTGTCATTAGATCACCTGTGCTACAGACAGGATCATTCTTCATCATTACTGCTGCAAAACCTGCTACAATTGGAAGAGAAAATGATATGGAGAATACTCTTCAAATCCCTGAAGTTGGTGTAAGTTTCATGCAGAAATCTATTTTGACCTTGACTTACAAAGTTATGTCCTTTTGGATCAGACAGTCAAAATGGAACAATTGTTAATGTAAAATGGATTGTTCAGCTGAAAACTAAATGTGACCCTTATGAACCTGAGCATGGAGATAAAGTGAAAGTTGGAGACACTGTGTTATCTTATTACATTCACCCTGGCAGTAATAGCTGTGTTGGATGTGAACCAGGGCAGGTTAGAGCTCACCTTTTCCTTGACAAGAAAGATGAATCATTTGTTGGTCCATCATTAACTAAGAAGGAAACGAGTTGGAAAGAAGAAAAGGATTTTAAAAATATACGAGTAAAATATGGTTTACAGAATACAGACTACAAAGATGATAAGATACTGGAGAATCAAAAATATAAAGATAGAGCTGGAAAACATAGGGAGCAGATTGGAAGTGAAGGAAATTTCCAAAGAGATGATGCTCCTGCATCTGTTCATTCTGAAATTACTGATAGCGACAAAGGTCAGAAGATGTTGAAAAAGATGTGTTGAAAACAGGAGAAGGCCTGGGGAAGGATGGTGGGAGAATAAAAACTCCAGTACAGCTTCAGCCTTGGCAAACACATGCAGGATTGGAGACAGACAAACCATCCTCAATTAAAGAGACTCACCTTCTCCAAAACAAGAACAACAACAACTGGGACAAAGCTCAGGAGAGGTTTGCCGAAAACTTTCCAGAAACTAAACTTCCAAAAGATGACCTAGGAACCATTCCTTGGGTAAAAGGGACTGAGGAGTGAAGGTTAATCACAGAAGAAAACTCAAGCTTTTTTATAAATAGAGTTTGGAAACTCTTATTTTATTGCAGAATGTTTCTCCCCAAAAAAGTCAGTGGCATGAGAAAGCTGTGTCACAGTTTACCCCTTCCTGATTCAGAAATGTGTAATAAAATGTGGTTTGCAGCTTTTAAAAAACACTTTTTAAATTAATTATTAGTGACTGAATTAAGTTATACAGTAAGTGAACTAAAGTTCACAGGGCACAGATAAGTTTATCAAACTTACTATTTTATCTTGTCATTTACAACATCCATATAAGCAATTAGCCATATAAGCAAAATTCATATAACCACTTAAATGCTCATTTGTCCTTGTCTCCATATATTCATAGTAGTATGCACAGAAAATACAGCAAAAGAAACATCTAAAATCTATAAAAATAAATCTGACAATATACATTCTTTTTTATGTCCTTCAGGACCTAGATAAAAAATGTTGAGACAACATAAATAGTGATGCATACATTTTCTTATATTTGGAATAGCCTAAATCATATTAAAGAACTAATGAACAGGTGACATGTCACAGAAAATTCGTCTTTTATTGTTTTCTTAGGTGAAGAATCTGTATTTGTTGATATATACTGTACATTCAGCATTTGTATTTGGTTTGTTTCATAGCTAATGAAATGTTTATACATGAAAAAATGAGTACAGTATTGAAATAGTCCATGTGCTGGCATTCATACTTTTTATAAATACCATTGCAGGCAATGAAGTTGTGCCAGAAAAATCTGATTTTGAGTACAAAAGGAATACTTAGCCAGGGCCTCGAGCTCAATATATTTATTGAAAATGTCCTAAATTGCCATAAAACATTATAACATTAAATTACTCATTTCAATAAATTATGAATTAAACAAAAAATACGAATGATGTCTTTTATGGATCAGGGAAGTGCTAATGAGACAGAATGGCCATTGAAGCCAAAAGGTCTGAATTCAGGTAGATAATTTTACTCATATTAGTTTTAGGTTAGAGAAAACAATACTTCTGACCATATACTATTTATTGCAGTGGAGTATTTCAAAAATATGTACATAATATATAATTAATTTTCTAATGGTATAAAAGTAATCACATTCTACAAATTATTACAATATGGTCTATTGATGAGAGGGGTGTTTCAAATGAAAAAAACTTGGAATTTCTCATGGTGATAGATGCCATAGAAAATCTATGTAAAATATTTCACTCATATATGCAATTATTGATATTTCTGCTTTTCAGAAAAATAATATACTTTAAACACTTAATGCAGACAATTAAAATCACCAAGAAGTTACAAGAATTCACAGAATGCCTAATATAGTTGAAAGGAAATTAAGAAAACCTCCCAGGACTGGAAGTAAATAAAGGTAATGATCCAGAGAAGTAATCAACCTAAGAGGCCAGGGCTCCACTCAGATGTGTCTGATTACAAGAATGTCAGGTCCATGTGGGTTGTTCCCTTCTGACAAGGCAAATGGAATAAACAAAGAGAAACTGCCTGCAGGCATTGGAATGCGGTGTCTCCCATATGTGAGGATTAAATTATAAATTATGTCGCACACAAGGAGATGAGCTACTGGGGTGAAGCATCAGAAGAAATTATATGGCACATAAATCTCAGATATTGAATTTATATTTAAATGTTTAAGTCAATATAATGGAAAAACAAGAAACCAAAATAATGTGGAAAGAAACTATGAGCTTGTCAAGCTATCTTTGGAAAAGAGGCAAATGAAAAGTAAAGTATTGAAAGGGTTGTAAAACAATTTAATGTACAACATACAAATTACATATTAAAATAGGCTGAGCCAAAAAGAGGGCTAGTAAAGTGAAATGCTGATCACAATTAATGTAGTCATATATGTTATAGAAGGCAAATTAATAGAAAATATAAATATATTTATATATGAAGATTAGATTGAGAAGAAATAAAAAGCATTTAATTGTTTTACCAGACTCTAAATAGGAAGGCAACAAAGAATCAGTGACTTGTAAGTTTCAGAAATTGGAAACCAGACATGAAACCTTTAAAAGTTTAGGGTGTAATATATGAAAAAAAGGTAAATTTAGAAATACTTAGAAGAAATAGTGGTTTGGGTTATTTTGAATACTGCTTAATAAACATGAGAGTGCAGTTGTCTTTTTTGACATGCTTATTTTGTTTCCTTTTGATATAAACCCAGCAATGAGATTGCTGCATCATATGGTAGTTCTATTTATAATTTCCCCACATTTCTGTATCCCGAGATCATGGTCATTTTCTTGACTATCTATTCTGATCTATTCTGCCTCAGTTTCCCCCTAAGAGATCTTAGGGTCATAATCATATTGGAGGTTGATGGGCTAGGTCACTTTTTCTGGAGCTGTTTCCTGCTGAGTGGGTGTTATTTCTGCCTAGTCTGGGCCCTAAAGTTTCTTCCTGTGTGATCTAACTGGGTGTAAACCATGTAATTCGTGGAACCAGTGGGCAAGATGTTGGCAGCCAAATGTTGAAAGCCTTGCAAAACCATCATGCAAACATGGAGTTGCCGTAAGCAAGAGAGCAAGAAATCAGTTAACATTTTAAACAAAATTGGAACAAAAGTAAAAGCTGAAAGTATAGTAATGGCTGTTACTATTAAAGAGAGTAAGGCAGGTAATAGACATTGCTTTCATGGTCCCATGGAAGTTCATAGAGATTCAATTTTGTCTGCCTGGGTGATGATATTTTTAATATTTTCTTGGACTAAACCAGGCTGATTGATCTCAAAAACAGCATTCTTCTTTTAGATATAAACATGTTCCTCTTTGCCCGGCTGGGAGAAGATCCCAGGCTTTTTGCTTTTGTCGGACTACAGTGGCCATGGAGTCCAGACATTGTTGAAGTCTATTGAGGCCCTCTGCTGCTTGTTGCAGACCCATTGAGGTTTTCTGAGATAGTTTATACTGGATTCCCAAGGCTCCACCTTATGGTGACATTTATGCTGCAAAAGTATTTTGCATTAAAATGGTGAAAGCAACAAACGTTTTAAGTATTTTCTATTTTTTGCTAATAAGCAAAATTTTGTGCAGCTAAGTTGGCAGCAGTCATTCGGTCCATTTATGGACGGTGCAGTTGAATGGTGGTCAAAGTTAGAGCCTGGAAGCCTTTAGTAAATGCGCTGAAGTTGTCTGAGGGCCATCAGAGTTGTTGCTTATATTGGATTAGATTATTTATTGAGAGTAGAACAAGCACTCTGATGGTCCTCTCTCCATTTGGGACTTTCTGTAAGGGGAGAAATTTCTCTGGCCCTGGATGGTGTGAAGTCCCACTTTGAGTAACTGCAGCTGGGCTGGTCTCTATTGTACCTGGCAAAGGCCGATAGAAAGGAGCATAAGGAGGAGGTGAAACAAGCTTAGATTCTACAGAAGACTCTGATAGTGTGGGGATGCTGGGGATTCTAAAGGAGGTGTGGACCCCTGAGTGCCCCTGTCTGGAGCTGGTGTTGGGCTGTGGGGTCTGGGGTCCCTTCCCCTTAATAAGAGATGATCTTCCAATTGTTCTGAGGGGCTTTCTGGCTTACTAGGCTTTAGCCCACAGGTGCTGCATAGAGCTGGATTTTGTTGTCAGGCCAGAACGGCTTGCACATAGGGTACTTCAGACCATTTTCCCTGATTGCTACAGAAAAGATCTAGCTGTAGGATGGAGTTAAAGCTCACAGTCTCATTCTCCAGCCATGTTTTGTCAGCTAATCTGTAGGCAGGCTAAATAGTATTACAAAAGAAGATAAGGTTTTCTTTTTTCTAAGTTCATTTAGCCAAAAGCTGTTCTAATTTTTAGATATACATCCCAGGTGTGTTTCAGTGACAGTAGAGGAAGCGGCTCCCATGGTGCCGAGAGAATCCTGCAATGACAGAACATTTACTGAAGTCCAGGAGGCTGCGGGCGTCCTCATGAGCCAAGTGAAAACACCAAGGGGTCCAGCGCATCCCCTCGAAACCCCATTAACTGAAGCTCTAGGAGGTCATAGGCATTTGCTATACGCCGTCCTAGCTCCCCCAGCGGTGGACATCTCCAGCCCTACGGAGATGACCCCCACTGCGGGCTGGGGGGCAGATGTTTGGCTGACAAGCCTTGCTCTAATTCACTGGTTTGCCATTTGTGATGCCCAGTTACAACACCTGGAATGCTCAGATGCAATCCCTACGACTTGGCATCTGCTTGACTGTGCATCTTTTGTTCAGCAAAGAAAGCCGGTTGAAGAACAATTTCAAGGAGCTGGGAAATGCATAAAGCCTGAAGGGACAGGGTTCTCTTAATGCGCTGCTCAAAACAAGACAAAAATTTTGTAAACAGAAAACCTGACCAGAAAATAAATTACAATAGCCACTAGGTGGCGATCGAGTATTGCTGAACGGACAGCAAACGACAAGCTGAGTCTAAACTGTGGCCAGAAAGATGTGAAACTGAGCGGCAAATAGCCCAAATATGAAATGTTGAGGGCAACCCATGTGGTTAGCGTATTTATCGATACTACAGAAGCCGCAGAGAAAAGGAGAGCGGACATATATTCTCTCTCTAAAGAATGCGGGTGACTTAAAAACGTTTCCCCCAGAACTTTACTGGAACAGCGCTGGAACCAGCAGCGATAGTTAACCAGGTAGTCTGAAACTGCCATAGTATTCACTGCAAGTAAAGGGAAACTGAAATTAATGAAGCAGACAAACGTCTCCGCAGGTCATGGCACCAGAAATGTTGATGGCTGATGTAATACCTTGGTTCTTATCTTCTTAGTTTAAAAGAATTTAAACAAGAGACACACAGCAAAAGAAGTACAGCATAATTTATTGCAAAAAAAAAGAATATTTTGAAAATTAAGTGCAGAATAGACGGTACAGTCTGAGAAAGAGATTCCAGGGCAGCCTGCTCATAAAAGTGAGACAGCATTAATTATTGCTGGAGAAACCCTCTTTATGGGAGTTTTGCATGATTATTTCATAAGAAGGTGGAAAGAAGTGTTACGGTAAGCATGTTCTGACTGGTCTTCTGGTTATACATGTGCAGTAGCTGTACATATTTGTGCATACATTGCATGCCTCACTAGCATCTTAAATCTCCACCCAGGAATGTGTTTTTTACTATAAAAATGAACAAAGGGTCAGCTTGAGGACAGATAAAATCAAAATGCACATGCTCTGTAGAATTAAAAGTCCCTACTGAAGATAGCGGGTTTCAAATGACCCCAAGTGCTCCACGTCTTAAAAGTTCCTCCGGTAAAGCTGGAACACTATCTGTTCCTGAGGTATCAGGTCCCATTTGTGGCTCTGAGCCACTGGCAAGCCAGGCCTGACTTGAGATGAGACCAATGATTTCAAGTGTAAAATGCCTAAATACTCAGTAGCTTCAGGTTGCATTTTGGAGCTTGTCCACTTAAGTGGGTTGATGAAAATGGCTCCCAAGACTCACGCCTCAGAAATGGGGTTTTTTCCTTTGCTCTTAGCAGATTTTATGCAACCCAATAATTAACCTTTCTGATGCCTAGACTTTCACATTCGTGAAAAAGGCGCCATTGAAAGTGACCTTTCCAAGAAGCCACAGCCCTTGTCACCCCTGCAGAGCTCTGAAGCTGCTCACAAGCAGGCCAGGTGGAAGATTTCTCTCAAAAACGGTTGAGTGCGTGCTCTGGCTAGAGAAAAAAGAGGGCTGCGGCACAATGGACAGTGTCTTGGACATCAGGAAAGTTCTCACGCAGTTTAGGAAAGAAGGCAGCACCCTGGGCTGCAGAAGACGTACTCCTCTGGAAAGAACCCTGGGTGCAACTGAAAGAGGAACCTGAGAAGGATAGGGCCAAGCGGGTGAGGACAACCCGCCCGATTTGGGAAAAGGTAAGGTATCTTTGTAGGGTAATACCCTCCTCAATGCTCAGCCCAGACCTGCCCTCCAGGTGCACCTCTGTACTCACTCTCCTTGCAAAGAGTCGGCATAGCATCAGAACTCAGCAGTGCTTTGGACACCGGGAAGTCCACACCGCTCTGCCCCTCCCTCCAGGGCTATGGACCCCGGATCCCGGTACATGCTGGGATTATAGCTCTGAAGCTTACCGACAAACAGGCTGAGAGTAGGTAACGGACTACAGCTCCCAGCATATTAGGTGGGGCGGGTACCACTCTGCCCCTTCTTCCAGGGCTGCGCCTCGCGCTGGAGCCTGGTGCATGCTGGGATTGTAGTCCTGTAGCCCTTTGACCAAAGGGTTGGGAGTGTTTATGAGAATGCATCTTCCAACAATCCTAGGGAGGCGCGCACAGCCCTGCCTCTTCCTCCGGTGACGCGCACTTTCCCGGAGCCCGGTGCATGCTAGGATTGTAGTGCTGCAGCCCTGTGACCAAAGGGCTGGGAGTGTTTATGAGACTGCATCTCCCAGCAAGACCAGCGAGAGGCGCGGAGCCTCGTCCCTTCCTCCAGTGATTAGCGCACTCTCCCTGAGCCTGGTGCATGCTGGGATTGCAGTGCTGCAGCCCTGTGACCAAAGAGCTTTGTTATAGTTATCTGTGAAGTGTTCAACAAACTACTTTACTTCATTATTACTGGAAGCCAGAAGCTCAGTTGTGTTCACTTTTTGGATTTTATATCAGTGAGATTGTGTAATATGTATACTTTTACATCTACTTTCTTCTATGCAACATTATATTTATGATATTCATGATATTGCAGATAGCTATAGTTTATTTAAAAATTATTTTTTACATTGTGGTAAAGTATACATAAAATTAGCCATTTTAGCTATTTTAAGTGTGCAGCTCAGAAAAATTAACTACTTTCACATTGTTTTGCAACTGTCATTACCACTCATAGGGACCTTCTTTCAACTTGCAGAAACAAAACTCTATACCCATTAAATAAGCTCCTTGTTACTCCCCCTCTAGCTCCTAGGAACCACTCTTCTATTTGGGTTTCTAGAATTTAACTACTCTAAGTATCTCATAAGTGGAATGATTCAGTATTTGTCCTTTTATGACTGGCTCATGTCACTTTGCACAATGTCCTTAAGGTTCATGCATGACGTACCATGTGTCAGAATTTCCTTATTTTACATAACTGAATAACATTCCACTCTATGTATAAATCACATTTTATCTATTAATCATTGATGGTAATTCAAACAACAGTTGAGTAATTCAAACACCTTTTTGGTGATGTGAGTAATGCTGCTATGAACCTAGGTGTATGTATATTATTTTGTGTCTTTGCTTTCATATCTTTTGCTGCATACCCAGATGTGAAATTGCTGGATCGTATGGTGATTTTATGTGTAAATTTTTTAGTTACTGTGTTGTTATTTTATAGCAGCTGCAGCATTTTACATTTCCACCAACAGTGTACAAGGATTCTAATTGCTCCACATCCTCACCAACACTTCGGATTTTCTGTTTTTTTTTTTTTTTCTTTTGGTAGTAGCTATGCTGATGGGTATTAAGTGATATGTCATTTGGGGTTAGATTTGCATTTCACTAATGATGAGTTTTGTTGAGTGTCTTTTCATGTGCTTATTAGCTACTTTACATAATTTTTAGAGAAATGTCTGCTTAAGTTTTTGCCAATATTTTAAACAAGTAGTTTGTTTTATTGTTGCTGAATTGTTCTTTGCATATTCTGGATAGATTCCTATTCGTCTATTTTTCTTTTGTTTCTTGTGTTGTGGGTGTCCTGTTTTAAAAAAAAAACTGCCAAATCCAGTGTTATGACGTGTTTCCCCTATATTTTATTCTAAGAATTTTGTAGTTTTAGCTCTTACATTTAGGTATTTGATCCAGTTAGTTAATTTTTTCTTACAGTATAAGTGAAGGGCCCAGGTTCATTCTTTTACATGTGGGTACCTAATTTCCCCAGCACCAGTTGTTGTGAAGACAGTTCTTGGCTGGGCACGATGGCTCACACCTGTAATCCCAGCACTTTGGGAGGCCGAGGCGGGCGGATCACAAGGTCAGGAGATCAAGACCATCCTGGCTAGCAAGGTGTCCGCTCTGCTCCTGATCCAGCGAGGCATCCATTGCCACTCCCGATCGGGCTAAAGGCTTGCCATTGTTCCTGCACAGCTAAGCGCCTGGGTTCATCCTAATCAAGCTGAACACTAGTCACTGGGTTCCACGGTTCTCTTCCGTGACCCACAGCTTCTAATAGAGCTATAACACTCACCGCATGGCTCAAGATTCCATTCCTTGGAATCCGTGAGGCCAAGAGCCCCAGGTCAGAGAACAGGAGGCTTGCCACCATCTTGGAAGTGGTCTGCCAAAATTATGGAAGTGGCCCGCCACCATCTTGGGCGCTCTGGGAGCAAAGACCGCCCCATGGTAACAGCACCTTAACTGTGTGTCCCCAAGGACCTACAGATCACAGGGCAACAGGGGCTGTGAGGGAGTTGTCTGGATTTCCCAAGGTGGAGGAGGCGAAAGAGGAGATGGATCCCAAGCTCCTGCACCAGCACCAGCGAGAGACAAAGGCCCCGCCAAACGCCGGAAGCCACGCCCTCCTCTCTTCTCAAACTGTGCGCCCGATTGGGTGGTTCCCACACCAGCGCCACTGATTGAATAAAACGCCAGGACCCACCCATCCGCACCCCACCCCGGCCCCTGCCCCACTCACCCTGAGCGTTAGTGTATTTTTGTTTGTTTCTTTGTTTTACTTTAAGTTTTGGGATACATGTGCAGAACGTGCAGGTTTGTTACAGAGGTTTACATGTGCCATGGTGGTTTTCTGCACCTGTCAACCTGCCGTTTAGGTTTTAAGCCCCACATGCATTAGATATTTGTCCTAATGCTCTCCCTCCCCTTGACCCCAACCCCCTAACAGGCCCCAGCATGTGATGTTTCCTTCCGGTGTACATCTGTTCTCATTGTTCAACTCCCACATATGAGTGAGAACATATGGTGTTTGGTTTCCTGTTCCCTGTGTTAGTTTGCTGAGGATAATGGTTTCCAGCTTCACTCACGTCCCTGCAAAGGACATGAACTTATTCTTTTTTATGGCTGCATAGTATTCCATGGTGTATATGTGCCACATTTTCTTTTTCCAGTCTATCATTGATGGGCATTTGGGTTGGTTCCAAGTCTTTGCTATTGTAAACAGTGCTGCAATAAACGTAAATGTGCATGTGTCTTTATAGTAGAATGATTTATATTCCTTTGGATATATACCCAGTAATGGGATTGCTGGGTCAAATGGTATTTCTGCTTGTAGATCCTTGAGGAATCACCACACTGTCTTCCACAATGGTTGAACTAATTTACACTCCCTCCAGCAGTGTAAAAACGTTTCTGTTTCTCCACAGCCTCACCAGCATCTGTTGTTTCCTGACTTTTTAATAATTGCCATTCCAACTGGCGTGAGATGGTATCTCATTGTGGTTTTGATTTGCCTTTCTCTAATAACCAGTGATGATGAGATTTTTTTAAAATATTTTTTGGCCACATAAATGTCTTCTTCTTCTCCTTCTTCTCCTTCTTCTTCTTCTTCTTTGAGACAAAGTCTTGCTCTGTCACCCAGGCTGGAATGCAGTGGCAGGATCTTGGCTCACTGCAACATCTGTTTCCCAGGTTCAAGTGATTCTTCTGCTTCAGCCTCCCGAGAAGCTGGGATTACAGGCACCTGCCAATATGTCTGGCTAATTTTTTGTATTTTCAGTAGAGACAAGATTTCAGCATGTTGGCCAGGCCGGTCTCAAACTCCTGACCTCATGATCCACCTGCCTCCACGTTCCAAAGTGCTGGGATTACAGGTGTGAGCCACCACACTCAGTCAAATATCTTCTTTTGAGAAGAGTCTGTTCATATCCTCTGCCCACTTTTTGATGGTTTTTTTTTTCTTGTGAATTCGTTTGAGTTCCTTGTAGATTCCAGATGTTAGACCTTTGTCAGATGGATAGATTGCAAAAATTTTCTCATTCTGTAGGTTGCCTTTCACTCTGATGATAGCTTCTTTTGCTGTGCAGAAGCTCTTTAATTAGATCTCATTTGTCAATTTTGGTTTTTGTTGCAATTGCTTTTGGTATTTTAGTTATGAAGTCTTTGCTCATACCTATGTCCTGAATGGTATTGCCTAGGTTTTCTTCTAGGGTTTTTATGGTTTGGGGTTTTACATTTAAGACTTTAATCCATCTTGAGATAATGTTTAAGGTGTAAGGAAGGGGTGCAGTTTCTGTTTTCTGCATATGGCTAGCCAGTTTTTTCAGCACCATTTGTTAAATAGAAAATCTTTCCCCATTGCTTGTTTTTGTCAGGCTTGTCGAAGATCAGATGGTTGTAGATGTGTGGTGTTATTTCTGAGGTCTTTGTTCTGTTCCATTGGTCTATATATCTGTTTTGGTACCAGTATCGTGGTGTTTTGGTTACTGTAGCCTTGAAGTATAGTTTGAAGTCTGGTAGCATGATGCCTCCAGCTACCAGTTGTTTTTGCTTAGGATTGTCTTGGGTGGACAGGCAAACAGGCTCGAATAGTTGGGGTCACATGCGCAGAGTATCACAGCTAATTAAGAAGTGAGCTGAGACTTGAAATGCGCATGCTCTTTCCCTTACCAGGATCTGTTGAGTCATGCATCTTAGCAGCTATTTAAGGGTAGGAAGTAGAATATTTGGACATCTTTTCAACAACTTATTAGGCATTTTCATAATGCAGGAAAGACCCTCATCCCATCCCTGAGCCCCTCTCTCACCACGCTGCACCTCACTGCTGACCACATCGTGGGGTGGCCATTATCAGGCGGGCCAGAATCAGGCCAGAATAAGGCGGGCAGCGGGGGCTGGGAATAAATAAGCCAGAATGATGTTGCCCATATTTGCTCATCTTAGAAAGGCTCCACAACCATTCTGTGTGAAGTGATTATTCCAGGGTAATTGTGCCCTGACTGTGCTGCATGTCAGTCTGACTTGTCTTTCTGAAAATCACTGGATTACTCTCATTAATGGGGGTATTTCTGTTTCTATTTGAAAATGGCCAACTGTCCTCTGCAGGTGTCCTGATTTTGTCTGCTAGTTTAGACCCTGAAGGTAGCAGTGAGAAAATGTTTTGGCCACATCAGAATACCTATTCTCAGCTGGAGTAGATATAGAAATTTCTTAATAATATCTAACCGTTTTCTCAATAACCATTATATTTAACGGTGATAACTGGAGGGCAGAGAGGGACACAGATGACACAATCTTCGAAGTTTAATTTGGTTATAAGGTTTTTTGTTCTTGTTTTGTTTTGCTTTCTTTTTGGATACAAGGTCTTGCTCTGGTGCCCAGGCTGGAGGGCAGTGGCACAATCATAACTCATAATTTGGTTGTAACTGTTCTTTAAAAAATATTTTTGGCTGAGTTTGGTAGCTCACACCTGTAATGTAAACAATTTGGGAGGCCAAGGTGGGATGATCGCTGGATCCTATGAGTTCAAGACCAGTTTGGGCAACATAAGTAGGCTCAGTTTCTACAAAAAAATTTTTTTAATTGGCTGGGTGTAGCATTGCATGCCTGTAGTGTAGTCCTCGCTATTTGAGAAGCTGATGTGAAAGGATCACTTGAGCCTAAGAGTTTGAGGCTGCACTGACCCATGATTCAGCCACTGCACTGACAGACAGATGTGTGTGTGTGTGTGTGTGTGTGTGTGTGTGTGTGTGTATAAACAATATGGATGTGAAAAAAATTCAAGCCCGGGAGAAAAGTGAAAGCCCATGGTGGGGGATGTGGAGAAAGGTGAGTGCGGCTCCAGCAACTCAGTGAAACTTGGTTTTCCATCTTGAAGAATTGCCCATACACACTGAAACCATAGCCTAGCACATGCCAGTTATCACACTACACCTGCTGGGATACGACTATGTACCCTTTTTTAAAAAATAAAATCTTTCACCTAAGAGAAGCAGAAGAGAAAAGGAGTGTTTCACATCTAAAGCCTTCATTTTCTTTATGAAACAACAGCCACTTGTCATTTGAGTTGTCCAAAGGCGACTGACAGCACTAATACACTTAATGAATAAAGCAGGAAAAATGGGCCTCTCGGGTGAGGAGGAGGCACAATAGTAACTAAACCAATCCATTCTCAGCTTTACGTGGTGCCCGTATCTCAAGAAGTGGTGTTAGCCATGTGAACCGTTTTCACTGGACAAGGCCAGAAGAAAGAACATTTAGTACAACACAACCATGAGGCTGCAAATCAAACTGGTAGTGGGAGCATGCACAAGGCTTCAGTGGCTGAGACACTGGTGGCTACCCTTGGGTGTCACTTAAAACTTCAAGGTGAAGGACATTTTTTTTCCAGTTGGCTCAGGGAAACTAATAAACATTAGAATTGAAATTTGTTTTTCTTTTCAAAATTTCTAAGACATAGAGGACTCTCTAAACACTCCAAAAGACATTCAGATATACATGCAGCTGAGGACCTGCCTGCTCTGCAGAGGGATGGCTGAGCAGCAGCCACCAGCTGTAATAACTTTAAACTTCTCCTCTCACAGGGACAGGCCACTCCCACACACACTGCTTACTTCATAGGCTGTGGCCCTCAGATGCACCTGGGGGACTGCTTTCCTCCCATTTCATTAGCTCTCCAAGACAGTCCATCTCACTCTAAAACCTACACTAGGATGGTGAGTTGTAGACTCTCCTCCATTCTCCCAGTGCAGTGTGACTTCCAGAGAGTGCTCCCCCATCCTCTTACCTCAACTGATGTGAAAAGGGCCAGTGCCTGGGCAGTTAGATGTTCAGTGACCTCACAGGTCCAGCATGCCCAGGGCCTGGCCCCACAGCCTGGCACCTCTCCCCTACCTGGCCTTCATGCCAGCCTTTTCTCTTCTGTCACCAATGTCAAGTGACATTCACCTGTGCCACACTCTTATGAGTGTGGTAAGTGATGGGTGGGTAAACCCCAGCTGAGTGCCTGTGACTCTACCCTCTTACCTTTCACTCAAGTGACATTATAAGCATAATTTTACATTTGATTTAATTTATGCATAATCTTTTCTTATAACATTTCTGACAATAGCCCTCACAACCAAAGGAGACTGGGTTACAGAACACATGGGCAAGGCTGGGGTAGCAGGTTTCACTTACTTTATTCCAATGTGAAATGAAGATGTGATGGTTTAAAACCAAGACAAAGTTGTTTATCAGCTGTGGGGTTGCTACACTTGCTAGCTCATGCTCACTTCCTTTGAAACAAGGAATCTGGAGAGACTATATTCATAAGTAGCTCTTTGCAAACCCCCAGGCAGAAGCCCCAGTCAGACACAGCTCCCTCAGGCTCTCAGGGCGGCAACTTCCTCCTCCATGTTGGGCTCTGCCAGCAGGCAAGGGAAGAGCTCCCTCAGGCTCCCAGGGCTGCAACCTCCTCCTCCATGTTGGGCTCTGCCAGCAGGCAAGGGAAGCAGCACAGGCAGCGGGGGACAGGAAGCCACCCGGGGCCATAGGGATCCCCAAACGCCCCAGAGCTATTCTCTGTAGAAAGGGCGGTGTGGCAAGGACCAGGTATGGAGCTGGGTTCCACAGAGAGGTGACAGCCACTTCTGTATCTCTAAATTTCCCCCAGGATCCATGATCCAGCCCTGCTTTCCCCCAGGCCCTTCACCCACCCTGCCCCCACTGTGTGTTAGGCAGCTCGGGTTAAAATGGGAGAAAAATATATTCAGATCGTAGCCTCCAAGTTTTCCCATCTGGGCTGCAGAGAGTAGAGAAGGAAGTCGGGGCCTGTGGCGGTGCCTTTTGCTGTGCCTGAGGGCAGGAAGGCCAGGGCTGGGCACATGGATGTCTCCGGGACCACCACTGCTGACTCCCTCCCCTCACCTGAAGCTACAACCAGCCCAGGCTATCACGATTAATAAAACCACTGCAGCTCTCATCCTGTCACAAAACTAATGTGCACCCAACTGCAGCCCTACACAGATCCCTGGCTTCCTATCCCAGAACACAGAAAATCCTCTTATCTTTTTTACTTAAAACCTGGACTTTAAGCCAGATTGGGCCTGGGGATAGTGGCAGCAAAAGCAACAGCCAGATGTATACACTCCAGATGTATACACTCAAGGGCATGGGCACATTCCACACTTGCTGAAGAATGAGAGGCCTGAGAGACACCTGTTTCCCAGCTGCTAGCTGATGTCCACACACCCCATTCATGTGTCTTCATTTAGGCCTCTGCATCATGTATTTGTTCAGCCAGTGCAAACACATCTTCTGGGGGGCATCATTGATTGCAGCACCAGCCCCACTTGTTTCGGGAGGGAGTCAGGAGGAATCTGGTCAGCTCCTAATCCCCCAGGACAAAGGTGCTGCCCCCTTTTCAGCACTCACATCCAGCAGCACCATCTTGGGATGGTTTTTCAAACACAAGTAGCATGAGGTAGCAAGCATGGTGTGACAGGCTCAGGGCCATAGGCAGCCGGCTGCTGGAGAAGCAGCACAGGGCAGGCACATCTGTGGGTGGCACCCTGACAAGCCAAGGCAGCCACAGCCCCTACCCCCAACAGCCCCAGCCCAGATGGCATTCAGATCTTCCCGGATAGTATTGGGGTTCCCGATGCCCATCACTCCCCTGCTTATTAGCACTGCCTTGTGTTGGTTACTCAGGGACTAAGGAGAGGGGGTGGGGGATGTAGATCCAGGGTGGGCACTGCCTCACAGCCAGAGTCCACCTGACTACAGGCCAGCAAGCAAGCCCAGCAGCTCAGCTCTAGACACTTAGCCTCACCACCTCTGGCTACACTTTCTACGTATACTTTATGCAAAGGTAGAAAAAGAGGTCAGTATTAGCTGTTGTGACATAAAAGTCTATGCCCCATTAAGACCTTCTTAAAATGCTGTTGCCTTAAGCCCTCTTTCTTCTAATAAAATTTATACAAATACACACATACAAGCTGAAACTACTATAAATGAAATATTAGGATTTTTTAAACCCATAAACAAACACTAAAACAGTCACTGTTTGAATGCAGAGAAAGTGGGAGTCTAAAGCAGCTGACCCCAAAACAGCCTTACCGAGCCCAAAGCCAGGCCAGGCAGTCTGAACACTACAAGGTCACGTGATGGTCACAGAGGATGACAGCTCCCATGAGTATTCTCAGGCACTGTGTTAGCTTCTCACTCACAGAGTCTCAGAATGCCTCCTCACCAATACCCTGTGAGGGAAGGCCCCACCTCACTACAGCACGAGAGGTTCCTGAGCTCTTCCCAGAAAATGGTTATCAAAGGGTGGAGCTGGGGGAAGCCCAGACAGAACAAGTGAGTCCCCAGGGTCTCCTTAACCTCCCTCAGCTCCTCCACATGGGGCCCTGAGGGAAAGTGAGCGGCCTCCTAACCCCTTTGATAGGGTTCCAGTACTGCAGGTCTGGACCTCCTCATTTTCTGGAACCACAGGAGGCGACAATGCAAACCCAGGCCCCTTATTTGCCATCCCTCAATGCCAGGCCAGGCCCAGAGCCCTGTGCTGACACAGCCCAGGGGATGCTCAAGGCCCACCTCAGCACAGTCACCAATAGCGTAGTGAGATGAGCAAGGAGGTGCAAGTAGACACAAATCCCCATGGGCTTGGCCTCAGGCATGTTCCACAGGCTCAGGGTCTCCCTGATGAGCTCACAGCCCTCCTTCAGGGATCCTGCAGAGCACACACCCAGGGAGCAGTGCTCAGATGAGCAGGCAGGCCCCAGATTCCGCACCCCAGGATGATCTGTTCCACTTTGCAGGGCTGCTGCATTGGCCAGTCCCCACTGCTTTCTGGTGGGATGTTTGAGTTGAAGTGAATGTTGAAGGGCATAGAGCTGATGGGGCTGACTGCCTTGCAGATGTTGTAAATCACCTCCTGGCTCCACGGGTCAGCTGTGGAGACACAGCTTGATGGGAGGTAGCCCCACTCCACCATCAGTGGTGCTGGGCTGCCCTGATCTGCACCTTCCAGCTCCTTGCTGAGATGTCTGCATGTTTCTCTAAGGGACTGGGTCACGAGACACCCCTGGCAAGGCCCAGCTGGCAGAATAGGCTGGACACTCTCCCTCAGCCTCCCCAGCAGCCCGGCCTGTGCTGTCACCTGTGCTGATGATCTCACTTCTCTATCTTAATAACAGCACTGATAACTTTTAAGCCCTAGCAAGCTGAAACTGCAAGACAAATGATCTTCTGCCTTAGAAGGGTTATGGCTGGGCAGTGTGTGCCCAGGTGAGAGCCCTGTGGTTGTTAGTGGAAGTAGGGAGTTGGATGGGCCTGGCCCCATAGCCTAGTGAAAACTAGGGCCCTCTCCTTCCAGAGCATCAAAGTCTTAGAGGCTGGAAAAAGGTGCTTGTGTGGGCTGCCAAGAAGCAGAAGGCTAGAAGGCTTTGCAAGGAACCCCAACAGACTTCAAGGTGCCTGAGAGGGCTGGGCTTATTCCAGCTTTCTTTGCTTTCATTCTGTTAGCAAGAAAACCTGCTCACAGATGGCAGGTGGGCCTGAGGCTGCCAGTCACTCACCAGAGGCTATAGGTGCCTTGATTGTGGCTGTTTCTTGAAGCAGCTGCTCAGGCCGGTTATTGCAGAGCAGTTCCCTCATTATCCACAGGTCCTTGTTCCAGCCCCGGCTCTGCAAAGGGACTAGGGAGGGACTAGGCAAGGGCTCAGCCTGTGCCCCACAACCTGCTCTGAGATATCTCTTTTGTTACTTCCTCATGGACAGCCTTAAACTTCCAAATGAACAGACCAGCATGGAGCCTCCAGGAAAGTGCATAGAATTCTATCTGGTACCCAGAGGGAAGGGGGTTCCCAGTGAGGGCAGGACCAGGCTTCATGCACCTCTTCAGGAATGTTCTCCTCATAGTCCAGCCTCAAGGTGTGCATCCTCTGTGTGCATGGAGTCCATGGCAGGCTCTGCCTGGGGAGCCGTCCAGCTGCACACCTGCAATGTGGTGGTGACCCTCATGAATGGGTGGTTCTGGGCCCCATGGCTGGCAGCAGAGAGGGAGATGTTCAGCCACCAAGCCCAGAGCCCTGCCACAGGCTTCTGTGAGGCCTCCATCTGCTCTGGGTTCTTGCCCTGAGAGGCTGCCCTGAAGTCAAACAGAAGCAGGTGGGCCTCTCTTCCAGGGCTGCTCTCTCCCCCACTGACAGCTCCCTAGAGGGGGACTCAGACAGTGGGGACAGATTCCTCAGGCATAAGCACTGGAGTTTAGGCTGGCCAGTTCATTCCATACGCCCACATGACATGACACAAGGCAGAGGCTGTGGGACAAAGGTATTGCCTTTTCTTCTGGCATGAGGAATGGCTTAGGAAGCAGGGGATGGTGGGGCTGGGGTTGAGTGATGGGCTGTGGGCCACAAGGAGTGGGTGGGCACTGAGCAAGTGACCTGGTTGTCTGTCCATAGACGCAGAATGAGTGGCATCCCAGGAGCCTGTGAGGGGCTGGCAGAGACTTACTGGTTCCAGTAAAAGCCCCATGTGGATGCAGTAATGCTGCCTGCTGGTCCTTGGCTGTAATTACAAACAGGTACATGAGGTACCCATGCATCTTGAAGCTCTCAGGGAGTGGGTTCCAGCTGCTCATGGTAGGCACTTTTAGTCACTGAACATGCTTCAGGCATGTCCAAGCTTGATTAAGCCAGGCATCTTGCTGTGAGGCCCTCCACTTCACTAAGAACACTCTTCCTTGCTTCCCCTGGAAGTTGGACCTTCCAGTTCTGGTTCTGGAGACACGATGGCCCCTCCTGGACCCCTGGGAGAATGTGCTCAGGTGACACACAGTTGATGGGGCCCATTTCCAAGCCATTCTTCCATTTCCCACTGTTTGAGGGACCCGAGGCCGGTGACAAGCACAGAGCCACCCAAGGCCAGCTGTCTGCACCTAAATGTGATGCTTGTCTGGATGTCTCAGGGCCAGAACCCTCCAGGTGAGATGGCCTGGTCCTCACCACCTGGCGTCCGTGCTCCCTTTTCCTCTGTTCAATCCTGGCGCCAATGCCTCCCTCAACTCTCAGGTCACCATTGGAGAAGATGCTCAGGAAGAACAAGCAGCTGCAGTTAACCCTGCTGAAAGTGGCAGATGGTTCCAGGCTCTTGAGCTCGTCTTGGACATGGAACATGTGGATACAGGCTTTGAGCAGTGTGTGTAGCTCTTTCAGGAAGGAAGGGAAAAGGGTGTTACCCGGGTCCTACACCCTGGAACGACCCTTCTCAGACAGTAAATAGTTGGCAGGGTGCGGTCATGTGTGATTTTAGTTTTCAACTTTAGGCTTTCATTTTCAAATTCCACAATAAACACATAAGGTGGAGTTCTGGTTTCAGCACACACACACACACACAAACACACACACACACACATTCTCTCTCTCTGTATGTCTCTTTCTGTCTCTCTCTCTCTCTCCTTCCTGCTAGTGGGCAAGGATCCTTGTTAACAAGAAACCTTCTGCCAAATGCCTCTGAAGCACAGGCAGGTCTTGGGGAGCCACAAGGCCACTTCCTCTTTGTGCACTAGTGTCTTGGGTAGGCATAGCTTTCAGAGCTCTGGGGCCTCCACAACCTTGCCCTGCTGTCCAGGGGCAGCCCTCATGCAGGGGTGTCCTAAGAACTTTTCAGGACGCACAAGTTCAGCACTGTCTTCCAATGTGTGTTTCACGATATTTTAATGGTGGTTCTTTTGGGAAAAAGGAAAGGTTCTGTGATCAATTATGGGACACATTGAGCTACAGATCTTTTTCACAATTGCTCTTAACAAGCAGGTAGACCCTGAGAACATGAGTAGCTTCCCTGCAGGTAACTTGAGTGCATGAGAACTTTTGCTTTACAACCATGCCAATCTCACCTCAGCAGTTGGCAGTGCTACACTGGGCAGACTTCCCTACTCAAAGGCTGTGAAGCTTTTCTTTCTTTTTTTTTTAAACATTATTTTTCTTTATAGAATTTTGTTGGGCTGATATCAAGCCTGGCTTGGTACTGCCTCATTTTTTTTGGAATCAGAACGCTGTTCTTTAACTCACGGGTTGTGAAGTTAGAAGGTGCTGGTGTGACAGCCTGACAAGCAGAGCGCAGCTCCAATCCCACCTTCATGCGCTCATCTGACGCAGAGCCCTCAGAGAAGTGGGGAAGTGCTTCCTGGCCCTGCTTCTGGGGGCCGTCCCCAAGGCAGTCCACCGAACTTCCAAAACAGCCTTCCCTCACACACAGCCCTGAGCCCTCCTGCCGCTCCTCAATGTTGCACATCTCTGAGAAGTGGTCCAGCATGTTGCTGTCCAGGAGCAGTGAGAAGCAGGTGCGGTGACACATGTCTTCACGGACCATGAGCACCGGGTAAATCTCCTGCACAATCTCCTTGGGGGACACCTTGAGGGAGAAAGCCCCAACAACTGATGGCATGCCACATGGCAGAAAGCAAAGACTTACCCTTTCCCCAGCCCAAAGTCCTGAGAATCATGCCAAAAATCCTTGGTTTCCCACTTTTTAAAAATTTTAAAATTAAAATCCCAGGTTCCGCGTATACATGCCATGCCCACCTGCACCTGTGTGTGTGTGTGTGTGTTTGTGCACGCAGGACAGAGCCTGGCCCATTGACTATTCCTGCAGACCAAGAAAAATCCCTATGCAGAGTAAGGGGAGATGGAAGAAACGAGGGAGAGAAAATGGCAGCCTTGCCTCCTCCCTTGACCAGTGCTAAGGTCCCCAGGGCAAATGGCTTTTGCCTTCAACTTCACCTTAACAACATACAAAATATATTCATTTTTACTTCCGTCACTTTCTTAACATTACAAATTGTATCTTTATATATGATTTGTATTTTCACAGAGATTTAAGAATTTAATGCACCATTATAGTAGAAAATTGTATATCTGTGTATATATTTACATTGAACAGAGAGCTTTATATTTTCATGTGGTTTTATGATGCTGTCCAGCATCATTTAATTTTTCAACATAATTCTCTTTAGCATTTTTTTCCCTAGGGTTATTCTAGTAGTTAACAACCTCAGCTTTTTTATTTTAATCTTTGAAAGTCTTTATTTTTTTCTAATTTTTGAAATACAGTATTTCCCAGATCAATTATTATTGGTTGCTAGTATTTTTTCTTTCATCGCTTTGAAATCTGGAAAGTTCTTAGCATCCCCGCTTTTTCTCTGAAATAATGTTTATGCCATTTTCTCCCTCTATTCTTTTTAAAAGACTCTATCTCTGAATGTATTGGTCTACCTGATGGTGTCCAGTAAGTCTTATATTTCACCCGTAATTTTCCCATTCTTTAAAATATTAGTTTCCAGGACTCAATATTTGTGAATAATATATGTTCAACTTTCTTTTTTCTGCTCCATTGTTTGCTGTTGTGTCTCTGTAGTGAATTTATAAAACTCAGTTATTATATTCTTCAACTCTATGATTTCTGTTGGGTTTTTAAAAATAGTTTTTATCTCTTTGTTGATATTTTGCTCATTCGTTATTTTTAAATTTCACTCAGTTGTCTCTTTCTGTTATAGTTTTGCTCACTGAGTATGCATAAGATGATTATTTTAAGTTCTCCATCAGATATGCAAAAATCTTTATTTGTTAAAATTCAGTTTCTGAATATTTATGTTTTTCTTCCAATGGGGAATATTTTCTGCCTTCTCTGTGTGCCTTGTGATTTTTTTTTTTAAAAGAGATCTGGGGATCTATACAGCACTCATCAAATCTAGCATTTAAAGACTGGCTCAGTAAAGGGGGATACCGACAGCAATAGTCCAGGCTATAGATTCTAGGTGCTTCACAAACACATTCCCAAATATATTTTCTCTGGACTTGGGTGTGTTTCCAAGTTAAAGAGAATTTTTTCTCAATGTATTTTAGATTCTATTGTCTATTTTCTTCCCCAGTTGGCTGTCTGTGGTATTGCAGTTTCACTAGTGCTGTAGCAAACACTCATCTTTCTTCTCAGCAGGCACAAACTCTCATCTATATGACTCCATCATGTCCTTCAGCACTCCACATCAGGAGAGAAAGAATCTAGTCATTAGACAATTTATCAAAAAGCCAAACATTTCAACACATATTCTACTGTTTTAATTCTCTCCTGAAGGAGATACTGGGAGTTGGGCATTTTCTGATTAGCCCAGTTACTGTTCTGGGTGAAAAAAGAAACTGCAGTGGACAGGCTGTAAGCCAGACTTCATCAAATTTCTGCAGCAATGAAAAAAAAATTTACAAGAGAAAAACAAAAAACCCTATTAAACGTCACGGACAAGGCCAGAGTTTGAATATACTGTGGTCATCTCCGCTCCAGTGCAAACTGTTTTCAGAAAGCCTGCTTTTATTTTCCTTGCTGTAACAGAGGAACATTTCCTGTCTTATGCTTATTCTACTCTGCAGTCCCCTAAGGCTTTTTCTCTCCCTCCCAGAATCTTAAAGTGCATTCGAACGCACAGGCAAAATCCTCCCAGAAACTTGTGAAAACATAAATGATCTGACTAGTTTGGCATTGCTTTTGGGGATCTGGGAAAATCTGTGCACACTTCTGGAGACCCTTGTCAGGCCATTTTTTATAAATCTATTGTGCCTCAAGTCAGCAGTGTGTGAGGGGAGATGGGGAGACATTGGGATGCGCGCGCCTGGGGCTCTCCCACAGGGGGCTTTCGTGAGCCAGGCAGCGAGGGCCGCCCCCGCGCTGCAGCCCAGCCAGGCCGCGCCGGCAGAGGGGATCTCCCAACCTGCCCCGGCGCGCGGGGATTTCGCCTACGCCGCCCCGGCTCCTCCGGACGGGGCGCTCTCCCACCCTCAGGCTCCTCGGTGGCCTCCGCACCCGGGCAAAAGCCGGGAGGACCGGGACCCGCAGCGCGACGGCCTGCCGGGCCCCTGCGCGGTGGCACAGCCTGGGCCCGCTCAAGCGGGGCCGCAGGGCCAAGGGGTGCTTGCGCCACCCACGTCCCAGGGGAGTCCGTGGTGGGGCTGGGGCCGGGGTCCCCAGGTCGCCGGGGCGGCGTGGGAACCCCAAGCCGGGGCAGCTCCACCTCCCCAGCCCGCGCCCCCGGACGCCTCCGCGCGGCAGGGGCAGATGCAAGGCATCCCGGCGCCCTCCCAGGCGCTCCAGGAGCCGGCGCCCTGGTCTGCACTCCCCTGCGGCCTGCTGCTGGATGAGCTCCTGGCGAGCCCGGAGTTTCTGCAGCAGGCGCAACCTCTCCTAGAAACGGAGGCCCCGGGGGAGCTGGAGGCCTCGGAAGAGGCCGCCTCGCTGGAAGCACCCCTCAGCGAGGAAGAATACCGGGCTCTGCTGGAGGAGCTTTAGGACGCGGGGTTGGGACGGGGTCGGGTGGTTCGGGGCAGGGCGGTGGCCTCTCTTTCGCGGGGAACGCCTGGCTGGCTACGGAGGGGCGTGTCTCCGCCCCGCCCCCTCCACCGGGCTGACCGGCCTGGGATTCCTGCCTTCTAGGCCTAGGCCCGGTGAGAGACTCCACACAGCGGAGAACTGCCATTCTTTCCTGGGCATCCCGGGGATCCCAGAGCCGGCCCAGGTACCAGCAGGTGGGCCGCCTACTGCGCACGCGCGGGTTTGCGGGCAGCCGCCTGGGCTGTGGGAGCAGCCCGGGCAGAGCTCTCCTGCCTCTCCACCAGCCCACCCCACCGCCTGACCGCCCCCTCCCCACCCCCACCCCCCGCCCCCGGAAAACGCGTCGTCCCCTGGGCTGGGTGGAGACCCCCGTCCCGCGAAACACCGGGCCCCGCGCAGCGTCCGGGCCTGACACCGCTCCGGCGGCTCGCCTCCTCTGCGCCCCCGCGCCACCGTGGCCCGCCCGCCCGGGCCCCTGCAGCCGCCCAGGTGCCAGCACGGAGCGCCTGGAGGCGGAACGCAGACCCCAGGCCCGGCGCACACCGGGGACGCTGAGCGTTCCAGGCGGGAGGGAAGGCGGGCAGAGATGGAGAGAGGAACGGGAGACCTAGAGGGGCGGAAGGATGGGCGGAGGGACGTTAGGAGGGAGGGAGGGAGGCAGGGAGGCAGGGAGGCAGGGAGGAACGGAGGGAAAGACAGAGCGACGCAGGGACTGGGGGCGGGCGGGAGGGAGCCGGGGACGGGGGGAGGAAGGCAGGGAGGAAAAGCGGTCTTCGGCCTCCGGGAGTAGCGGGACCCCCGCCCTCCGGGAAAACGGTCAGCGTCCGGCGCGGGCTGAGGGCTGGGCCCACAGCCGCCGCGCCGGCCGGCGGGGCACCACCCATTCGCCCCGGTTCCGGGGCCCAGGGAGTGGGCGGTTTCCTCCGGGACAAAAGACCGGGACTCGGGTTGCCGTCGGGTTTTCACCCGCGCGGTTCACAGACCGCACATCCCCAGGCTGAGCCCTGCAACGCGGCGCGAGGCCGACAGCCCCGGCCACGGAGGAGCCACACGCAGGACGACGGAGGCGTGATTTTGGTTTCCGCGTGGCTTTGCCCTCTGCAAGGCGGCCTGTTGCTCACGTCTCTCCGGCCCCCGAAAGGCTGGCCATGCCGACTGTTTGCTCCCGGAGCTCTGCGGGCACCCGGAAACATGCAGGGGAGGGTGCAAGCCCGGCACGGTGCCTTCGCTCTCCTTGCCAGGTTCCAAACCGGCCACACTGCAGACTCCCCACGTTGCCGCACGCGGGAATCCATCGTCAGGCCATCACGCCGGGGAGGCATCTCCTCTCTGGGGTCTCGCTCTGGTCTTCTACGTGGAAATGAACGAGAGCCACACGCCTGCGTGTGCGAGACCGTCCCGGCAACGGCGACGCCCACAGGCATTGCCTCCTTCACGGAGAGAGGGCCTGGCACACTCAAGACTCCCACGGAGGTTCAGTTCCACACTCCCCTCCACCCTCCCAGGCTGGTTTCTCCCTGCTGCCGACGCGTGGGAGCCCAGAGAGCGGCTTCCCGTTCCCGCGGGATCCCTGGAGAGGTCCGGAGAGCCGGCCCCCGAAACGCGCCCCCCTCCCCCCTCCCCCCTCTCCCCCTTCCTCTTCGTCTCTCCGGCCCCACCACCACCACCGCCACCACGCCCTCCCCCACCACCCCCCCCACCCCACACCACCACCACCACCACCACCACCACCACCCCGCCGGCCGGCCCCAGGCCTCGACGCCCTGGGTCCCTTCCGGGGTGGGGCGGGCTGTCCCAGGGGGGCTCACCGCCATTCATGAAGGGGTGGAGCCTGCCTGCCCGTGGGCCTTTACAAGGGCGGCTGGCTGGCTGGCTGGCTGTCCGGGCAGGCCTCCTGGCTGCACCTGCCGCAGTGCACAGTCCGGCTGAGGTGCACGGGAGCCCGCCGGCCTCTCTCTGCCCGCGTCCGTCCGTGAAATTGCGGCCGGGGCTCACCGCGATGGCCCTCCCGACACCTTCGGACAGCACCCTCCCCGCGGAAGCCCGGGGACGAGGACGGCGACGGAGACTCGTTTGGACCCCGAGCCAAAGCGAGGCCCTGCGAGCCTGCTTTGAGCGGAACCCGTACCCGGGCATCGCCACCAGAGAACGGCTGGCCCAGGCCATCGGCATTCCGGAGCCCAGGGTCCAGATTTGGTTTCAGAATGAGAGGTCACGCCAGCTGAGGCAGCACCGGCGGGAATCTCGGCCCTGGCCCGGGAGACGCGGCCCGCCAGAAGGCCGGCGAAAGCGGACCGCCGTCACCGGATCCCAGACCGCCCTGCTCCTCCGAGCCTTTGAGAAGGATCGCTTTCCAGGCATCGCCGCCCGGGAGGAGCTGGCCAGAGAGACGGGCCTCCCGGAGTCCAGGATTCAGATCTGGTTTCAGAATCGAAGGGCCAGGCACCCGGGACAGGGTGGCAGGGCGCCCGCGCAGGCAGGCGGCCTGTGCAACGCGGCCCCCGGCGGGGGTCACCCTGCTCCCTCGTGGGTCGCCTTCGCCCACACCGGCGCGTGGGGAACGGGGCTTCCCGCACCCCACGTGCCCTGCGCGCCTGGGGCTCTCCCACAGGGGGCTTTCGTGAGCCAGGCAGCGAGGGCCGCCCCCGCGCTGCAGCCCAGCCAGGCCGCGCCGGCAGAGGGGATCTCCCAACCTGCCCCGGCGCGCGGGGATTTCGCCTACGCCGCCCCGGCTCCTCCGGACGGGGCGCTCTCCCACCCTCAGGCTCCTCGGTGGCCTCCGCACCCGGGCAAAAGCCGGGAGGACCGGGACCCGCAGCGCGACGGCCTGCCGGGCCCCTGCGCGGTGGCACAGCCTGGGCCCGCTCAAGCGGGGCCGCAGGGCCAAGGGGTGCTTGCGCCACCCACGTCCCAGGGGAGTCCGTGGTGGGGCTGGGGCCGGGGTCCCCAGGTCGCCGGGGCGGCGTGGGAACCCCAAGCCGGGGCAGCTCCACCTCCCCAGCCCGCGCCCCCGGACGCCTCCGCGCGGCAGGGGCAGATGCAAGGCATCCCGGCGCCCTCCCAGGCGCTCCAGGAGCCGGCGCCCTGGTCTGCACTCCCCTGCGGCCTGCTGCTGGATGAGCTCCTGGCGAGCCCGGAGTTTCTGCAGCAGGCGCAACCTCTCCTAGAAACGGAGGCCCCGGGGGAGCTGGAGGCCTCGGAAGAGGCCGCCTCGCTGGAAGCACCCCTCAGCGAGGAAGAATACCGGGCTCTGCTGGAGGAGCTTTAGGACGCGGGGTTGGGACGGGGTCGGGTGGTTCGGGGCAGGGCGGTGGCCTCTCTTTCGCGGGGAACGCCTGGCTGGCTACGGAGGGGCGTGTCTCCGCCCCGCCCCCTCCACCGGGCTGACCGGCCTGGGATTCCTGCCTTCTAGGCCTAGGCCCGGTGAGAGACTCCACACAGCGGAGAACTGCCATTCTTTCCTGGGCATCCCGGGGATCCCAGAGCCGGCCCAGGTACCAGCAGGTGGGCCGCCTACTGCGCACGCGCGGGTTTGCGGGCAGCCGCCTGGGCTGTGGGAGCAGCCCGGGCAGAGCTCTCCTGCCTCTCCACCAGCCCACCCCGCCGCCTGACCGCCCCCTCCCCACCCCCACCCCCCGCCCCCGGAAAACGCGTCGTCCCCTGGGCTGGGTGGAGACCCCCGTCCCGCGAAACACCGGGCCCCGCGCAGCGTCCGGGCCTGACACCGCTCCGGCGGCTCGCCTCCTCTGCGCCCCCGCGCCACCGTCGCCCGCCCGCCCGGGCCCCTGCAGCCGCCCAGGTGCCAGCACGGAGCGCCTGGCGGCGGAACGCAGACCCCAGGCCCGGCGCACACCGGGGACGCTGAGCGTTCCAGGCGGGAGGGAAGGCGGGCAGAGATGGAGAGAGGAACGGGAGACCTAGAGGGGCGGAAGGATGGGCGGAGGGACGTTAGGAGGGAGGGAGGGAGGCAGGGAGGCAGGGAGGCAGGGAGGAACGGAGGGAAAGACAGAGCGACGCAGGGACTGGGGGCGGGCGGGAGGGAGCCGGGGACGGGGGGAGGAAGGCAGGGAGGAAAAGCGGTCTTCGGCCTCCGGGAGTAGCGGGACCCCCGCCCTCCGGGAAAACGGTCAGCGTCCGGCGCGGGCTGAGGGCTGGGCCCACAGCCGCCGCGCCGGCCGGCGGGGCACCACCCATTCGCCCCGGTTCCGGGGCCCAGGGAGTGGGCGGTTTCCTCCGGGACAAAAGACCGGGACTCGGGTTGCCGTCGGGTTTTCACCCGCGCGGTTCACAGACCGCACATCCCCAGGCTGAGCCCTGCAACGCGGCGCGAGGCCGACAGCCCCGGCCACGGAGGAGCCACACGCAGGACGACGGAGGCGTGATTTTGGTTTCCGCGTGGCTTTGCCCTCTGCAAGGCGGCCTGTTGCTCACGTCTCTCCGGCCCCCGAAAGGCTGGCCATGCCGACTGTTTGCTCCCGGAGCTCTGCGGGCACCCGGAAACATGCAGGGGAGGGTGCAAGCCCGGCACGGTGCCTTCGCTCTCCTTGCCAGGTTCCAAACCGGCCACACTGCAGACTCCCCACGTTGCCGCACGCGGGAATCCATCGTCAGGCCATCACGCCGGGGAGGCATCTCCTCTCTGGGGTCTCGCTCTGGTCTTCTACGTGGAAATGAACGAGAGCCACACGCCTGCGTGTGCGAGACCGTCCCGGCAACGGCGACGCCCACAGGCATTGCCTCCTTCACGGAGAGAGGGCCTGGCACACTCAAGACTCCCACGGAGGTTCAGTTCCACACTCCCCTCCACCCTCCCAGGCTGGTTTCTCCCTGCTGCCGACGCGTGGGAGCCCAGAGAGCGGCTTCCCGTTCCCGCGGGATCCCTGGAGAGGTCCGGAGAGCCGGCCCCCGAAACGCGCCCCCCTCCCCCCTCCCCCCTCTCCACCTTCCTCTTCGTCTCTCCGGCCCCACCACCACCACCGCCACCACGCCCTCCCCCACCACCACCCCCCCCCCACCACCACCACCACCACCACCCCGCCGGCCGGCCCCAGGCCTCGACGCCCTGGGTCCCTTCCGGGGTGGGGCGGGCTGTCCCAGGGGGGCTCACCGCCATTCATGAAGGGGTGGAGCCTGCCTGCCCGTGGGCCTTTACAAGGGCGGCTGGCTGGCTGGCTGGCTGTCCGGGCAGGCCTCCTGGCTGCACCTGCCGCAGTGCACAGTCCGGCTGAGGTGCACGGGAGCCCGCCGGCCTCTCTCTGCCCGCGTCCGTCCGTGAAATTGCGGCCGGGGCTCACCGCGATGGCCCTCCCGACACCTTCGGACAGCACCCTCCCCGCGGAAGCCCGGGGACGAGGACGGCGACGGAGACTCGTTTGGACCCCGAGCCAAAGCGAGGCCCTGCGAGCCTGCTTTGAGCGGAACCCGTACCCGGGCATCGCCACCAG
Organism: Homo sapiens; assembly: GCF_000001405.40. Classification (NCBI taxonomy): domain Eukaryota; kingdom Metazoa; phylum Chordata; class Mammalia; order Primates; family Hominidae; genus Homo; species Homo sapiens. The sequence continues at coordinate 133,670,596 of NC_000010.11, forward strand.
AGAACGGCTGGCCCAGGCCATCGGCATTCCGGAGCCCAGGGTCCAGATTTGGTTTCAGAATGAGAGGTCACGCCAGCTGAGGCAGCACCGGCGGGAATCTCGGCCCTGGCCCGGGAGACGCGGCCCGCCAGAAGGCCGGCGAAAGCGGACCGCCGTCACCGGATCCCAGACCGCCCTGCTCCTCCGAGCCTTTGAGAAGGATCGCTTTCCAGGCATCGCCGCCCGGGAGGAGCTGGCCAGAGAGACGGGCCTCCCGGAGTCCAGGATTCAGATCTGGTTTCAGAATCGAAGGGCCAGGCACCCGGGACAGGGTGGCAGGGCGCCCGCGCAGGCAGGCGGCCTGTGCAGCGCGGCCCCCGGCGGGGGTCACCCTGCTCCCTCGTGGGTCGCCTTCGCCCACACCGGCGCGTGGGGAACGGGGCTTCCCGCACCCCACGTGCCCTGCGCGCCTGGGGCTCTCCCACAGGGGGCTTTCGTGAGCCAGGCAGCGAGGGCCGCCCCCGCGCTGCAGCCCAGCCAGGCCGCGCCGGCAGAGGGGATCTCCCAACCTGCCCCGGCGCGCGGGGATTTCGCCTACGCCGCCCCGGCTCCTCCGGACGGGGCGCTCTCCCACCCTCAGGCTCCTCGGTGGCCTCCGCACCCGGGCAAAAGCCGGGAGGACCGGGACCCGCAGCGCGACGGCCTGCCGGGCCCCTGCGCGGTGGCACAGCCTGGGCCCGCTCAAGCGGGGCCGCAGGGCCAAGGGGTGCTTGCGCCACCCACGTCCCAGGGGAGTCCGTGGTGGGGCTGGGGCCGGGGTCCCCAGGTCGCCGGGGCGGCGTGGGAACCCCAAGCCGGGGCAGCTCCACCTCCCCAGCCCGCGCCCCCGGACGCCTCCGCGCGGCAGGGGCAGATGCAAGGCATCCCGGCGCCCTCCCAGGCGCTCCAGGAGCCGGCGCCCTGGTCTGCACTCCCCTGCGGCCTGCTGCTGGATGAGCTCCTGGCGAGCCCGGAGTTTCTGCAGCAGGCGCAACCTCTCCTAGAAACGGAGGCCCCGGGGGAGCTGGAGGCCTCGGAAGAGGCCGCCTCGCTGGAAGCACCCCTCAGCGAGGAAGAATACCGGGCTCTGCTGGAGGAGCTTTAGGACGCGGGGTTGGGACGGGGTCGGGTGGTTCGGGGCAGGGCGGTGGCCTCTCTTTCGCGGGGAACGCCTGGCTGGCTACGGAGGGGCGTGTCTCCGCCCCGCCCCCTCCACCGGGCTGACCGGCCTGGGATTCCTGCCTTCTAGGCCTAGGCCCGGTGAGAGACTCCACACAGCGGAGAACTGCCATTCTTTCCTGGGCATCCCGGGGATCCCAGAGCCGGCCCAGGTACCAGCAGGTGGGCCGCCTACTGCGCACGCGCGGGTTTGCGGGCAGCCGCCTGGGCTGTGGGAGCAGCCCGGGCAGAGCTCTCCTGCCTCTCCACCAGCCCACCCCGCCGCCTGACCGCCCCCTCCCCACCCCCACCCCCCGCCCCCGGAAAACGCGTCGTCCCCTGGGCTGGGTGGAGACCCCCGTCCCGCGAAACACCGGGCCCCGCGCAGCGTCCGGGCCTGACACCGCTCCGGCGGCTCGCCTCCTCTGCGCCCCCGCGCCACCGTCGCCCGCCCGCCCGGGCCCCTGCAGCCGCCCAGGTGCCAGCACGGAGCGCCTGGCGGCGGAACGCAGACCCCAGGCCCGGCGCACACCGGGGACGCTGAGCGTTCCAGGCGGGAGGGAAGGCGGGCAGAGATGGAGAGAGGAACGGGAGACCTAGAGGGGCGGAAGGATGGGCGGAGGGACGTTAGGAGGGAGGGAGGGAGGCAGGGAGGCAGGGAGGCAGGGAGGAACGGAGGGAAAGACAGAGCGACGCAGGGACTGGGGGCGGGCGGGAGGGAGCCGGGGACGGGGGGAGGAAGGCAGGGAGGAAAAGCGGTCTTCGGCCTCCGGGAGTAGCGGGACCCCCGCCCTCCGGGAAAACGGTCAGCGTCCGGCGCGGGCTGAGGGCTGGGCCCACAGCCGCCGCGCCGGCCGGCGGGGCACCACCCATTCGCCCCGGTTCCGGGGCCCAGGGAGTGGGCGGTTTCCTCCGGGACAAAAGACCGGGACTCGGGTTGCCGTCGGGTTTTCACCCGCGCGGTTCACAGACCGCACATCCCCAGGCTGAGCCCTGCAACGCGGCGCGAGGCCGACAGCCCCGGCCACGGAGGAGCCACACGCAGGACGACGGAGGCGTGATTTTGGTTTCCGCGTGGCTTTGCCCTCTGCAAGGCGGCCTGTTGCTCACGTCTCTCCGGCCCCCGAAAGGCTGGCCATGCCGACTGTTTGCTCCCGGAGCTCTGCGGGCACCCGGAAACATGCAGGGGAGGGTGCAAGCCCGGCACGGTGCCTTCGCTCTCCTTGCCAGGTTCCAAACCGGCCACACTGCAGACTCCCCACGTTGCCGCACGCGGGAATCCATCGTCAGGCCATCACGCCGGGGAGGCATCTCCTCTCTGGGGTCTCGCTCTGGTCTTCTACGTGGAAATGAACGAGAGCCACACGCCTGCGTGTGCGAGACCGTCCCGGCAACGGCGACGCCCACAGGCATTGCCTCCTTCACGGAGAGAGGGCCTGGCACACTCAAGACTCCCACGGAGGTTCAGTTCCACACTCCCCTCCACCCTCCCAGGCTGGTTTCTCCCTGCTGCCGACGCGTGGGAGCCCAGAGAGCGGCTTCCCGTTCCCGCGGGATCCCTGGAGAGGTCCGGAGAGCCGGCCCCCGAAACGCGCCCCCCTCCCCCCTCCCCCCTCTCCACCTTCCTCTTCGTCTCTCCGGCCCCACCACCACCACCGCCACCACGCCCTCCCCCACCACCACCCCCCCCCCACCACCACCACCACCACCACCCCGCCGGCCGGCCCCAGGCCTCGACGCCCTGGGTCCCTTCCGGGGTGGGGCGGGCTGTCCCAGGGGGGCTCACCGCCATTCATGAAGGGGTGGAGCCTGCCTGCCCGTGGGCCTTTACAAGGGCGGCTGGCTGGCTGGCTGGCTGTCCGGGCAGGCCTCCTGGCTGCACCTGCCGCAGTGCACAGTCCGGCTGAGGTGCACGGGAGCCCGCCGGCCTCTCTCTGCCCGCGTCCGTCCGTGAAATTGCGGCCGGGGCTCACCGCGATGGCCCTCCCGACACCTTCGGACAGCACCCTCCCCGCGGAAGCCCGGGGACGAGGACGGCGACGGAGACTCGTTTGGACCCCGAGCCAAAGCGAGGCCCTGCGAGCCTGCTTTGAGCGGAACCCGTACCCGGGCATCGCCACCAGAGAACGGCTGGCCCAGGCCATCGGCATTCCGGAGCCCAGGGTCCAGATTTGGTTTCAGAATGAGAGGTCACGCCAGCTGAGGCAGCACCGGCGGGAATCTCGGCCCTGGCCCGGGAGACGCGGCCCGCCAGAAGGCCGGCGAAAGCGGACCGCCGTCACCGGATCCCAGACCGCCCTGCTCCTCCGAGCCTTTGAGAAGGATCGCTTTCCAGGCATCGCCGCCCGGGAGGAGCTGGCCAGAGAGACGGGCCTCCCGGAGTCCAGGATTCAGATCTGGTTTCAGAATCGAAGGGCCAGGCACCCGGGACAGGGTGGCAGGGCGCCCGCGCAGGCAGGCGGCCTGTGCAGCGCGGCCCCCGGCGGGGGTCACCCTGCTCCCTCGTGGGTCGCCTTCGCCCACACCGGCGCGTGGGGAACGGGGCTTCCCGCACCCCACGTGCCCTGCGCGCCTGGGGCTCTCCCACAGGGGGCTTTCGTGAGCCAGGCAGCGAGGGCCGCCCCCGCGCTGCAGCCCAGCCAGGCCGCGCCGGCAGAGGGGATCTCCCAACCTGCCCCGGCGCGCGGGGATTTCGCCTACGCCGCCCCGGCTCCTCCGGACGGGGCGCTCTCCCACCCTCAGGCTCCTCGGTGGCCTCCGCACCCGGGCAAAAGCCGGGAGGACCGGGACCCGCAGCGCGACGGCCTGCCGGGCCCCTGCGCGGTGGCACAGCCTGGGCCCGCTCAAGCGGGGCCGCAGGGCCAAGGGGTGCTTGCGCCACCCACGTCCCAGGGGAGTCCGTGGTGGGGCTGGGGCCGGGGTCCCCAGGTCGCCGGGGCGGCGTGGGAACCCCAAGCCGGGGCAGCTCCACCTCCCCAGCCCGCGCCCCCGGACGCCTCCGCGCGGCAGGGGCAGATGCAAGGCATCCCGGCGCCCTCCCAGGCGCTCCAGGAGCCGGCGCCCTGGTCTGCACTCCCCTGCGGCCTGCTGCTGGATGAGCTCCTGGCGAGCCCGGAGTTTCTGCAGCAGGCGCAACCTCTCCTAGAAACGGAGGCCCCGGGGGAGCTGGAGGCCTCGGAAGAGGCCGCCTCGCTGGAAGCACCCCTCAGCGAGGAAGAATACCGGGCTCTGCTGGAGGAGCTTTAGGACGCGGGGTTGGGACGGGGTCGGGTGGTTCGGGGCAGGGCGGTGGCCTCTCTTTCGCGGGGAACGCCTGGCTGGCTACGGAGGGGCGTGTCTCCGCCCCGCCCCCTCCACCGGGCTGACCGGCCTGGGATTCCTGCCTTCTAGGCCTAGGCCCGGTGAGAGACTCCACACAGCGGAGAACTGCCATTCTTTCCTGGGCATCCCGGGGATCCCAGAGCCGGCCCAGGTACCAGCAGGTGGGCCGCCTACTGCGCACGCGCGGGTTTGCGGGCAGCCGCCTGGGCTGTGGGAGCAGCCCGGGCAGAGCTCTCCTGCCTCTCCACCAGCCCACCCCGCCGCCTGACCGCCCCCTCCCCACCCCCACCCCCCGCCCCCGGAAAACGCGTCGTCCCCTGGGCTGGGTGGAGACCCCCGTCCCGCGAAACACCGGGCCCCGCGCAGCGTCCGGGCCTGACACCGCTCCGGCGGCTCGCCTCCTCTGCGCCCCCGCGCCACCGTGGCCCGCCCGCCCGGGCCCCTGCAGCCGCCCAGGTGCCAGCACGGAGCGCCTGGAGGCGGAACGCAGACCCCAGGCCCGGCGCACACCGGGGACGCTGAGCGTTCCAGGCGGGAGGGAAGGCGGGCAGAGATGGAGAGAGGAACGGGAGACCTAGAGGGGCGGAAGGATGGGCGGAGGGACGTTAGGAGGGAGGGAGGGAGGCAGGGAGGCAGGGAGGCAGGGAGGAACGGAGGGAAAGACAGAGCGACGCAGGGACTGGGGGCGGGCGGGAGGGAGCCGGGGACGGGGGGAGGAAGGCAGGGAGGAAAAGCGGTCTTCGGCCTCCGGGAGTAGCGGGACCCCCGCCCTCCGGGAAAACGGTCAGCGTCCGGCGCGGGCTGAGGGCTGGGCCCACAGCCGCCGCGCCGGCCGGCGGGGCACCACCCATTCGCCCCGGTTCCGGGGCCCAGGGAGTGGGCGGTTTCCTCCGGGACAAAAGACCGGGACTCGGGTTGCCGTCGGGTTTTCACCCGCGCGGTTCACAGACCGCACATCCCCAGGCTGAGCCCTGCAACGCGGCGCGAGGCCGACAGCCCCGGCCACGGAGGAGCCACACGCAGGACGACGGAGGCGTGATTTTGGTTTCCGCGTGGCTTTGCCCTCTGCAAGGCGGCCTGTTGCTCACGTCTCTCCGGCCCCCGAAAGGCTGGCCATGCCGACTGTTTGCTCCCGGAGCTCTGCGGGCACCCGGAAACATGCAGGGGAGGGTGCAAGCCCGGCACGGTGCCTTCGCTCTCCTTGCCAGGTTCCAAACCGGCCACACTGCAGACTCCCCACGTTGCCGCACGCGGGAATCCATCGTCAGGCCATCACGCCGGGGAGGCATCTCCTCTCTGGGGTCTCGCTCTGGTCTTCTACGTGGAAATGAACGAGAGCCACACGCCTGCGTGTGCGAGACCGTCCCGGCAACGGCGACGCCCACAGGCATTGCCTCCTTCACGGAGAGAGGGCCTGGCACACTCAAGACTCCCACGGAGGTTCAGTTCCACACTCCCCTCCACCCTCCCAGGCTGGTTTCTCCCTGCTGCCGACGCGTGGGAGCCCAGAGAGCGGCTTCCCGTTCCCGCGGGATCCCTGGAGAGGTCCGGAGAGCCGGCCCCCGAAACGCGCCCCCCTCCCCCCTCCCCCCTCTCCCCCTTCCTCTTCGTCTCTCCGGCCCCACCACCACCACCGCCACCACGCCCTCCCCCACCACCCCCCCCACCCCACACCACCACCACCACCACCACCACCACCACCCCGCCGGCCGGCCCCAGGCCTCGACGCCCTGGGTCCCTTCCGGGGTGGGGCGGGCTGTCCCAGGGGGGCTCACCGCCATTCATGAAGGGGTGGAGCCTGCCTGCCCGTGGGCCTTTACAAGGGCGGCTGGCTGGCTGGCTGGCTGTCCGGGCAGGCCTCCTGGCTGCACCTGCCGCAGTGCACAGTCCGGCTGAGGTGCACGGGAGCCCGCCGGCCTCTCTCTGCCCGCGTCCGTCCGTGAAATTGCGGCCGGGGCTCACCGCGATGGCCCTCCCGACACCTTCGGACAGCACCCTCCCCGCGGAAGCCCGGGGACGAGGACGGCGACGGAGACTCGTTTGGACCCCGAGCCAAAGCGAGGCCCTGCGAGCCTGCTTTGAGCGGAACCCGTACCCGGGCATCGCCACCAGAGAACGGCTGGCCCAGGCCATCGGCATTCCGGAGCCCAGGGTCCAGATTTGGTTTCAGAATGAGAGGTCACGCCAGCTGAGGCAGCACCGGCGGGAATCTCGGCCCTGGCCCGGGAGACGCGGCCCGCCAGAAGGCCGGCGAAAGCGGACCGCCGTCACCGGATCCCAGACCGCCCTGCTCCTCCGAGCCTTTGAGAAGGATCGCTTTCCAGGCATCGCCGCCCGGGAGGAGCTGGCCAGAGAGACGGGCCTCCCGGAGTCCAGGATTCAGATCTGGTTTCAGAATCGAAGGGCCAGGCACCCGGGACAGGGTGGCAGGGCGCCCGCGCAGGCAGGCGGCCTGTGCAGCGCGGCCCCCGGCGGGGGTCACCCTGCTCCCTCGTGGGTCGCCTTCGCCCACACCGGCGCGTGGGGAACGGGGCTTCCCGCACCCCACGTGCCCTGCGCGCCTGGGGCTCTCCCACAGGGGGCTTTCGTGAGCCAGGCAGCGAGGGCCGCCCCCGCGCTGCAGCCCAGCCAGGCCGCGCCGGCAGAGGGGATCTCCCAACCTGCCCCGGCGCGCGGGGATTTCGCCTACGCCGCCCCGGCTCCTCCGGACGGGGCGCTCTCCCACCCTCAGGCTCCTCGGTGGCCTCCGCACCCGGGCAAAAGCCGGGAGGACCGGGACCCGCAGCGCGACGGCCTGCCGGGCCCCTGCGCGGTGGCACAGCCTGGGCCCGCTCAAGCGGGGCCGCAGGGCCAAGGGGTGCTTGCGCCACCCACGTCCCAGGGGAGTCCGTGGTGGGGCTGGGGCCGGGGTCCCCAGGTCGCCGGGGCGGCGTGGGAACCCCAAGCCGGGGCAGCTCCACCTCCCCAGCCCGCGCCCCCGGACGCCTCCGCGCGGCAGGGGCAGATGCAAGGCATCCCGGCGCCCTCCCAGGCGCTCCAGGAGCCGGCGCCCTGGTCTGCACTCCCCTGCGGCCTGCTGCTGGATGAGCTCCTGGCGAGCCCGGAGTTTCTGCAGCAGGCGCAACCTCTCCTAGAAACGGAGGCCCCGGGGGAGCTGGAGGCCTCGGAAGAGGCCGCCTCGCTGGAAGCACCCCTCAGCGAGGAAGAATACCGGGCTCTGCTGGAGGAGCTTTAGGACGCGGGGTTGGGACGGGGTCGGGTGGTTCGGGGCAGGGCGGTGGCCTCTCTTTCGCGGGGAACGCCTGGCTGGCTACGGAGGGGCGTGTCTCCGCCCCGCCCCCTCCACCGGGCTGACCGGCCTGGGATTCCTGCCTTCTAGGCCTAGGCCCGGTGAGAGACTCCACACAGCGGAGAACTGCCATTCTTTCCTGGGCATCCCGGGGATCCCAGAGCCGGCCCAGGTACCAGCAGGTGGGCCGCCTACTGCGCACGCGCGGGTTTGCGGGCAGCCGCCTGGGCTGTGGGAGCAGCCCGGGCAGAGCTCTCCTGCCTCTCCACCAGCCCACCCCACCGCCTGACCGCCCCCTCCCCACCCCCACCCCCCGCCCCCGGAAAACGCGTCGTCCCCTGGGCTGGGTGGAGACCCCCGTCCCGCGAAACACCGGGCCCCGCGCAGCGTCCGGGCCTGACACCGCTCCGGCGGCTCGCCTCCTCTGCGCCCCCGCGCCACCGTGGCCCGCCCGCCCGGGCCCCTGCAGCCGCCCAGGTGCCAGCACGGAGCGCCTGGAGGCGGAACGCAGACCCCAGGCCCGGCGCACACCGGGGACGCTGAGCGTTCCAGGCGGGAGGGAAGGCGGGCAGAGATGGAGAGAGGAACGGGAGACCTAGAGGGGCGGAAGGATGGGCGGAGGGACGTTAGGAGGGAGGGAGGGAGGCAGGGAGGCAGGGAGGCAGGGAGGAACGGAGGGAAAGACAGAGCGACGCAGGGACTGGGGGCGGGCGGGAGGGAGCCGGGGACGGGGGGAGGAAGGCAGGGAGGAAAAGCGGTCTTCGGCCTCCGGGAGTAGCGGGACCCCCGCCCTCCGGGAAAACGGTCAGCGTCCGGCGCGGGCTGAGGGCTGGGCCCACAGCCGCCGCGCCGGCCGGCGGGGCACCACCCATTCGCCCCGGTTCCGGGGCCCAGGGAGTGGGCGGTTTCCTCCGGGACAAAAGACCGGGACTCGGGTTGCCGTCGGGTTTTCACCCGCGCGGTTCACAGACCGCACATCCCCAGGCTGAGCCCTGCAACGCGGCGCGAGGCCGACAGCCCCGGCCACGGAGGAGCCACACGCAGGACGACGGAGGCGTGATTTTGGTTTCCGCGTGGCTTTGCCCTCTGCAAGGCGGCCTGTTGCTCACGTCTCTCCGGCCCCCGAAAGGCTGGCCATGCCGACTGTTTGCTCCCGGAGCTCTGCGGGCACCCGGAAACATGCAGGGGAGGGTGCAAGCCCGGCACGGTGCCTTCGCTCTCCTTGCCAGGTTCCAAACCGGCCACACTGCAGACTCCCCACGTTGCCGCACGCGGGAATCCATCGTCAGGCCATCACGCCGGGGAGGCATCTCCTCTCTGGGGTCTCGCTCTGGTCTTCTACGTGGAAATGAACGAGAGCCACACGCCTGCGTGTGCGAGACCGTCCCGGCAACGGCGACGCCCACAGGCATTGCCTCCTTCACGGAGAGAGGGCCTGGCACACTCAAGACTCCCACGGAGGTTCAGTTCCACACTCCCCTCCACCCTCCCAGGCTGGTTTCTCCCTGCTGCCGACGCGTGGGAGCCCAGAGAGCGGCTTCCCGTTCCCGCGGGATCCCTGGAGAGGTCCGGAGAGCCGGCCCCCGAAACGCGCCCCCCTCCCCCCTCCCCCCTCTCCCCCTTCCTCTTCGTCTCTCCGGCCCCACCACCACCACCGCCACCACGCCCTCCCCCACCACCCCCCCCACCCCACACCACCACCACCACCACCACCACCACCACCCCGCCGGCCGGCCCCAGGCCTCGACGCCCTGGGTCCCTTCCGGGGTGGGGCGGGCTGTCCCAGGGGGGCTCACCGCCATTCATGAAGGGGTGGAGCCTGCCTGCCCGTGGGCCTTTACAAGGGCGGCTGGCTGGCTGGCTGGCTGTCCGGGCAGGCCTCCTGGCTGCACCTGCCGCAGTGCACAGTCCGGCTGAGGTGCACGGGAGCCCGCCGGCCTCTCTCTGCCCGCGTCCGTCCGTGAAATTGCGGCCGGGGCTCACCGCGATGGCCCTCCCGACACCTTCGGACAGCACCCTCCCCGCGGAAGCCCGGGGACGAGGACGGCGACGGAGACTCGTTTGGACCCCGAGCCAAAGCGAGGCCCTGCGAGCCTGCTTTGAGCGGAACCCGTACCCGGGCATCGCCACCAGAGAACGGCTGGCCCAGGCCATCGGCATTCCGGAGCCCAGGGTCCAGATTTGGTTTCAGAATGAGAGGTCACGCCAGCTGAGGCAGCACCGGCGGGAATCTCGGCCCTGGCCCGGGAGACGCGGCCCGCCAGAAGGCCGGCGAAAGCGGACCGCCGTCACCGGATTCCAGACCGCCCTGCTCCTCCGAGCCTTTGAGAAGGATCGCTTTCCAGGCATCGCCGCCCGGGAGGAGCTGGCCAGAGAGACGGGCCTCCCGGAGTCCAGGATTCAGATCTGGTTTCAGAATCGAAGGGCCAGGCACCCGGGACAGGGTGGCAGGGCGCCCGCGCAGGCAGGCGGCCTGTGCAGCGCGGCCCCCGGCGGGGGTCACCCTGCTCCCTCGTGGGTCGCCTTCGCCCACACCGGCGCGTGGGGAACGGGGCTTCCCGCACCCCACGTGCCCTGCGCGCCTGGGGCTCTCCCACAGGGGGCTTTCGTGAGCCAGGCAGCGAGGGCCGCCCCCGCGCTGCAGCCCAGCCAGGCCGCGCCGGCAGAGGGGATCTCCCAACCTGCCCCGGCGCGCGGGGATTTCGCCTACGCCGCCCCGGCTCCTCCGGACGGGGCGCTCTCCCACCCTCAGGCTCCTCGGTGGCCTCCGCACCCGGGCAAAAGCCGGGAGGACCGGGACCCGCAGCGCGACGGCCTGCCGGGCCCCTGCGCGGTGGCACAGCCTGGGCCCGCTCAAGCGGGGCCGCAGGGCCAAGGGGTGCTTGCGCCACCCACGTCCCAGGGGAGTCCGTGGTGGGGCTGGGGCCGGGGTCCCCAGGTCGCCGGGGCGGCGTGGGAACCCCAAGCCGGGGCAGCTCCACCTCCCCAGCCCGCGCCCCCGGACGCCTCCGCGCGGCAGGGGCAGATGCAAGGCATCCCGGCGCCCTCCCAGGCGCTCCAGGAGCCGGCGCCCTGGTCTGCACTCCCCTGCGGCCTGCTGCTGGATGAGCTCCTGGCGAGCCCGGAGTTTCTGCAGCAGGCGCAACCTCTCCTAGAAACGGAGGCCCCGGGGGAGCTGGAGGCCTCGGAAGAGGCCGCCTCGCTGGAAGCACCCCTCAGCGAGGAAGAATACCGGGCTCTGCTGGAGGAGCTTTAGGACGCGGGGTTGGGACGGGGTCGGGTGGTTCGGGGCAGGGCGGTGGCCTCTCTTTCGCGGGGAACGCCTGGCTGGCTACGGAGGGGCGTGTCTCCGCCCCGCCCCCTCCACCGGGCTGACCGGCCTGGGATTCCTGCCTTCTAGGCCTAGGCCCGGTGAGAGACTCCACACAGCGGAGAACTGCCATTCTTTCCTGGGCATCCCGGGGATCCCAGAGCCGGCCCAGGTACCAGCAGGTGGGCCGCCTACTGCGCACGCGCGGGTTTGCGGGCAGCCGCCTGGGCTGTGGGAGCAGCCCGGGCAGAGCTCTCCTGCCTCTCCACCAGCCCACCCCGCCGCCTGACCGCCCCCTCCCCACCCCCACCCCCCGCCCCCGGAAAACGCGTCGTCCCCTGGGCTGGGTGGAGACCCCCGTCCCGCGAAACACCGGGCCCCGCGCAGCGTCCGGGCCTGACACCGCTCCGGCGGCTCGCCTCCTCTGCGCCCCCGCGCCACCGTCGCCCGCCCGCCCGGGCCCCTGCAGCCGCCCAGGTGCCAGCACGGAGCGCCTGGCGGCGGAACGCAGACCCCAGGCCCGGCGCACACCGGGGACGCTGAGCGTTCCAGGCGGGAGGGAAGGCGGGCAGAGATGGAGAGAGGAACGGGAGACCTAGAGGGGCGGAAGGATGGGCGGAGGGACGTTAGGAGGGAGGGAGGGAGGCAGGGAGGCAGGGAGGCAGGGAGGAACGGAGGGAAAGACAGAGCGACGCAGGGACTGGGGGCGGGCGGGAGGGAGCCGGGGACGGGGGGAGGAAGGCAGGGAGGAAAAGCGGTCTTCGGCCTCCGGGAGTAGCGGGACCCCCGCCCTCCGGGAAAACGGTCAGCGTCCGGCGCGGGCTGAGGGCTGGGCCCACAGCCGCCGCGCCGGCCGGCGGGGCACCACCCATTCGCCCCGGTTCCGGGGCCCAGGGAGTGGGCGGTTTCCTCCGGGACAAAAGACCGGGACTCGGGTTGCCGTCGGGTTTTCACCCGCGCGGTTCACAGACCGCACATCCCCAGGCTGAGCCCTGCAACGCGGCGCGAGGCCGACAGCCCCGGCCACGGAGGAGCCACACGCAGGACGACGGAGGCGTGATTTTGGTTTCCGCGTGGCTTTGCCCTCTGCAAGGCGGCCTGTTGCTCACGTCTCTCCGGCCCCCGAAAGGCTGGCCATGCCGACTGTTTGCTCCCGGAGCTCTGCGGGCACCCGGAAACATGCAGGGGAGGGTGCAAGCCCGGCACGGTGCCTTCGCTCTCCTTGCCAGGTTCCAAACCGGCCACACTGCAGACTCCCCACGTTGCCGCACGCGGGAATCCATCGTCAGGCCATCACGCCGGGGAGGCATCTCCTCTCTGGGGTCTCGCTCTGGTCTTCTACGTGGAAATGAACGAGAGCCACACGCCTGCGTGTGCGAGACCGTCCCGGCAACGGCGACGCCCACAGGCATTGCCTCCTTCACGGAGAGAGGGCCTGGCACACTCAAGACTCCCACGGAGGTTCAGTTCCACACTCCCCTCCACCCTCCCAGGCTGGTTTCTCCCTGCTGCCGACGCGTGGGAGCCCAGAGAGCGGCTTCCCGTTCCCGCGGGATCCCTGGAGAGGTCCGGAGAGCCGGCCCCCGAAACGCGCCCCCCTCCCCCCTCCCCCCTCTCCACCTTCCTCTTCGTCTCTCCGGCCCCACCACCACCACCGCCACCACGCCCTCCCCCACCACCACCCCCCCCCCACCACCACCACCACCACCACCCCGCCGGCCGGCCCCAGGCCTCGACGCCCTGGGTCCCTTCCGGGGTGGGGCGGGCTGTCCCAGGGGGGCTCACCGCCATTCATGAAGGGGTGGAGCCTGCCTGCCCGTGGGCCTTTACAAGGGCGGCTGGCTGGCTGGCTGGCTGTCCGGGCAGGCCTCCTGGCTGCACCTGCCGCAGTGCACAGTCCGGCTGAGGTGCACGGGAGCCCGCCGGCCTCTCTCTGCCCGCGTCCGTCCGTGAAATTGCGGCCGGGGCTCACCGCGATGGCCCTCCCGACACCTTCGGACAGCACCCTCCCCGCGGAAGCCCGGGGACGAGGACGGCGACGGAGACTCGTTTGGACCCCGAGCCAAAGCGAGGCCCTGCGAGCCTGCTTTGAGCGGAACCCGTACCCGGGCATCGCCACCAGAGAACGGCTGGCCCAGGCCATCGGCATTCCGGAGCCCAGGGTCCAGATTTGGTTTCAGAATGAGAGGTCACGCCAGCTGAGGCAGCACCGGCGGGAATCTCGGCCCTGGCCCGGGAGACGCGGCCCGCCAGAAGGCCGGCGAAAGCGGACCGCCGTCACCGGATCCCAGACCGCCCTGCTCCTCCGAGCCTTTGAGAAGGATCGCTTTCCAGGCATCGCCGCCCGGGAGGAGCTGGCCAGAGAGACGGGCCTCCCGGAGTCCAGGATTCAGATCTGGTTTCAGAATCGAAGGGCCAGGCACCCGGGACAGGGTGGCAGGGCGCCCGCGCAGGCAGGCGGCCTGTGCAGCGCGGCCCCCGGCGGGGGTCACCCTGCTCCCTCGTGGGTCGCCTTCGCCCACACCGGCGCGTGGGGAACGGGGCTTCCCGCACCCCACGTGCCCTGCGCGCCTGGGGCTCTCCCACAGGGGGCTTTCGTGAGCCAGGCAGCGAGGGCCGCCCCCGCGCTGCAGCCCAGCCAGGCCGCGCCGGCAGAGGGGATCTCCCAACCTGCCCCGGCGCGCGGGGATTTCGCCTACGCCGCCCCGGCTCCTCCGGACGGGGCGCTCTCCCACCCTCAGGCTCCTCGGTGGCCTCCGCACCCGGGCAAAAGCCGGGAGGACCGGGACCCGCAGCGCGACGGCCTGCCGGGCCCCTGCGCGGTGGCACAGCCTGGGCCCGCTCAAGCGGGGCCGCAGGGCCAAGGGGTGCTTGCGCCACCCACGTCCCAGGGGAGTCCGTGGTGGGGCTGGGGCCGGGGTCCCCAGGTCGCCGGGGCGGCGTGGGAACCCCAAGCCGGGGCAGCTCCACCTCCCCAGCCCGCGCCCCCGGACGCCTCCGCGCGGCAGGGGCAGATGCAAGGCATCCCGGCGCCCTCCCAGGCGCTCCAGGAGCCGGCGCCCTGGTCTGCACTCCCCTGCGGCCTGCTGCTGGATGAGCTCCTGGCGAGCCCGGAGTTTCTGCAGCAGGCGCAACCTCTCCTAGAAACGGAGGCCCCGGGGGAGCTGGAGGCCTCGGAAGAGGCCGCCTCGCTGGAAGCACCCCTCAGCGAGGAAGAATACCGGGCTCTGCTGGAGGAGCTTTAGGACGCGGGGTTGGGACGGGGTCGGGTGGTTCGGGGCAGGGCGGTGGCCTCTCTTTCGCGGGGAACGCCTGGCTGGCTACGGAGGGGCGTGTCTCCGCCCCGCCCCCTCCACCGGGCTGACCGGCCTGGGATTCCTGCCTTCTAGGCCTAGGCCCGGTGAGAGACTCCACACAGCGGAGAACTGCCATTCTTTCCTGGGCATCCCGGGGATCCCAGAGCCGGCCCAGGTACCAGCAGGTGGGCCGCCTACTGCGCACGCGCGGGTTTGCGGGCAGCCGCCTGGGCTGTGGGAGCAGCCCGGGCAGAGCTCTCCTGCCTCTCCACCAGCCCACCCCGCCGCCTGACCGCCCCCTCCCCACCCCCACCCCCCGCCCCCGGAAAACGCGTCGTCCCCTGGGCTGGGTGGAGACCCCCGTCCCGCGAAACACCGGGCCCCGCGCAGCGTCCGGGCCTGACACCGCTCCGGCGGCTCGCCTCCTCTGCGCCCCCGCGCCACCGTCGCCCGCCCGCCCGGGCCCCTGCAGCCGCCCAGGTGCCAGCACGGAGCGCCTGGCGGTCAAAAGCATACCTCTGTCTGTCTTTGCCCGCTTCCTGGCTAGACCTGCGCGCAGTGCGCACCCCGGGTGACGTGCAAGGGAGCTCGCTGGCCTCTCTGTGCCCTTGTTCGTCCGTGAAATTCTGGCTGAATCTCTCCCCCCACCTTCCGAGGCTGTCTAGGCAAACCTGGATTAGAGTTACATCTCCTGGATGATTAGTTCAGAGATATATCAAAATTCCCCCTCCCTGTGGATCCTATAGAGGATTTGCATCTTTTGTGTGATCAGTGCAGAGATATGTCACAATATCCCCTGTAGAAAAAGCCTGAAATTGATTTACATAACTTCGGTGATCAGTGCAGATGTGTTTCAGAACTCCATAGTAGACTGAACCTAGAGAATGGTTACATCACTTAGGTGATCAGTGTAGAGATATGTTAAAATTCTCGTGTAGACAGAGCCTAGACAATTGTTACATCACCTAGTGATCAGTGCAGGGATAAGTCATAAAGCCTCCTGTAGGCAGAGTGTAGGCAAGTGTTCCCTGCCTGGGCTGATCAGTGCAGAGATATCTCACAAAGCCCCTATAAGCCAAACCTTGACAAGGGTTACATCACCTGTTTGATCAGTGGAAATATATATCACAAAGCCCCCTGTAGACAAAGCCCAGACAATTTTTACATCTCCTGAGTGAGCATTGGAGAGATCTGTCACAATGCCCCTGTAGGCAGAGCTGAGACAAGTGTTACATCATCTGGGTGATCAGTGCAGAGATATGTCAAAACGCTCCTGTAGGCTGAACCTAGACAGGAGTTACATCACCTGGGGGATCAGTGCAGAGATACGTGAGAATTCCCTTGTAGGCAGGGCCTAGACAAGTGTTACATCACCTAGGTTATCAGTGCAGAGATATGTGAGAATTCCCGTGTAGGCAGAGCCTAGACAAGTGTTACATCACCTAGTTTATCAGTGTAATTATTAGTCATAAAGCCTCCTGTAGGCAGAGCGTAGACAAGAGTTCCCTCCTCAGGATGATCAGTGCAGAGATGTGTCACAAAGCCCCTGTAGGCAGAGCCTAGACAAGAGTTTCATCACTTGGTTGATCAGTTCAGAGATGTGTCAGAATGTCCATGTAGGCAGATCTAAGACAAGCGTCCATCACCTGGGTGATCAGTGCAGAGATATGTACCAGTGTCCCCTGTAGGCAGTGCCTAGACAAGAGTTGAATCACCTCAGAGATCAGTGCATAGATATGTCACAAAGCCTTCTGTAGGCAAAGCCCATACAAGGTTTACATCACCTAGGTGATCAGTGCAGTGATATGTCACAAAAATCCCTGTAGACAGAGCCTAGACAAGAGTTACTTCACCTGGGTGATCAGTGCAGATATTTGACACAATGCCCCCATAGACAGAGCCTAGGCAAGACTTCCATCACCTGGGTGATCAGTGCAGAGATATGTCACAAATCCCCCTCTAGGCAGAGTATAGAGAAGAGTCCCATCACCTGGGTGATCAGTGCAGAGATATTTCACAATGCCCCCTGTAGGCAGAGAGTGGACAAGAGTTACATCACCTAGATGATCTGTGCAGAGCTATGTCAAAACGCCCCTGTAGGCAGAGCCTAGATGAGTGTTACATCACCTGGGTGATCATTGCAGAGATACGTCACAATACCCCCTGTAGGTGGGGCCTAGACAAGAGTTACATCACCTGGGTGATCAGTACAGAAATATGTCACAAAGCCCCTGTAGGCAGAGCCTAGACAAGAGTTACATCACCTGGGTTATCAGTGCAGAAATATGTCACAAAGCCCCTGTAGGTCGAGTCTAGACAAGAGTTACATCTCCTGGGTGATCAGTGCAAAGATATGTCACAAAGCCCCCTGTAGACAAATCCCAGAAAATTGTTACATCACCTGGGTGATCAGTGGAGATATGTGTCACAATTCCCCTTTAGGCACAGCTTAGACAAGCGTTACATCACATGAGTGATCATTGCAGAGTTATGTCACTATGCCCCCATAGGCAGATCCAAGACAAGAGTCCATCACCTGGGTGATCAGTGCAGAAATATGCCACAATGCCGCCAGTAGGCAGATATAGACAAGAGTTACATCACCTGCGTGATCACTGCAGAGATATATCACAATGCCCCTGTAGGCAGAGCCTAGACAAGAGTCCCATCACCTGGGTGATCAGTGCAGAGTTATGTCACAATGCCCCTTTTTGGCAGAGCCTAGACAAGGGTTACATCACCTGGGTGATCAGTGCAGAGATATGTCACAATGTCCCTGTAGCCATATCCTTGACAAAAGTGACATCACCTGGGTGATCAGTGCGGAGATATGTCACAATGTCTCCAGTAGGCAGAGCCTAGACAAGAGTTACATCACCTGGGTGATCAGGGCAGAGATATGTCACAATGCCCCCTGTAAGCAGATCCCAGACAAGAGTTGCATCACCTCGGTGATCAGTGCAGAGATACGTCACAATGCCCCTGTAGGCAGAGCCTAGACAAGAGTTACATAACCCAGGTGATCCGTGCAGAGTGATGTCACAACGTCCTCTGTAGGCAGAGACTAGAAAAGAGTTACATTACCTGGGTGATCAGTGCAGAGATATGTCACAATGCCCCCTGTAGGCAGAGCATAGAGAAGAGTTGCATCACCTGGGTGATCAGTGTAGAGATATGTCACAATGTCCCCTGTAGGCAGAGCACAGAGAAGAGTTGCACCACCTGGGTGATCAGTGCAGAGATATGTCACAATGTCCCCTGTAGGCAAAGCCTAGGCAAGAGTTACATCACCTTTGTCATCAGTTCAGGGATATGTGAAAACGCCCCTGTAGGCAGAGCTTAGACAAGAGTTACATCACCTAGTTGATCAGTGCAGAGATATTTCACAATACCCCCTGTAGGCAGATCCTAGACAAGAGTTGCATCACCTGGGTGATCAGTGCAGAGATATTTCACAACGCCCCCTGTAGGCAGAGGGTAGACAAGAGTTACATCACCTAGGTGATCAGTGCAGAGATTTGTCGAAATTCCCTGTAGGCAGTGCTTATAAAAGTGTTACATCACCTAAGTGATCAGTGCAGAGATATGTCACAAAGCTCCTGTAGGCAGAGCTTAGATGAGTTACATCACCTGGGTGATCAGAGCAAAGGTATGTCACAAAGCCCCCTGTAGGCCAAAGCCTAGACAATAGTTACATCACTTGGGTGATCAGTGGCGAGATCTCTCACAATTCCCCTGTAGGCAGAGCTTATACAACAGTTACATCACCTGGGTGATCAGTGCAGATATATGTCACAATGCCCCCATAGGCAGATCCAAGACAAGAGTCCGTCTCCTGGGTGATCAGTGCAGAAATACGTCACAATGCCCCCTTAGGCAGAGCCTAGACAAAAGCCCCATCACCTGGATGATTAGTGCAGAGTTATGTCACAAAGTCCCTTTAGGCAGATCCTAGAAAAGAGTCCCATTACTTGGGTGATCAGTGCAGAGATATGTCACAATGCCACTGTAGGCAGAGCCTAGACAAGAGTTATATGACCCAGGTGATCAGTGCAGAGATACATTGCAATGCCCCTGTAGGCAGAGCCCTGACAAGTGGTACATCACCTGGGTGATCATTGCAGGGATATGTCACAAAGCACCCTGTAGGCAGATCCTAGACAAGAGTTACATGACCTGGGTGATCAGTGCAGAGATATGTCACAATGCCACTGTAGGCAGAGCCTAGACAAGAGTTACATGACCTAGGTGATCAGTGCAGAGATACATCGCAATGCCCCTGTAGGCAGAGCCTTGACAAGTGGTACATCACCTGGGTGATCATTGCAGGGATATGTCACAAAGCACCCTGTAAGCAGATCCTAGAGAAGAGTTATATCACCTGGGTGATCAGTGCAGAGATATGTCACAAGCCCCCTGTAGGCAGAGCCTAGACAAGAGTTATATCACCTGGTTGATCAGTGCAGTGATATGTCACAATGCTGTGTAGCCAGAGCCTAGGCAAAAGTTACAGCACCTGGGAGATCAGTGCAGAGATATGTCACAATGTCCCCAGTAGACAGAGACCAGGCAAGAGTTGGATCACCTCGGGATCAGTGCAGAGATATGTCTCAATCCCCCTGTGGGCACAGCCTAGACAAGAGTTACATCACCTCGGTTAACAGTGCAGAGATATGTCAAAATGCCCCTGTAGGCAAGCCTACACAAGTATTACATCACTTAGGTGATCAGTGCAGAGATATGTCACAATACCCCCTGTAAGCAGAGCCTAGACAAGAGTTACATCACCTGGGTGATCAGTGCAGAGATATGTGACAAGGCCCCTTTAAGCAGAGCCTAGACAATAGTTACATCACCTGAGTGATCAGTGCAGAGATCTGTCACAATGCCCCTTTAGGCAGAGCTTAGACTAGAGTTACATCACCTGGGTGATCAGTGCAGAGATATGTCACATTGCCCCCATAGGCAAATCCAAGACAAGAGTCAGTCACCTGGGTGATCAGTGCAGAAATATGTGACAATGCCGCCAGTAGGCAGAGCCTAGAGAAGAGTCCCATCACCTGGGTGATCAGTGCAGAGTTATGCCACAATGCCCTCTGTAGGCAGAGCCTAGACAAGAGTTACATCATCTGGTTGATCAGTAAAGAGATATTTCACAATGCCCCTGCAGGCAGAGCGTAAGCAAGAGTTACATCACCTAGATGATCAGTGCAGAGATACGTCACAAGGCCCCCTATAGGCAGAGCCTGGACAAGAGTTACATCACCTCGGTGATCAATGCAGCGATATGTCACTATGCCCCGTAGGCAGAGCCTAGTCAAGCGTTACATCACCTGGGTGATCAGTGCAGAGATATGTCAGAAAGCCCCCATACACAGAGCCTAGACAAGAGTCCCATCACCTGGGTGATCAGTGCAGAAATATGTCACAATGCCCCTATAGGCAGATCCAACACAAGTGTTACATCACCTGGGTGATC